>NC_000002.12:189307799-189610830 GCF_000001405.40 Homo sapiens | reverse complement strand
CACCTCAGTACTATGTAAAGTGCATATAGTACGATGGGAGACTTGGAAGGAGAAGGAAAGGCTGTGTTGCCTCAAATTTAGTAATGGTTGATTTTGCCCTGATTCATTTATACATTTGATTGTTGATTATGGACATTGTGGCTATACAAACAACTTCATTTTTAAAAACCTCAATGATTACTATTTGTAGGCAGTAATTAAAATATCAGTTAATATTTCACATATGTATTTACACACACATGCATTTTAAATATACCAGGCTTTAAAAACAAGGACATATCAAATCATCTCTTTAAATCCTCCATATTGTCCCTTCACCTCGCTCCAAGTATTGGTGATTCTCATCTCTTTTAAAGCTCATCATTTAGAAAGAATTGAAAAAGGAAACTAGCTACTATCAGGCCCCTTCATGGTGCTGACTTGCCAATGCCACCTTGAAGTTGAATTACAAATCATGAGGTAGCTAAGAAGGCACTTAGTGGTGCATTGTAGTTCTTTTTAACTATCAAACTTAGTTTTTTGTGGTTGCTAAAGTTCCTGCATGAGGATAGAATAATTCTATAAATAAAGAACTAGTTAAAGTTAACTCAGTTCATTTCTTTTTTTTTTTCCTATTCATTTCTTGCTTACAAGAAATTGTGGGAACAGCAATCATTTTAGCCACAAAGGAGGAACAAATACACATATTCAAGGCAAACTCTGTAGTAACATTGAGGTCATCCTCTTGAAAAGTTTTTATGTGTTCTTGAGAGGGAGGAAAAGGGGTGGAGATATTGCCTATGTTTCTGGGCATGCTTACAAAACTGTGAGGTGCATGCCAATGCCATTTTTCTTGTGCTTCAAGGTGAAACAATGGTTAGAAACACTGTTCCATAACAGCGGATTTTGAACTTTTTAAGCCACAGAGTCTTTTTCTCAAACTACATTTTATATGACCCTAAAACATATAAAATATGTAAAACATACATGCTCTGGTTGAAATGGGGTGCGGGGCATAGAAAGTTACAGAACCCCAATGGCGAGGCTTCTTTTTTGGATATCATTACCCCCAAGAGTCCGGAGGTGCCTCTATAACATCTCAGGGCTGGGAAAACATTGCTATGTAGTTGGCTCTGTTGCAACATAATAATTGCAGTACCAAACAGAGTGCAAATATGAGTCAAATATCAGAGCCCGTATGGAGAAATAGCTAAGAGATCACGGTTATTCTCAAACTCTGTGATGGCTCAGTGATCATCAAGTAGAGGAGGAGAGGCCCAGTGCATAGGGCTGTGCCCCTTCTCACCCTGTGACCCTATGCACACAGACACACACACACACACACACACACACACACACACATAGCTACTCTTGTATCTATTTACACTATTGGGTTTCATAGATAAGATTTTTTTTCTTAAGAATAGATTCAGCTTCTAAAAAGATTTTTAAAATCTAAAATACCCAACCCAGAGAACTTTGTTTAATTTTCTTGTTTTATAGGTAAATAACCAGACTGAAGCAACTTTTACGGGGAATGTGGTCTTCTAGACTTCTAACAGGGTGATCTGTACACATTTTGAGCCCTACAAAATAAGGACAAAGGCAGAGGAAGACAGTCATGGGAATGAATCAGAAAATTCAATGACACAATCATGAAATATTCAGAGATGGTGAAATAAAATTGTTGGCTTTTTGTTTATTATTTTAGACTTGTTTTCCAGTTTTATTTAAATCAAGTGTGTTGTGTTTTTCCAATAAGCACTGTTTTTGCACTGCCTATCAGATTTTGATGGTTTTTCTATGTCAGTTTCTCCGGAGTGTTTTTACAATGTCTATTATTTATGTCAAACCACAGTATTATCTTCAAGTAGAAGGCCAAATTTGATAGTTTTATCTTTGAGGAACCTGCTCTACATTGTTTTACAACTGTTCTAACCTCAAGTGAATTAGCATAAGTAAATTTAAGCTTAATTCCTTTAGGAGAACTTGTCTTTAATTCACCTCAGCTACTGGGCATCCAATTAAAAAAATCAGAAAATGATGACTTTCCTGTTAAGTAATTTTAATTTTTGATTGTTATTACTTTAATTAGAACATCATTCAATGTTTTAATATAGATTACAAAGGAGCTTAAATAGTATAACTTTATGAAAAGAAGACAAAAATAACATGGCATGAAGAATCACATTAAAGTGCTTTGTGTATGGGTGACATATTATTACCAGGAAATCGAAGATCCCTAAAGCCTTCTGGACAACTATCTCTAAATCAACCAAGAAGTTCATTGACCTCCAAATTGGTAAATCTGTTTTCTGTCTTAACAAATTATTTCTGTGAATTATATAAAAGAAGGGTTTCCTTTATATTGCCAGAGTTCCAAACTGGATAATTGTGGTATAAGGAGCTTTAAGAATATGATATCGATAACTGAAACTACTTCCTGTTCCTTTGCCTCAGACGCTTAGTGTCCAGATAACATATGACTAGGCCAAAAGACAAATATTAGCCTATAATAGTCAGAGCTGTTACTAGAAAGACAGTGAATAATTTCAAAAGAAGGGGGTGAACCATCTTTGCTGTTCTGTTGTCGTTTTTGTCGTTTTTCTTCCTCTCTGAAGGTGCTATGATTACTTGGAAGGTCAGACTTCTACTTAATAATTTAACTCATCAGTTACCTTTTTATAGAACCTCTACAGATTGGTAGAATTTGTAGATTTCACAGAAATTTAATACTGGAGAGGACCTTGATGATCATCTATTTTTATAGATGAATAAAATGAGGCCCAGGGCAAATAAATGTTGATTTAAATTACTTTATTTGCAGCAGGTCTAGAATTCAGATCTCCTGATTCCTGGACCAATGTTCTTTTCAGCATATCATGCTGCTTCCCTTGCATGTCAACTGCTCACTAAAGATTCGATCTGTCTGAGTTCTCCACCTGAGACCTGCAGTAGCTTCCATTGTGAAAATGAACTGGTATGAGGTTAGGAAGAACACTTCAGAATCCCCAATCATAGCTCATTTAAAAATTTCCTGCCTGGGCTGGGTGCGATGGCTCACACCTGTAATCCCAGCACTTTGAGAGGCTGAGGTGGGTGGATTGCGCTAGCTCAGTAGTTTGAGACCAGCCTGGGCAACACAGCGAGACCCAGTCTCTATAAAAAATCCAAAAATAGCCAGGCATGGTGGAGTGTGCCTGTAGTCTCAGCTACTCAGGGACCTGAAGTGGGAGGATCGCTTCAGTCTGGGAGGTTGATACTACAGTGAGCTGTGATGGAGCCACTGCACTGCAGTCTGGGTGACAGAGTGAGACTCCATCTCAAAACAAAACAAAACAAAAACAACAACAACAAAAAAACATCCTGCCTAGTCAAAGCAATTCTCCCGTTTCCCTTTACATTCTGAGAAAAGACTTTGGAAACCCTTGTACCTGTTTTTGTTGGATCTCCTGGGAAATACAACCACAGTAGGGATCACTGAAAGGCCACTGGATGGAGGTGATAAGAAGCAAAGAAAATAGAAAAAGAAAGAAAAAGAGGGAGAGAGAAAGTCATATTACAAGAGTGCAGCCTAAAACGCCAACAACCCTCAGTGCTCATGTTAAAAACATGGAGCTTGAGCAGCCCTGGGGTATGAACATCTCTCATTAGCTACACAAACTGCTGCAGAACTGGGCAGACACATCTCGCACTGCGATGTCCATTGTCAGAGACAAGAGAGACAGGGATTGGGATATCGGCTAATGCTGCTTTGGATGTTACTCTTTATGTGGCTCATGAAATATTAGAAAGATTTAACATACAGCCTCAACATATTGGGAAACTTTAATACTTAATTGCCTGGCAATCATCCTCCTAATTCTAACATGTTTTCCTGCCCTTTGTCTCACATGATGTTTCTTGCTTAACCTAGTACAAAGTTACTATTTTCATTATCTTAATACTAAAATAAGAAAATTGGACTGTTCTCTTTTGTCTATGAGCCAAATTATAATGTGTTAAAATAGGCAACAGGAACAGAGTGAAAAATGACAGATCAATATCTCTGGGCAGTGGACAACCAAATATTTTTCTACAGATTACAGTAATTTGGAGACAACTCAGGGTAAAATGACTCTTGAAAATAATTATGGTTTAATTTATCAAGCTACAAGTTACCAATTACTTGGCATAAGCAAATACCAGCATTCACATTTTCCATGGAAATATTTCACCTGATCTAAGTTTAGATGAGTATCTATAGCAAATTCTGAAAATAATTTGAGCTTACTATACTTCCCCTAGCCCTTTCGCTGGGAAGAGTGTCACCTCCTACTACAAAAGTACTGTCTTCACTTACCAGGATCGTGAAATTAGAAAATTAAATATTTTATTCTTTGTTTATTTGTTGTGTAACTAAAATTTAAATAATTCAGGGGTGATATCAGATGAAGCTTCATTAGCTATTTACGCATGAAAGGAAATGTATTCCATCATTTTCTGGAGCATGTTTTGCTGAGGGGTAGAAGACTGGTTTGGTAGTGGAGGAAGTGTATGGGGGCGTACTTGGAGGGCAAATGAGGGAGACACAACCAAGGAAGGCCCAGCAAAGGGAAGGGAGGCTCTGAAGACAAACTCAGACCACTTGACAATCTACCCACCCAGGCTGCAGCCTGCCATGCTCTCAGCCTAGCTTCTCTCCTGGTACTTATAAGTGATGGTTGAACAAGCTCAAAAGTCTAAATAATAATTATGATGTGGCACTCAAGAGCCACACCTTGTTACACACTGTTTAGTAGCATAAATATTGTTCTGTACAGTTCCATGTATTCAAAGCTCTTCAAAGTACACTGTATTTTCAGGTTACCTAAACATGCCCAATGGTAGTACCTTCTTGTCTGATGAGAGTACATTACCATGATATGTATATATATTTATATATATGAATATATATATATGAGAGTACATTACCATGATTTGCATATATATATAGTGTGTGTGTGTGTATATATATATATATATAAATGTAGTTACATATTCTGAATTTCTATATTTCTGAACGAATTTAAATTTCAGTCTTGGTATTTTGCACTGTATTTGATTACACTCATGACTGAATTGGTCAGTTAGTTCAATCAAATGATGGATTTTGTAATACATTATTTCAATTTGGTTATTTTTATTGAATTGCTTAAAAATAAATATAAACACAGATAATCAAAACAAAAACAAACTCCCAACCAAATCCTGAGAGTGCCAGTTAATTCTGTCAAAAAAGTTGAGGCATTGAAAAACAAGTTATTGGTAACACCAATATGAGCTCTGGTGAAGCTAGCAAGAGTTGAAAGAGTTTGATCGTGATTCAACTTGATTTTAAGAATGAGTTTTAAATATATATATTTATAAAAAATTTTCCTCTGTAATAGAAAATAACTTTAGGGGTTAAAAAGTGATGGTGCATGAAAGATCAGCCTCTGAATGAGTTGAAAGAAGTTAAACGGAAACCTAATGATTGCATGACTAGGAAAATCTTAGAAAGGTTTGGTTAAACTCTTTAGGTATCAAAGTTGAATTCAGTAACTTAGTAGGGTCTCCATATACCAAAATCAGTTTTACTTCATGGAGCTAATTACTAAGGCCAGATGGCCAGCTGGAAATGTGTAAGAGAGACAGAGAGAGAAAAAGAGAGAGATATGTATGTGTATGCACAGATATGCAGATATGCACACGCATTTGGGACCCCATTCTTGAGTGGTTCTGCCTGGCTTCCCCAATACCTGTCAGCCAGGAGTGGACAGAAGATTCACTGCTTCTATTTTGGGAGCAGAAAGTTCTCTTTGCTACCGACTGCCTTTGTTGAGAAATTGGCCACTTTCACTCCAAAACACGAGCCATTAGTTTTTGTTTGCAAAGAAATTTTAAAAGAAACAAGCTATGACTCCTTGGTTTTGTTAAAAAATGGTGTGTGTATGGTGGTAGTTAGTTTGGGAGTGGAGGAGGCTGAGAATGATGTGTATGTAAGAAGGGACAGTCCCTTGCTCTCAGGTTGTACAATATTTGCTAAATAGAAATCCATCTGTGACAGACACAAGCAAAGACAGACAATCTTTAGAAGCTTAAATATATTTTAAGAGTAAAATAAATTAGCTTTTGATTTTAGGATACTTGAGAGTCACGAATACTTGCATATTCCAAGACTAATGTATTTTAGCCATAAATAGATCAGCTTTCTGAAGCTATGAAGGGATAACAGAACCAATACACGCAGACACACACACACACACACACACACACACACACACAAGTTCTATGGGTGAAGTATTTAAATACTAATTAAATAAAATCAAATACAAATTAGTAAATGCAAATAAAGTATATACAAATTAAGCAAGAAGAAAAAATTTATTTTCTTAATTTGTTTAGATTCCCATTAACTAACATAGTAAAGTTAGACATTTTTTCAGCACGTACCCTTTTAGAGGCATAATTTATTTATTAAAAATAATTTCATGTATTTTGTAGCTCTACTAAACACAGGGAATGTATGTTAACAGATTTAATCTGTCATCTCTGTTTTGCGCTATTCTGAATATTAAAAATACATAGCAATATTAGAGGCTATAATACATCAGTTTATTTTCTTATGTAACTTAGTATTTAACTCTATACTAAAATCACTTCTCAAGACTAATTTGCTTGGGAAAACTGAGACACAAAACAGAATTTTTAGTCTTGATACCTTGGCACAAAATATCCTTAATTATTACTGTTTCAGAATTAAGCATACTTACAGAAATCTGACAATGTACAGATCTGGAAAATTCCAAAATTATCTATGTAGAGATTGTTTCAGAGAATAGAAATCAGTCCTTCCCACTAATGCCAATTATTCAGTTGATGTGTTCTTACACTCTAAACGCTCTAAATAAATAACTAAATTGATCATCCTCACCATTGGATTAAATTTGGAGAATTCTCATTTTTTAAAAGAAAATTTGGCTTTTCATTCGCCTCTTTAATGGACTCGCCCATGAGGAGCAAAGATATTTGAATCTAATGAACAAGTAGTCACAGTGCGTTTCCCTGCACTGGGATAGGATTTTTGTTGTTGTTATTTAAAATAAGTTTTGTTTTTTATCAACAGCTTTGCCTGGGGCTGGTTAGGATCAGAGTTCTGACTTACTGCTCTGATCTTAAGCCTGCACATCCTATAATTTTGATGTCGTATCTATGCAGAAGCAAGGAGCTCATTATTGTATTTATTTTTAGAATATATACATATAATAATCATGTGAAGGGCACAATGAATCATTGGCTACTGATAGTTTAATTTTTTTAATAAATAGTAATTTGTCATGATTAAATGGGATTAAGATGTTTTTGTTTTCATGGTTAAGAAACACTGGAAAGAAAGATAAATAAAATAAACATAAAATGGACTTTAATAAATATAAGCTACTCAAACTCAAACAGCTTTTTTTTTGAGACAGGGTCTCACTCCATCACCCAGGCTGGGGTACAGTGGTGCCTACTTCATGTAATTTTCTTCTTTGAACTTGGTTATGTGTGTACCTAAAAAATACTTTTATTACTCTTTATCAGTTACAAATGCTTTTCCGTTTTAAGCAACAAAGATTGACATTGGCTTAAAAAGATAGGGCTTTATTTTTTCTCACATGACAGAAAAGCTGGGAAGAGGTGGCAGATGACATTGCTTCAGCAGCTCAGTGTTGTCAGGACCAGCATCATGGTGACGCTCCTGTTTTTTCCCATTTGACTGCAAGATGCCTGCCACAGCCTCAGGCAGCAAGTCAGCATTCAGGGCCATAACACAAAAGAAAAAAATCTCTGAACATCTCCAGCAGACTTCTTACTGGCCAAAACTGTCACACAGCAGTTGAGGGACTCACACCTCTAACAATTAAGAGACTTTGGGAAAGTGAGTCTTTTGCTTTCCCTGCCTCTATTTGAAAGGAGAAGGAGGTTGGGAGTCCCAATCCGCTTCTTACCTTTAAAGAAGGATTGGATTCCCAACTCCTTCTTCTTTAAAGGTAAGAATAACTGTCATGGACTAGAATCTACATTTTAGTCACCCTTGTAATCTCTGTAGTGCTGATATATATCCTACCTATAAAAGTCACTTCATTATTATTTATTGAAATAAATTACATTTCCATAAGAACTGTGTACTTTTCAAAAAAAGATTTTAAACAAACATAACCATTTTTTGAATCTGTTATTGGCTCATGGCTTCTTTCGTTTTCTCTTAGCATTTTCCCTCTTTTCAGCAGTGAAGACAGGGAGCTCTGCACCAGTTATAAATTGGGCCTTTGAGTGTTGCAATAACAAGTGACTCTCAGAGCATTGCCTAGAAATGGCTAAGTACCGGTACTCAAGACTGGCCTGGATTTAAGCAGCAGAAGTACAGGGAGCCCTTGAATGTGTCCTGTTGGAACCTCTCAACCCTCAAACACACCTGACTTCTCAAGTGCTAGGAGAACAAGAGTTTACAGGATTCCTGAGGACTTGGCTTTATGTTGTTGATTATGGCTGTTCCCTGGTGGTTACAGGCCACCTAAGCCCTAGATCTGACCCATCCGTTCAGGGCTAGTGATAGTTCAGACATAACAAGTCGCTAGATAGTGGCAAATATTTCTTTTTTTTTTTTTTATACTTTAAGTTTTAGGGTACATGTGCACAACGTGCAGGTTTGTTACATATGTATACATGTGCCATGTCGGTGTGCTGCACCCATTAATTCGTCATTTAACATTAGGAGTATCTCCTAATGCTATCCCTCCCTCCTCCCCCCACCCCACAACAGGCCCCGGTGTGTGATGTTCCCCTTCCTGTGTCCAGGTGTTCTCATTGTTCAATTCCCACCTATGAGTGAGAACATGCAGTGTTTGGTTTTTTGTCCTTGCAATAGTTTGCTGAGAATGATGGTTTCCAGCTTCATCCATGTCCCTACAAAGGACATGAACTCATCCTTTTTTATGGCTGCATAGTATTCCATGGTGTATATATGCCACATTTTCTTGATCCAGTCTATCATTGTTGGACATTTGGGTTGGTTCCAAGTCTTTGCTACTGTGAATAGGATAGCGGCAAATATTTCTTCAGATTTATCTGAGTCTAGGTATGGGCAGAGTTAAAGTCATACTCCCCTTGAACTTAGTGATTCTAAGGGCCTACTATATTATTTCTTTGTACCTAATAACCTTTTCAATGTAAGTATTTCATTAATACTAAAAAAAGGTAAAAGACCAAGCAAAGGCTTTAAAAGTTGTAATTACAGTGAAGCCATCTAGGACTGGGTAAAGATAATAATTAAAAATGAGAGCTATAAACACATTTTTAATCCTTAAAATGTGTTAAGGTTTTAGAAAAGTGATAGGAATAATTTGCTATGACTTGAAGTGCTTTCAAGTATGTAGATGAAAGACACCTTTGTGAATATAAAGAACCAGTTCTTTAGTTAATAATAGTAATTTGGCACTTTTAAATGAGGACTTCAATGTACATCGGATACGTTACACATCCCAACAGACAGCCTCTTTCCTAGGTGACCAAACGGGCAGGAAGTGACTCATAGAAGTTCACAGAAGCTACTGACATAATTTGAATTTCAGTCTGTGATTTGCTCCCAGCTCAGATAGTGACCTATGGCTATACACCACTTATTCAGTAGTGACTATGAACCAAGCACTCTAATAGGTGCTGGGTTTCCAAAGATGAATAAAAAAAAGTTTCTGCCTTTCAAAAGCTCATTGACAGTCTATGTTCACTTAATCATCCTGCAGCTTCCCACATGGTTAATTCTAAAATGGGCAGCAGCCTCTTGAGTTTTTATCCGGGCTCCAGCGTGGGAATTTGCTATGAAATATTCCTGATAAATATGTTTTAGAACTAGAACTGCTTAGGCTATTTGTGTATCACGCACTGAAAATACAAATATGTGTGGATATTTGGGTAGGACTATGGCTATTTTGATATGAATAAGTAGAAATGCTCTTCGGAAGTTTTCCCAATTAAATTCTTAACGAATAATATGTGCTATCACCTCTCTTTTAAAATTTCTTTTCTTCTTTTAATTAAAATAATGTTTCTCTGCTCTTGAGCCAGCTGGTTCTAAGCCAGCTAGGTCTTGGCACCTGGTATGCCCCCCAGGTTAACTTCCTCTCCTACATTTACTTTACATTTATTTCTGACTTTGAAGATCAAAAGTTCTTATAAAACTCCTGTTCCTTTTTCTGTGAGATAGGTAATCCAGTGATAGCCTGTTAACTTCCTTGTCTCTCAGACACAGATTTCTAAATTTTAGATTGGAAGAGACCTCAGAAATGGATACCTCTCAATTTTCATATTCCATTAGACCTTAACTTATTCCTAGGGTTGCATTCTGCCTCGTCAGTTTCCAACAACACTGGACACAAACTTCTTGAAAGAATGAGTGTGACAGCTACCAAAAATACTGAGGTAGTACCTCTGATTGCTCATCAACTTTTTAATGTCATATGTTGATATGAGACTGTATCCATAGCCCAATTAAAATGATTTTTAAAAAGACATTTTGGGTTGTCTGTACCACTGTTCCCTATTAGCAGGGATTATTAGAGGTGATTGTATAGTTACACATGTCTCTGGAATGTATTTTGGATTGATATTTTCATGTGGTTGTGTCATGCTGAAATTTAAAATAATTCAGATAGGATAATGAAGCTTTCCTATGAAGCTCAGACTCATAACATACAGAAGCTTCCCATTTTCCAGGCTGTGGGCTGTTGCTGATCCCGTCCTTGTTCTCTTCCTCATGTTGGGAATGACCAGCATCTTCACTTGGTCTAAAGAATCATTGGCCTAAGTACAGAGGATTTTCTCTGCCCCCACCTAGTTGATGTGCTGTTAGTTTTATCCTTTCATGTTTGTTTGGAAGGTAATTAACATTTTTACTTTACATAGTAGTCATTAAAACCTTTTCTTTCAGTTTTCACAGGCTGTAAGAGACTATTAAGGAGGCAATTGAGCAGGAAGATAATATGAGGATGTGGCAAGAAAAAATGTGCACTGCTACCAATAACAGAACAGTTAACATTTATGCAAAGTCTTCTTTAACTAATAAAAAATTTACACCATACTTGAATATTCTTCATGTTTGACAATTAGAGGATTATGCAACTACATTTCTTTTCTTAAATATTGAATGTCTTCCAATGAAATGATCTAACCAACCAACAACAAACCTTTCTCTACATTGTGCCTATCTAGACATGGCTCATTTATTTCATTAGAAGGTAAATCCAGTGGACAATTTGTTTTGACAAGGCAAACTAAATTCTTCCCCTTTACTTTTCTCTTTACAGCATGTCTCCTTTGAATATTTATCTTGAGTTCTCAACATCGTTCATTTTGAAGATAAGGGTAAGCCAGCCAGCCCTGGAATCTGTGCTATGATAATCTGATGCAGATCAGGTGAAGGGCATCTTGTGATTTTTGTTTGTTTTTGTAAAGAATTCTCATGGATGTAAGAAACTGGAGAGCTTGCCTGAAATAGCTTGCATTCTATCTTAAATTCTTTAAGCCATTTTTTCATACAGGCAATATCCAGATGTTGTTCCTCTATTTAAGAGGGAAAATAAGACAAAAGCTTTTGTATAGTGTCAAATAACTTTGTGTCATACAACAAATATTAAATAATAGAGGTTGTTTTTTGAGAGCTTTAAAATTTATTGTTAATCATTCACTCATTCATTTAAAAATATTTAGTGAATATTTTCTATGTCAAAACTGTCCCATTTGAAGATTCTAAGTATTTTCCTATGACTTTTCACTTTACCTTGCTTCATTGTTCTCCATTCTGATTAATTTATCTCTATTTGTTTAACACTGATAATATGACAGAATGCTTGATTCTATAGTCTCAGCACTTTAAAAAATATTTTTCTGGCCAGAGTAATAATTTGTGTGTGTGTGTGTGTAGCCCGGGCTGGAGTGCAGTGGCGCAATCTCAGCTCACTGCAATCTCTGCCTCCTGGGTTCAAGTGATTCTCCTGCCTCAGCCTCCTGAGTAGCTGGGATTTCAGGTGCATGCCACCACACCCAGCTAATTTTTGTATTTTTAGTTGAGATGAGGTTTCACTATGTTGGCCAGGTTGGTCTCGAACTCCTGACCTCAAGTGATCTGCCCACCTCAGCCTCCGAAAGTGCTGGGATTACAGGCATGAGCCACTGCGCTGGGCCCAGAGTAATAAAATTTAAATGTCTTTTTTATCAAAGATAAAAGTTGCATATAGGGAACTGTTCTGTGCTTATATTTTGTTGGTGTTTATTTTCACTTCATCTATTAAAGATGTGGAGATTTATACATGAAAGGTGGGCACTTCAAATTTAACTTTTGCTGTACATTTTGAAGTGCTACAGTGGTTCCAAGGAATATGTGAAGGCCCTTTCTTATACTGTGGATAAGGTTTGATTACAGTCATGTACCACATAATGACCCTTCGGTCAAAGACAGACCACATATATGATGGTGGCTCTATAAGATTACTATGGAGCTGAGAAATTCCTATCATCTAGTGATGTCATTAGCTGTTGTAAAATCATAGTGCAATGCATTATCTTTTCTATGTTTAGATATGTTTAAATTCACAAATACTTACTGCTGTGTAAGTACTGCCTACAGTATCCAGTACAGTAACATGCTGTACAGGTTTGTAGCCTAGGAGCAACAGGCTATACTCTATAGCCTAGGTGTGTAGTAGGCTATACAATCCAGGTTTGTCTAAGTACACTCTATGATGTTTGCACAATGACAAAATTGCCTAATGATGAATTTCTCAGAATGTATCCCTGCTGTTAAGTGATGTATGACTATACTTGGATTCTGAATATCTAGTGCTTACTTGCAAAAGAACTTCACACTGATGAAACTGACATCTTAGGAACACTGCTTCTGAAACAGTAATGCAATAGTGTGGACACAAAATTGTACATAATCTATATGCCCTAAATTTTCAAGTTGCTTTGCTCTATCTGTAGTTTTTTTGGATGCTAGGGAGATGACATCTTGGAGACTTACCCATTCATAGTTGCTCTGAGAAGATATATTTTTAAAAGTTTTTTTAGAGACCAGGTCTCAGTACACTGCTTAGGCTAGCCTCGAACTTTTGGCTTCAAGCAATCCTCCTGTCTTAGTCTCCTGGGTAGCTGGGACTATAGGTTCATGCACTACACTTGGCTGAGAAGATGTAATTTTGTTTATTATAATAATAATAAATTTGTTTGCAAAAAATTCTATCCTAATTCTCAAGAGGGAATTGAGAATTGCTGAGATAGCACAGGTAGCATCTTCTATGGTAATGACTGCTGAGGATATTTCAAGCCAGATATAAGAAGGTAGAGCACATTACAGGATTATTTCTGGTCAACAGTTTAGTTTCTTAGCTTTTAGGTCTAAAAATTTAGTAAAAAAAATTTCCCCAGGGTTCTAAACTTCAATTTCCTTGCCTATAAAAGGGGCATAATAATTATGGCTACTTCACGGGGCTTACTGTGAGACTAAATGAATTAGTATATGTAAAATAAATACTTTTGCACCAACCAAATAGTTCTCTTTTCCTTGGTGGTGCTGGTGCTGAGAGTCAATCTCTCTCTATCTCTCTCTCTCTCTCTGTCTCTCTCTCTCCCCTTTCCTTTTCCCCTTTCTCTTCAGTGGGGACCACCCTTTTTCAAGGGAGAGTTTAACCTCCCTCAATAACTTCACCATGCCCTAACAAAGTCTTGTTTATTTCTTGGCTTTGGCCTTAGATTTTAGAATATTGAAGTGGGGCCTCTAGTCATCTGACAAGTGACCATACATTGTTCTATATTATATCTAAATCTTTAACCCATAGAACAGAAAGAAAATATTGTGAATTTTGCCCTTATTGACTTTATGAAGAAGGAAAGACATTCCTTAAATCATTAGTCTTCAACCACCCTAATTTTCTTATTATTGAAATAGTCTCCTGGAATATAGAGGCTTTAATGTTTTTTCATGTAAAAAATGTAGCACTTTAGTTGTAATGCTAGAATTTCTTGTAATTATTGAATGCTAATTTTTCCTTGATTACTTATGTATACTCAATATCAGTGTCACATTATGGTATTTCTGCAATATGAAACATTAATATTAAGCATATATAACTGATAACCAAAATTAACTAGTTTTCAAAGAATTATAATGTATTGATGGTAAGGAGAGTGGTAGAAATGAGATGAGTGGTTTGTTTCAGAAAGCACAATCACATTTACTTTGTGTTTGATGCTGAAAAACAATGCTTGGGAGAAGTCAAACGTTATTTCTTTCTGATGCAAGAAGCTTAATTATGATTAATTACTGTACTGGTTTTCTAGAGCTGCTATAACAAAGTACTACAAACCAGGTGGCTTAGAACAACAGAATTCATTGTCTTCCATTTCTCGAGACCAGAGGTCCAAGATCAAGCTGTTGACAGGGTTGACTCCTTCCTTCTGATGGATATAAGGGAGAATCTGTTCCATGCCTTTCTCTTAGCTTCTGATGATTTTTTGGCAATCTTTGGAGTTCCTTGGCTTGTAGATTTCTGCCTTCATCTTCATATGGCTTTCTTCGTGTGTGTATGTGTGTGTGTGTATCCAAATTTTCCCTTTTTATAAGATAGCGGTGACATTGGATTAGGGGCCCAGTCTATTCCAATATGGCCTGTTCTTAACTAATGACATCTGCATTAATCCTATTTCCAAATGGGGTCACATTCTGATGTACTGAAGGTTAAGACTTCAGCATATGAATTTGGTGGGGGACATGATTCAACCCATAACACTTATAATCCTCAGATCCTACTTTTAAATGCTCAATGATCAATGGTAACTGTTCTTGGAGTTTGTGTCTTAATTTTATAAATATAAAGAAAAAAATCACCAATCAAAAATAAACAAATGAACCTACTAACCAATTAAACAACCAGCCCACTGCCAGCCAGGGATTCTAATGCTCAGTGACAACTTGATGGAGATAGGTTTCATTTCATAAGCACAGATTTATAAATGATATTCTCCTACATAGATTCTAAACATGTAAAACTTAATCAATTGTAGTGTGGAATATAAGTTCTAAAAAAAAAGTCGGAGAACAGATAAAAGAGAAAAAAAACCCCAAATTTGAAACTATTCCGATTTTATATAATCTACTTACTAGGAAACTGTAAGGGCGACACCCATCCTGCATTCTGTGGAAGTGTCCCAATCTTACCAGGAAAATCTTACATCCTGTAAACTTCACTTTCATATCTAAATAAATGCTTAATATTTACTAGAGTGGTCAAGCAAGTTATTTGATGATGATGACTTGTTACATTAACTGGCAAAAGCTCTTAAAAATATGAAAGACCCACTCATAAATAAGATATTTTCAGTGGTTGTCCTTTACAACACATAACATTTAAAAATAAATAACCTTTAATTTTAATGTATTGACTTTTTTTAAAAAAGGAGAAATGAGTGTTTTGGTTTGGTAGCTATACTTTGATAGATATCTGTCTTTAATAAAATATAAATGTAGATACATTTGGAGACAGAGTTTGATAGGGAATGGAAAATTATGTTTTAAAAACTCTTTTATCTAAATTATAATCTTAAACACTCATACAAAAATTACTGGAAATAAATGCTTTCTTTTGGAGGAATTTTCACCTGACACCCCTTACATGATGCAGGCAATTTTTAGGGCTTTTGTTGTTGTTGTTGTTGTTGTTGTTAGGTTTTTTATTTGTTGGTTTGTTTGTTTTTTGAGACAGGGTCTGGCTCTGTCATCTAGGCTGGAGTGCAGTGACATGAACATAGTTCACTGCATCCTCGACTTCTTGGGCTCAAGTGATCCTCCTCCCTCAGCCTCCTGAATAGCTGAGACTACAGGCACATGCCACCACACTCGACTCATTTTGTTTATTTTTTTGTGGAGACGAGGTGTCACTATGTTGGACTCAAGTGATCCTCCCACCTTAGCCTCCCAAAATGCTGAGGTTACAGGCATGAGCCACTGCACCTGGCCCAATTTTTAGTATTTTGATATTTGATGCCCATCACTTAAATAACAACAATTTGGAGTACCTCACAAAGCAGCAAAACCTGTCATAGCTACCCTATGAATTACTATTTTCTAAAACCTTGTACTTTGCTGAAACTGAAAACAGCAACTTGAGACCAAGTTCGTGTTTTCACAAACAAGTAGTTTAACTAAATTAAATTTTAAAAGGCTGGATCCCATTTATTTTGAGGGCTTTTATGATACTAGATACTAGGTGAGGTATCTAGGGCTTCTATCATACTATGATACTAGAAAGCTGTTTGAATTTTTCACATCTTGTTTCGTTATTTTCTTGTGGACACTGATTAGTAGGGCAAACAGAAACTCTAGATATTCTTAGGCTCACAATAAAAGAAACACATTTTCAAAATAAATCCAGATGTTAATTTAATTCTATTTGTTGAAATAAATTTTTATTCTCTTAATAAGGCAAATAGCCATTTAAATAATAAGTAATACCAAAAAATGCTGGCAAAATCACAGATACTGATGAAAATTCAGAAGCGTTATTAGTCTTTTTCCTTGAATTATACATGGCATTTAATTAAACAGCACTTCTTTAGTTCAGCATTCCACTTTAGCAGTGATAACTAAAAGCATCAATTCTATGTCTAGTTATAGCCAAGGAATATCAACAGAACACTGGGGTTTGTTTGTTTGTTTGATACAGGGTCTCGCTCTGTCACCCAGGTTGGAGTGCAGTGGAGTGATCACCACTCTCTGCAGCCTCAACATCCTGGGCTCAAGCCATCCTCCTGCCTCAACCTCCTGAGTAGCTGGGACTACAGGCATGCACCACCATACCTGGGTAATTTTTAAAATTTATTTGTAGAGGCAGGGTCTTGCCATGTTGCCAAAAGCCATCCCCACTAATTCCTCCTTGCTAGCAGAACCTCTATTAGATGTTACTTGAAGAGCCTATAATCTCAAGGAAAGTGATCCTAGTTTCTGGCCTAAGAGCAGGTATATGACTAGTTCTGTTCAGTGAAGTGAAGGGAAAATCCCCTGTGGGTCTCCTCAGGAATATTTTCCTCTTTGATAAAAGAAGGGGCTACTAAGGGAGGCTCCCTGCCCTGTACTCATAGCTACTTCTGCCTTTGAATATGGTTAGAGAAGGACATGATGCATGGAAATCCTGCAACAATCTTGCAACTCTGTAAAGTCCAACAGACTCTAAACCTGACATCATAGAACCACTGGGTCAACACACCTACAACTGCCTTCTTGCAAACTGTGTGGGGAAATAAATCTCATTTGTTTACGCCACTATTAGGTGACTTGCAACTGAAAACATTCCTAACTGATATAACAAGGCACCTGTATCCTACAGCATATTATCAATAATTACACATGGGCTGATTTTCTGTGGCATCTATTTGCTCATTAATTCATTTAGTCAGTCATCAAACATTTCTTAAGCAACAACTATGTGACAGGCACCGTGCTATGCACCAGAAACATAATGCGAAGCAAGATAGACACATCTCCTGCAGTCTGAGTGAATAGGCCTCAGTTATTCAGTTTGTGGCTAACTTGTAACCCCTCTCCCCCTTATCCCCAAAGCTTTTAAGGCAGGTGATCTACATGCATTTGCCACCTCAATTTGTGAAATTAGCCAGGAGATTTGGCCAGTCAGTACTAGCCACCTCATTAACAAATCAAAAGGAAGATTGATCCTTAGTTTTTTAAAGATTGCTGACCCCTAATTAGTAAACATGAAGACTCTAAAAACGAATGATTGAAGTCAATGAAATTATAAAGAACGGAGATTCAGTAAGTATGAACTTAACTTCTAGGTACTCAAAATAAGATTGCTTTCTGAAAGTTTGAAAAACAAATTTTTGAGGCAAATAAAATAATGTAGACAAATAGAATTATTTTTTCAGATAGGAAGTGAAAACCACGTTATAAAAAGCAAAACACAGATTCAGGAAATACAGAGATCAGTGAAAAGATAGCTCTCCAGCAGTTTCCTAAGTTGTCTGTGAGAAGTAAATTAACATTTGAGAACTCCCCAAGTCCCAGGCACTCTCTTTGTGGCATCTCACATGAGCCTACATTAACTATGCAAGGAAACATTACTATTTCCATTTTACAGAAAAGGAAGCTGAGGTTCAGAAACTTAGGTAATCTTATCACATAATTAATAAGAAATAGAGTCTT
Source organism: Homo sapiens (assembly GCF_000001405.40). Taxonomy (NCBI): domain Eukaryota; kingdom Metazoa; phylum Chordata; class Mammalia; order Primates; family Hominidae; genus Homo; species Homo sapiens. Next base: position 189,592,601 of record NC_000002.12, on the reverse strand, counting down.
GATTAAACTCAGGTTTGTCTAGAGTCAAACAGCACATCCCTCTACTATGCCATACCACTTCCTTAAAGACAGGAGGCAAACCACTATGATCTCTTAAAAATTACCCTTTTGCCCCAAAGTCAGAGTCTGAATCTTGGGTCAATGGAATGTAGGTTAATTCCTTCTGGCATTTATAGTCCTGTTCCTGGGAATGGTTTACAAAATAGTGTCTAATTTCTTAATAGCTGAGCCAGGAGATAAAATTTATGTTCAAAGAAAAAAAAAATAAAGGACATTCAAATTGGAAAGGAAGAAGTAAGAATTATCCCTATTTGCAGACAACATACTCTTACATTGAGAAAAACCTAAAGACTCCACCAAAAACCTGTTACAACCAATACATGAATTAAGTAAAGTTGCAGGATACAAAAATCAATGTTCAAAAATCAACAGTATTTCTACTGGCCGACAGTTAATAATTTGAAAAAGAAATAAAGAACGCAATCCCACTTACAATAGCTACCCAAACAAATAAAATACCCAGGAATAAATTGAGACAAAGAAGTGAAAGATCTATACAAGGAAAACTATAAAACATTGATGAGAAAAGTTGAAAAGGACACACACAAAATGAAAAGATGTCTCATGCTCATGGAAGATCACCCAAAGTGATCTACAGATTCAATGCAATGCCTGTTAAAATACCAATGACATTCTTCACAGAACTAGAAAAAGCAATCTCAAAATTCATATGGAACCACACAAGACTCCAGAAAGCCAAAGCAACCCTGAGCAAAAACAACAAAGCTAGAGATATCATACTACCTGACTTCAAAATATATTAAAAATCTGTAGTCACCCAAAAGGCATAGTACTGGCATAAAAACAGACACATGGACAGATGCAACAGAATAGAGACCCCAGAAACAAGTCCACACACCTACAGTGAACTCATTTTCGACAAAGGTTTCAAGAACATACACTGGGAAAAGACGTTTTCTTCAATAAATGGTTCTGGGAAAGCCGGATATCCATATGCAGAAAAATGAAACTAGATCCCTATCTCTTACCATATACAAAATCAAATCAAAATGGATTAAATGCTTAAGTGTAAGTCCTGAAACTATGAAACTACTAAAAGAAAACACTGGGGAAATGTTTCAGGATATTGGTCTGAGTAAAGATTTTTTTGGGGTAATACCTTAAAATCACAGGCAACAAAAGCAAAAATAGACAAATGGGATTACATCAAGCTAAAGAACTTCTGCTCAGCAAAGAAAACAACATACAGGATGGGACAAAATAGCTGTAAACTATTCATCCAACAAGGGATTAATAACTAGAATATACAAATAACTCAAAACAACTCAACAGCAAATAAGTAAATAAATAAATCCAATTTAAAAATAATCAGATGATCTGAACAGACATTTTTCTTCTTCTTCTTCTTTTTTTTTTAGATGGAGTTTCACTGTTGTTGCCCAGGCTGGAGTGCAATGGCGTGATCTCGGCTCACTGCAACCTCCGCCTCCCGGGTTCAGGCAATTCCCCTGCCTCAGCCTCTTGAGTAGCTGGGATTACAGGCACATGCCACCACACCTGGCTAATTTTGTAATTTTAGTAGAGATGGGTTTTGCCATTTTCGTCAGGCTGGCTTTGAACTCCTGACCTCAGGTGATCCACCCGCCTTGGCCTCCCAAAGTGCTGGGATTACAGGCGTGAGCCACCATGCCCGGCCATGAATAGACATTTTTCAAAAGAAGAGATACAAATGGCCAAAAGTACATGAAAAAATGCTCAACATTACTAATCATAAAGGAAATACAAATCAAAACCACAATGAGATATCATCTCATCCCAATTAGAATGGTTATTATCTTCCTGATCAAAAAGACAAACAATAACAAATGCTAGTGAGGATGTAGAGCAAAGGGAATCCTTATACACTGTTGGTGAGAATGTAAATTAGTACAGTCATTGATATGGTTTGACTCTGTGTTCCCACCCAAATCTCACGTGGAATTGTATCCCCAGTGTTGGAGGAGGGGCTGGCGGGAGATGATTCAATCATTGGGGTGGACTTCCCTTTGCTGTTCTTGTGATAATGAGTGAGTTCTCATGAGATCTGGTTGTTTAAAAGTGTGTAGCACTTCCCCCTTAGCTCTCTATCTCCTGCTCTACCATGTGACGATTGTGCCTGCTTCCTCTTCACCTTCCGCCATGATTTTAAGTTTCCTGAGGCCTCCTCAGACATACCTCCTGTACAGCTTGCAGAACTGAGAGTCAATTAAACCTCTTTTCTCCATAAATGACCCAGTCTCAGGTACGTCTTTATAGCAGTGGGAAAATTGACTAATACAGTCATGGAAAACCTTATGGAGGTTCTTCAAAAAACTGAAATTAGAACTGCCATATGATCAAGCAATCCCACTGCTAGGTAATCAGTACATTGATGAGATATCTGCATGTCCATGTTTATTGTAGCAATAGTCATAATAGCCAAGAAATGGAATCACACTAAGTGTCCATCAACAGATGAATAGATAAAGAAAATGTATATGTATATATAAAACCACATATTATTCAGCCATAAAGAAGAATGAAATCCTGTCATTTGAGCAATATGGATGGAACTGGAGGACATTATGTTAAGTGAAATAAGCCAGGCATAGAAAATTATTGCATGTTTTCACTGATGTGGGAGTTAAAAAATGTTGATCACATGGAGGTAGAGAGTAGAATGGTGATTACTAGCGGCTGGGAAGAGTAGTGGGGAGTAAGGATGAAGAGAAGTTGGTTAAAGGGAATGAAAATACAGTTTAATAGAAAAAAATAAGTTCTAGTGTTTCATAGCACAGTAGGGTGGCTATAGTTAATAGTAATTTATTGTATACTTCAAAAGAGCTAGAAGAGAAGATTTATAATTTTCCCAACCTAGAGAATTGATCAATATTTAGGTGATAGATATCCCAATTATCCTGATTTGATCATTACACAATGTGTGCATGTATCAAAATATCACATGTAGCCCAGAAATATGTACATTCATTATGTATCAATCAAAAAAGGTCTAGATTAAATACCTGAAGGTTCTTCTTCCCTCTTTTAATTTCTAAACCAATTGATTACAGTAGAGAAGTTTTCTTTCTCTTGAGAGTGTGACAGAGTTATATAGGGACAATGTGAACAATATTTACACTCAGGGCTAACCTGGACATACATATATAGCTAAATTAATTAGAGAAAGATTTTGACCAGTAATCTTTGTAAGTATTCCTCAGAAATGCTTACCCACGCTTTTGTGTGTTGAACCATCAGTTTATATCTGTGGTGGAACTTTTAGGTTTAGTTGTGTAGCCAAACTGCCTTTGTTTGAATGTGTTTGGCAGAGAACTGGAAGTGTTAGTTATTTTGATCTTCTATATGAAGGCAATAGCTAGTTAATTTGACCAAAAGGCACAGTTAGGGCACTTCTGGGACATTTTTACAGTGGTGATTTTATATACTGCTATGGTTTGCAAAGCAATTTGAGACAAATGGCACTGATGAGAAGTCTCTGAAATATGTGAACACAAGAAGTCAGAAGAGTTGTCATATACTTGTGCTTTGAAAAATGTGAACAGCTTGAAAAGAGAAAAAGAACCAGATTTTCCCTAGGGCCAGATAGCACAATCAAGTAAAGGAAGATACCAATTTAATGCAGTTTGTGAGACTTTGGTGAGGAATTATTTCCTAAATATCCAATCATCAGCTCATTATCACCTCACAATAGGCAGATTAATACATTTAATTTGCTAGGATTACAGTCTTGTTTGAGTTGGTCAACTGCTTGTAAAGTGAGACATTTTTTAAAAAGTAGTACATGGCTCACACCTATAATCCCAGCACTTTGGGAGGCCGAGGTGGCGGATCACTTGAGGTCAGGAGTTTGAGACCAGCCTAGCCAACATAGTTAAACCCCATCTCTACTAAAAATACAAAAATTAGCTGAGCATGGTGGTGGGCACCTGTAATCCCAGCTACACAGGAGGCTGAGGCAGGAGAATCGGTTGAAACTGGGGGCGGAGGTTGCAATGAGCTGAGATTGTGCCACTACACTCCAGCCTGGGCGACAGAGTGAGACTCCATTTGAAAAAAAAAAAAGTAGTACAGAGGTACTTCTGTGACACAAATACAAACCTTTAACCATTTTACCATTGGTGTTCAACTTTACCTCAGATGGTCCACCTTATGAAAGACTGAACCACAACCATCATTCTATATCAGTACACATTAACCTTAAAGGCAGTAGGCTCCACATCATAAGGACAAACAAATTAGAAATCTCTAGAGTAATTGGTACTAAGAAGAAACTAAACTCATTTAATGATACACTACCTCCTTATAAACTGAAAATTATAGTCTAGGTGTTTTTTGTTTGCATTTTTAAATTAGTCAAAACATTAATGCTTTCTAATGTGATTTCCTAAGGTTGCTTTACTGTTTTTAATCAAAGGCTGGATCCATCTTAATGCTGAGGCAAATACAAAGTAGATTATACAAAAAACATATACCTCATGACCACAAGAAATTACATGTTGATCTTGCCACAGAATAATAAGAAGCCATGCCTGTGTATCAGAAAAAAAGGGCGGGGACAGACAAGGGGAAGCTCGCAGCCAGTGCTGGTGGAGACTCAGGTAAGCCTAAGAAAACAATCCGTGAAGAAGTTAAAACGAGCCTCAGCTGGACTTCCACAGTCAAATGAAACCTACATGTTCACAGACACATTCTTTGGGATTTATAACCTCAAAGATATTTTTGCCAATCAATTCTAGCAACCTATTTTGTATGTTTTTGGCAACTCTATAGGTGTATATTGAAAATCAGTCTTCATACGTAAATGTGATGTTCTTCAGGAAGCAAAACTTCAAATATGCATTGCTACATTTCAGGTAACAGATGAACTAAACAACTCAAAAAGCAGTTAATTTAAATGCAGAAACACCAAAGCAGTTATCAAACCAAGGTCCTTGCTTGGTGATATTACTTTCCAGGTTATGACTATTTGGATCCAGGAGACAGATAAAGTAACCTGAAAATAAACAAGGATCATATGTTGCCTTAATGAGTACCTCAAAATTCCCCAGAGGTATAATAATGATATCAAGTGCAAAATCAAGAATAGAAAATCATCGGGCACGGTGGCTCACGCCTGTAATCCCAGCACTTTGGGAGGCCGAGGAGGGCAGATTACGAGGTCAGGAGATGGAGACCATCCTGGCTAATACAGTGAAACCTCGTCTCTACTAAAAATCCAAAAAAAAAAAAAAAAAATTGGCCGTGTTTGGTGGCGGGTGCCTGTAGGCCCAGCTACTTGGGAGGCTGAGGCAGGAGAATGGCGTGAACCCCGGAGGCGGAGCTTGCAGTGAGCCGAGATCGTGCCACTGCACTCCAGCCTGGGCAACAGAGCGAGACTCCATCTCAAAAAAAAAAAAAAAAAAAGAATAGAAAATCATCACCCATTTTCATCTTAAATAAAATAATACCTATATATGTTAGGAAGATATTGAAATTTCTTTAAAAACTATTATTGCAATTCACATTTTTAAAACTTTAATTAGCATTTTATAAATCAGCATCCTTGAAGAAAATTTACAGTTAGCCCTGTTCAAAGGTTGAGGCGGCATAAAGCCTTCTTGTGTTTGAAGAATTAAAGCCTCAGAAAGGTTAAATTAATCTTTTTGTTTCTGTATATATAATATATGCTCATTATACAAGTAATACATGCTCATTATATAGAAAAACATTAAGAGGAAAATAATAACCATAGATACTGTTATTGAATCACAAATTTGATTAATCTGATCTTAGGGACCAACTATTGCCTTAATTTACAAATGAGGAAATAGAGCTTAGCTAGAGGTCAAATAAGTTGCCCAAAGACACAAAGCTGCTTATTAGCAAAGATGGAACTCTTTCTCCTGATTTCTAATCCGAAGCTTGTTTCTGATGTACCATGCTGCCCATTTTCTTTCCAAACCCTGATCTTTTGTGTTCAGCCCCTTAAGTTCTCCTTAACTCAATTCCTTTTCCAAACCCATAGTACACCAAATCACCAACCCCTATCACTAAAAACCTTCCCTACCTCCAGAGGGACACACACATACAGGCAATGGACCTTTGGGGTTGACGTGATGTACAATGTCCTTGATCAAAGACCTTGTACAATCACTAGAGGATTAAGTGAGAAAATATGAAAGCACATTGAAAACTGAAAAGACCTGTGCAAATATTCTTCTTCTTTATGGTAGAACATTTACTAAATATAAAAAAATGATTCTCAAAAATACATTTCTTCTGGTACCATAGAAAAACTCATCTTCTATACTGAATAATAAATCTGTATCTAATGCTGCTTTATAAATAGCTTAAAAATAACCTCCTTCATATTGTAAAATCTATACTTCTCATGTCCCCTTTAAAATTTTATCACTTATTTCCCTGTACAGTGCCAAGAAATTCCTTTTGACTATTTTTGAGATAATAAAATATTTTTATAAAATCCCAACTCCCGCATCTTTTAATACTGATTACAAAATTCAGTAGTAAGCAGTCTGAAAATAAACATGGACAAACTCCAAAATATTTCATTTTTACTTAGTTTCCCCTTGTCATATCTCAAAGTATAAAACTGAGCTTTGGGCAACATTAAATAGGTTGTTTGTTCATCTTATGAACATACAGTGCTCTGGAAGCGGAGCTAGACTATCACCTGGATTCGGGCAGCAGGCTTTACACTGACACCCTCCGACAGCCCCTGGTATTAAGTGGTTCCCACACAACCAAGGGGGTAGTGGTACCTCCCACCACTACGGCCCTGGTTTTATGCTGGCCTCCACCATCAGCGCTAAGTTACTTCTAACGTCTTTTTGGTACCTGAGTACCTGTCATCTTTAAGGGAGCCGGTAGGGAGGAAAAGCCATATTTATGCTTATTGGCATCACCTGTGTTGTTCCAAGCTTATTAGACAGGTAAGAGACAGAATAACAAAGCAAAAAGAACAAAGGCCTTGCAATCAGACAAGTCTAGGCTTGAATCCCAGCTCTGCTCCTCTCTAGCTGAGTGACCTCTAGTGAGTTATTTAACCTCTCTGAGTCTCAGTTCCTTATATGTACACTGGGGATAATATCAGTATTATTTCATAGGGCCGTTGTGAAAATAAAATAATATCTGATAAGCACCTTGTGTCATATCTTCCACTTGTATAGTGCTCCAAATATATGGTGTCTATTGTTATATATGTTGATTCAGTGTAGATAACACTGCAATGAAATATTTCTGACAGACATCCTTGGGAGGGGCCTTCATACTGTATTTTTAACTTTTCTTAAATGCTGATATAATTACTGTAGCCAGTATTTCCTAATTGCATCAGAGAAGAGGGCTTTGTCCAGGTCACATGATAAAAGTCTTTATAGTTCTAGGATTTTCCTTATTACACTATTGTGTGAGCACAAATTAAGGACCCAAGACTAAGGATATTGTCTAGGGATTTTATGACTGAGAGACATCATTATCTTTTACTATGTTGCACTCATAATTGACATGCTGTAATAATTGGGTATTTTGTGAGACTTGATAAGGGAAAAATCAGCAGTATGGAAGTAGTATTTACTGGAAAAAAAAAACAAAACAGAAGAACAAACACAAAGATCATACCACTAAGAGGTTGGGGTGGGGAGGGAGCTGGAAACAGGGACTCTTGCACTGGAAACATGAACTATGTCCTAAACAAAACATTAAGGAACTCTGAACTTTTTGACAGCAGTGCAAAATGCAATCTTCATGAATATGTTTATGGCCAGCTTAGTAGGGATCAGCTTCAAGGTGCTGCTTAGAAACAGTGTAGAGTGTCTGAAAAGGAAGATTGAAGATATGAGAATGTGTTAACAGGAACTCTGCTTAGATGGATGAGGTGTTCTGTGCTGTCTTCTGTGAGGGGCTTGCAATCAAATTGCTGTTGAAAAGGGCATCGAGAATACCAGCTAAAATAACTGAACACTTGGGAAATCCATCCCTGTTTATACAACCTGAGGAAGGCAAGGCTGAGCAGCATCTGGAGAACGTGAAGGGGATACTGTTGTGGTGATACCAAGCATTTGTTTTGCGCTTTAATGAATTCAGACAGAATACAGGAGAACAGACTTGACATTGTAACATGAGAGAGTTAGATTAGACAGCAAAAGTGACGATCCACGGCAAAAGTTAAGAGACTGAAATATTTATTAAATAGAATTTTATGTATTTTCTGGCTGTATATGGAGAAAACTAAACAGTTAACTTAGTTCCATGTTTTAGTTTCCAGTCAGCGTAATGGACAAGACTTCTCTTTTTTTCTTTCTACAGTCTCTTTCTATTTGATTAAGATCTCCTGAGACTACATTTGGCCTACATTTATCTCAATCAATACCATTATTGAAAAATGGCAAACTTTCCTTTTAAGAATATATATATATTTAATCAAGCTAAAATTTGCATAACATAAAATTCACCACTTGAGCCATTTTGGTGACTTTTATTATTTCACATTGTGGCAAAACCATTGCCACTATCTAGATTCAGACCATTTTCATCACCCCAAAGGGAAACTACACACCCATAAAGCAGTCACTACCTATTCTTCCCTCCTCCCAGGCTCTGAAAACAACCAATATGCTCTCTGTCTCTATGGATTTGCCTTAGGAGTATATTTCTTTTGGAATCTTCTGAATTCTGTATTTAATTTTTCCAACTAGAAACTGTAGACTACTGTGTATATGTGTGTGTGTGTGTGTGTGTGTGTGTGTGTGTGTATGAGAGAGAGGAAGCAAGAGAGCACCCCCAATGAGAGCCAGCATTCATAAGAAACTTCGCAAGGTCAAATCTATTTGAAATGTTCAAACAAAATGAAGACCTGGGAGGATATTTATCTTTCAATAGGATGTCTGTAATTTAAAGTAGATGTTGAACTTAAACTTCTCAAGAGCCATTCATTCATATTATAGAAATATAAAACCGTTCTTGAAATTTGCCTGTAACACTGAGAAAGATTTTTGAATGGAAACGTGGCTTTATAGCTCCTAAGTTAATGTAAAAAGGTTCACATCCAACAGAAGCACAGTCCTGGATTGGAGCCCTTCCTGTAATAGTTGGTGATAACCCTATTACTTTTTTTCTTCAGAGCAGTGGAATAGTGACCATTCTTTATTCTGCCTTTGTCCTGGTGAGCACATCTGATATGGCAGAGGAAACTGAGGATGCCTGGCCGGTAAGTGAAAAGACAACTTAAAAATGAAATGATAAAACCGTTTTTATTTCCCAACTATAAACACTTTAAATGAATTTTAAATAGCCATATACATTTTATTCTGGCTGGGATTTTTAAAAAGGTGGTTAACCTAGTTACAAACTTTAAAACATGTTGAAAATGAATTGGCACATGGTCTTTAGGGTATCTACTATTTTTTGTAAACTGACTTAAAACTTGCATGACTTTCTTAGTTAGATTAAATTGATGGGAATGTTGTATGTTCTGTGTTCTCAAAAACATATATATGACTTTTGGAAGAAATCTTAATTTTCAACTGGTCAAATGTTTTCTCAGAAGGAGGAAGAGCCCGAAGGGTCTTGTGATTAAAGCGGTGCTTTGTAACCTAGCATGTCAAAGCCAAAAGAATTCTGTCATTTTGCACTTTCTGAATAGTTTGAGGATTTTTATTCTATTTTCATTTTCAATTTCTTTCCATTTCATAAGCCCCAACTAACATATCTCAACTATTCTCATTAATTAGGATTTAAGATTCCCCTTCCACAGCTCACTCACTGGTTTTAATGTCATGAACCTTGCTTGTTTTCTTTCCAAAGTATCTTTCCTACTTGCTTCACTGCAGTATCCCATTTGTTCTTTATAACATTCTCTCGGTTTTGGCTTCTGGGGACTCCTTGGTGACAATGGAGAACAGAGACTCCATATCACATTTTGAGGTATATGCTGACTTAGCCACTCTTTCCACAAATACTTCTTAAACAGTGTCTACGGGAAGTAATTTTTTTTTTAACCAACCGAACTTTTAAAAAGCCACCTGGAAGTTGGGGACAGCATGACACCCCTTCTTATAATATGTAATAATTAATGTAAAGCACTTGGAGGTCCTTGTTGCTGAGACACACTCTGACAAATGTGCAAACTATCACTATCCTTTGTGCCTTGTTGAGGACCTGTCAAAAAATTCATCTCTAATAAGGGATCGCCATAAAGTGGAGGGGTTTATTTACCAGTTCACTCCTTCACTTTAGTTCACTCATCTGAGTATACTTTGGTTTATTCTCAAGGATGCATGTATAAATGACCCTATTCTCCACGGTTAGCAAACCAAAACCTCTCTAAATTGGGAGAAAGAACTTGAATGTCGTGTGAAAGAAAGGAAAAAAGAGGGCTTGAAAAGGCAAAAAGCAGTGAAAAGCAGTAGTTAAACTGTAACCCCTATCTCTACTCACCAGACCACATCCCAACCGAATCCAGCTGCACCCACCCCGTAGACCTTTGGGGCTCCTGATTGAGAGTGCAGATACAGGGCACATACTCATGCGTGGCTCCCTTCACTACTGGGTGTCAGTCTGGCCTGTGCTCAAGGTGTGGCATCTGGTTGGAGTTTCAATATGTAGGATCCACTACCAGGGTTTTCGTGAGATTAAGAAGGGTAAGGTAACCTACTGGCAAAAGGGGCTGGTATGCCCCAGGGGTTGGTTTGGCACAGCAGGATTAAAACGAAGTCAACCAAGGCTAGAGTCTGGTGTTCTTTAGTCATTCACCTCACCCTCCAGGAGGCCACCGAATGGCTTTATCTGGACAGGGACAGATCCAGGGACACAACTGGGATAACCGGTATTCCTGGTAAGCCTGTCACTGGGGCATTTGGAGGTTAGGTGGGGAAGGGACGCGCGCGTGGGGGCGGGGTGAGAGGGTACAGAGGGAGAAGGAATGATGGTGAAGGGTTTGCTGGGGCTGCAGCATCCTCATTCTGTCTCCAGGACGGATTTGGAGGCCCCAGTTTGGGGATACGGGTAGGTCTGTAACTCGCTGCGGGACTTCACCTTTGCAAGCCTCCGTTTGCTCCTCTCAAGAGGGATGGACTCTGATCTTTGCGCCCCCTTCCTGCCCTTTGATTCTGGTTCTTTGAGGGAAGCCCTGCTATGCAGTCCGGGGAAGGAAAGGCATTCTCTGCTGCAGGCGGGCCGGAATGGGACGGCCAGGAAAGCGGCCTCTGTGGCATGAATTATATTTATTTAGATACCTGTATTAAAAATTATTTTCGTTAAAAAAGGAATCCCCACCCACCAAGCTCGCGCTGGAGCTTTGCACTGCGACCGTCCGGCGGCCGCCCTTTCCCTGAACTGCGGGGTAGCCGGTGCGCAGCGCTTTCTTCCAGCACCTGACGCTTAGTTTCGCGCAGAATCTCCCTACGCCGCCCCGCCGGCTCCACGCGCCTTCCTCCTTTTCCCAGCCCCACGGCCGCCCCCCGAGGTTGCCCTCGCGGCTTCCCGGAGAGCAGGAAAACCCGGGGAGTGGAACGCGTCGAGGCGAAGGTCCCCGCAAGCCGCGCAGGGTGTCTGCGGCCGGTTGGACGCTTGCGCCCGGGGTGGGCGACTCCTCCGGGCAAGGGCGCGGGGACGGCCCGGCGCGCAAGGTTGACGGGAGCTCGTCTCGCGCCGCGGGGACGCCCGGGCGGCCCTGAAGGGGACGGGGCGGCCCCAGTCGGAGGTCGCAGGGAGCTCCGCCCCCGACTCGGTATAAGAGCTGGGCCCGGCCCACGGCGGCGGCGGCGGCGGCGGAGAGAGCTGGCTCAGGGCGTCCGCTAGGCTCGGACGACCTGCTGAGCCTCCCAAACCGCTTCCATAAGGCTTTGCCTTTCCAACTTCAGCTACAGTGTTAGCTAAGTTTGGAAAGAAGGAAAAAAGAAAATCCCTGGGCCCCTTTTCTTTTGTTCTTTGCCAAAGTCGTCGTTGTAGTCTTTTTGCCCAAGGCTGTTGTGTTTTTAGAGGTGCTATCTCCAGTTCCTTGCACTCCTGTTAACAAGCACCTCAGCGAGAGCAGCAGCAGCGATAGCAGCCGCAGAAGAGCCAGCGGGGTCGCCTAGTGTCATGACCAGGGCGGGAGATCACAACCGCCAGAGAGGATGCTGTGGTGAGTGTCGTTGACCGAAAGCATATGGTGGAAACCCAGGTGGGGCTTTGGAGACAAGCAACTCTACACGAGTTCTGGAGGAATGTGGCTCTGCTGTGAACCATAGCTTTGTAAAAAGATCCTTTGACTCATATTTGGTGGACGTTAAGGAAGAAAGGAAATTCAGGGTGTGGGAAAAGGGGTTTGCACACAGGCACGGATGGAGTAGATTGGGCAGTTTGGATTGCCTTGTGTAAAAAAGAAACAAAACAAACAAACCAACCAACCCAAAAAAGAATGCTGAAACAAGAGTTTCTTCACTGTATGTGAAATGTGAAGTTGGGCAGTTATTGACTAGGTCAATAACTGAATTTAGTGAATGGTATTAAGTGAACGAAATACATCGGTTCATAGGTAACTTGATAAAATGTACGTGGTTTGTCCTGCAAAGTAGTTTTTAATAATCATGTTCTAATGAGATCAAATGGATAAGCATTCTGCCCTCAGCTCATTAAGTGACTACCATCGCTTTTTGTCACCCCGCCTGTGTCTTTGCAGGATCCTTGGCCGACTACCTGACCTCTGCAAAATTCCTTCTCTACCTTGGTCATTCTCTCTCTACTTGGGTAAGTGAGAATGCATAGTCTTACAACACAGTTGCGCAATTTTTTATTTCCTTTCGTTCTAGCCAGTTGTATTAAGCCAACTTCCAGTTTTGTCAAGCAGTTAAAGAAATAAATCATCCAAGTACACATGCTTTAATGAAAACGTTATTTACATCGAAGATCTTTCCCCATGAGTGTTAGTTAATGCAACTTAATTATCAGATCATCGTAGTTTATGTAGATAGACAACTATCCAGACAAGATTATCAAGGAAAGGAATATTTGCCTTGTTTTTAAATTTTATGTTGCATTAGTAGCTTTGGTAAATAGACATATCTGCTACAAAAGATGGATGGATGTCTCATATACCTTCTCTTCTTCACATTTTAAAATATTTTGTTTTCTTTTTTTGTTAAAATTTAGTTCCAGCGTGCAGCACCATGAGAATACAATAGAATGGTAGAGTGACTGACTTAAGCTAATAATAACATTCTAAGATTAATTGAAACATAAATGACCCCCAGAACAAATATCTGAGTGACAAAAATTCTGGTCTTTAAAAATGTTATCTATAGTTAGATAAAGTTTGGGGCAGTGGAGGCTATCTTAAAATTAATCATCCAATGAATATCAGCAATGGATTTACAGTTTTCCCTCTGACTTTCTAGGTTGTCCTGGAAAAGACCTAGTGTTTCTGTAGATCTGGGCTCCTAAAACTCTCTCCGAAAAATAATAAACTAGAAGGGTGCTAGATATATGTTCAGTGATGATTAGAATCTTTAACATTAAACAATTATTGTTTAAAAGCAATAAATCTGGCTATATTCTGTCCATGGCTCATATGTATTTAAAAAGAATGGAAAGAATTTTGAGAGTAAATTTTTTGAATGTTATTTTCCTTTTAAATTGGAAACTTATATTGGATCATCCTTAAGACATGGATGGAAACCACTGGAAGAGGAAATCTATACCCAATACCTTTGAGAAATTGTTAAGCTACATTATTGGTTCTCTAAGAAATAGCAGTTTATAGATGACATTTTAGAAAAGCAAGCTCCTATCTTACCAGAGGCTTACACAGGGGTGACTCTGCAAATACATGTAAACAAAGTGGAATTGGTGTGAGTTTGTTTTAATTCCAACAGCTGATGATGCTAAGTAGAAACCTAGTGAAACAACCCTTAATAAATAAAAAGCAATAGTTTGTTCCCCCAGTTTAATTCAGTAAATATTAAGTATTAATAACATGTGATGGGAATAGTATCTGAAATTCTCAGCCTGTGGTCTGGCCTTGCTCTTAGAGGAAGAAGATGCCTCTCTTCCAAGTTCTGATTATGGTTTATGTGACCTTTGGTTAATAGGTTAGGAGGTCAGATTTGCCAGAAAACCAGTGGCACCGTGGTTGTTCCAGGAGGATATTTTGTCATGTTCATTAAAAGTCCCACAAGAAAGGTGACACATGCTTATCCCAACTTTACAGTAAGTCAAGCAAAGGAAGTTCTCATGAGAAAGTTGGATTAAACAAACAGCAGCAACTACAATCATATAAGGTTTAGTGGATTTTTACTCCTTTCCGCTGCAAAGGAGTGCAAAAGAGGAATGTCTCTAACACTAGGTAATTATGCTTTTTATGTTTTTTCTCTTGTGTGGCACTCTGCCTGATTTTGTTACAACAAAACATTTATGTTTCTGTATTATGTGTGTGTGTATATGTATTATATATATATGCATTTTCCGTCCCACCCTGCCAAGTCATGATTTCTTATGCACTGAACGTAGGGGCATTAGAGTAGAAGGTTGCCTCAGGTTAGTTTTGTGTGGGGTTGAATGCCTTTTATTTCTGACTTCATTTCTATCTGCCAATGGATCAATGCATTTTACTCTATATTATCAAAATACAATATAGTGTAAGAAGTGGATCCTGGCTAGGTGCAGTGGCTCATGCCTGTAATCCTAGCACTTTGGGAGGCAGGAGGATTCCTTGAGCCCAGGAGTCTGAGACCAGCCTGGGCAACATAGGGAGACTCTGTCTCTGCAAAAAAAAATTTAAAAATTAGCCAGGTGTCATGAGACACACCTGTAGTCCCAGCTACTGAGAGGCTGAGGTGGAAGAATTGCTTGAACCCAGGAGTTTGAAGCTGCAGTGAGCTGTGATCACACCACTACACTCCAGCCTGGACAACAGAATAAGACCCTGTCTCAAAAAAAAAAAAAAAAAGTGGATACTATTGTCAAGGAGCTTATAATACAATTTAGTATGGGCTTTAAAAAAGATATCTAATAACAAAAAGATGACAGTGTAAGACAGTGAAAAAGAGGGGCCAGTTGCTTATATCTGATAACATGATCTTACAAACTCTCTCCATTTAAACCCCAATATGTCTGCATTTCTCCAGCCCTCGTTTCCCAGAGGCTCACTTTGCTCATGGAGGCCTTTGTTGCCACCAGCTCCATCCTACTTTATATTTCCTCATAGCAGCACGTGCCCTGTGCTAGATTTGCTTTTGGTCTGTGCTCACTGGAATGTGAGCTGCATGAAAACCTTTTGTGCGCTGCTGAAGCTCTAGTGCTTGCAAATGTCGGGTACATAGTAGCCACTTAGTAAGTATTAAGTGGATTGAGGACCATGATCATTCATTGACAGTTATTAGGTTTGCCTTCAGCTCTCAGTCCCGTGGGGGTACATGGACACATAAATAGGTCATCCAAGTTTAGTGAGAATTGGTGGGAAGGCAAGAAATGGAAATAAGGAAGGATGGGCACTTGGTCAATATTTACATAGACTTTACCCAAATATTGGGCTTTTTGTAAACATAGAATCTGTTGCTTCTTAAAGCCTAAGCCCGTTGGAAATTGGGGTAATGTGAGCAATTTCTTTCTTTCCATCAAAGAGGTGGTATGGCATGCAAGAAAAAGCAAGATTCAAAACTTTAATAGCATTTGTCTTGATGTCTTGCTTTAGAGGACTCTAAGACAATTAAAAAATACAATAAGAGTAAGAAAAAAAGAAAGAAACAACAGTATTAGAAAAGTGTTTCTTAACCTGTATGTTAAGAAAGAGAAAACTCTCTGACAGAGGCAACCTATCATTTGGGACATGTGTGTGTTTTTGTCTTTTCCTTGGGAGCTATTCAGAGGAATGGAGATTAGAATAAAGTATCTCCCCTCTCCCTATCCCATTTTATCCTAATCAAATCTAAATTTGCTTTTCAGGTTAAAGATTAAGTAACAGCTCCACCCCCTTGCTGTTGTGACAACTCAAAATTACTCCAGGCATTGCCAAATGATCCCCGGGGAGGTGGGGTGGGGGTAGGAGAAGCAAAGTCATCTCTAGTTGAGAACTACTGGTCTACAGGAAGTTTTTTTGTAAATGATTGCTAACATGCATCAATTTAAGTTTTGAATGTATAAAATTATTATCTTGGCTTCATTAAATTTTTAAAATTATTTGACATACCAGGATAGTATTTGCTTCTAATACATGGATTTTTTCATGAAGATGTTAACAGACTTTGGGAAGAACTAGGAGTAGAAGTATTTCTGTAGGGTCAAATCTATGAGGCCTGGAATTTGGTTTCCTATAGGGATTCCCAGAGATAAGTTATGATGGAACATGGTTGTCCTCCTTAATGTTAATTTCAGAAGTCAGGGATGGAGCCTAAAATCTCATAATAAGGTCCACTGTAGATTTTTTAAGACATTAATTTGCCTAATTCACTTAAAAGTTTCTGTTAAATCACATTTCACGGTAATGAACTCCAAAATTCCCTATATTCTCCGGAGTTTGTGTGAAGAAATAAGTAGCTTTTTCCCCCTTTCAAAACTCATCTGTATTAAAATGTTAACGTAACTACTTACTTAGGCATTTAAGTTTATTTCTGACATCACTGTTTATGCAGTGCCAGAATTTGCTGTTACTACTCCTCTTTCCAATCGCTCTGCTGTTTTATGACTTTCGAATTATGACTTTATGAAATCTCATAGGTTTTAGGATATTAGACATGAAAGAAAACTTGGAGATCATATGGTCCATTCCCATCATTTTACAAATTGGAAAACTGGCTTTTTCTTGATGCTCAAGGTATACTAATGTTTGTGAACTGTACTGTAATTGATTTCTGGTTCAATAGCAAACTACTTTATGCCTCTGCAATCAAGATAGGCAAATTCCAGGCCCCAGGAGAAACCTGACACACAGGAGAACACGTTTTTGTCTCAAAAAGCCATCTTGGGTCTGGAAACTGCATTTTGTTTCTAGAATGAAAAAGAGAATGTGCGGTTCATTAATATCATGCCTTTTCAAGTTTACTTAATAATTGGGCAAGAATATTTTCCATTGTGCTGGGATGAACGTTTTAACATCTGAGCAGTATTCAATCTAAGAGTAATTACTGACTTTGAAAGTCTCATAATGTAGCCAGGAAGTGCCCTTTTGATAAGGAAGCAACTTCCTGAGTACAATAGACTAGAAACGAAAAATATTCCATCAAAACATTTTCTCTTTTCATTTAAGGGAGATCGGATGTGGCACTTTGCGGTGTCTGTGTTTCTGGTAGAGCTCTATGGAAACAGCCTCCTTTTGACAGCAGTCTACGGGCTGGTGGTGGCAGGGTCTGTTCTGGTCCTGGGAGCCATCATCGGTGACTGGGTGGACAAGAATGCTAGACTTAAAGGTGAGTGTTGTTATATAATTAAGCCCTTTTATTCATGGGACCAATGCCTGAGCTACCTCTGTAGCAAAGGAAACAACAAACTAGGAGAGAAACAACCAGGGAATGTCTGCATGCCACACTTGAGGGAGGAGGGCTTAGATGGCACCACCTCTGGATGGAGGGTCCCATGGCTCCCACACAAAGTTGGGATGCCTGGACATTGACCTAATAGATTTTTTTGTATCTTTGGCTGTTCATAAATTTCATATGTTAATGATTAACCTTGTAGCACTTCTCTGAGAACCATGTTAAACATTAAAAGTTTGCTTAACTCAGGCTTCCTAACTGTATCTTGTACTGGAGTCCCTTTAGTGTGATGTTCCTGAGACAGCTTTAACATCTGTTCTTTGGTTACTATGTTTCATGTAAGAGTATGTATAAGGGAATTGAAAACTAAGAATAGCTTCAAGGCAGAATAGTTGAGCCTGGATCACAAAGAGCTGAATTATAAATTTTGTAGGGAAAAAGAAGAAATAATAATATCTTGATATTTATTCTAAGCATTAGTACTGAAATCATGTCATTTTATACAGGAAAGAAAGTAATTGATCAATTAAATTTTCCAGTATATAAGGGAAATATGGATGATCATTCAGGGTAAATTTTCTTGAATTGCTCAGTTGATAATGCCAAGACCTGACCATGCCTGACTTAGATGTTGGCAAAAGACTGAGGTTTCATTCTTTCAGTGCGAGATGACTGCTTCTGGACACAGAGCAACAGGCTTATCAAATTCTAGGACTTGATGCTACTAGGAAAATGGTCAAGGTGAACATATTTCTGTTTTTAGAATGAGTAGACCAGAACACATATAGAGAAAAGTTCTGTAATCTAGAAAAAAATTTACTTCTTTGCATCATTATACATAGGAACATAGGAATATTATACATAGAAACTTTTAATCTAATGATTGTTGAGCACTGCAATCATAGATTAGGAAAGAATATTGAATTGGATGAAGAAAAGTGTGGTAGGATAACAATTTCCCACTTATCCTATATAATCAACTCATACATTACTCTTTATGAAAAATGTTTCCTGATACCTCTGGGCTGAATTTACCATTTCTTCCTCTGTGTTCCCATGAGGCTTTGTTACCACCTCTGCTCTTACACAGATATAATGATCTGTTCACATATCTTTTCTTCTTCTGGTCTGTAGGGTCCCAAAAGCTAAGAACCTTATTTAGTTGACATCTGATCCTTATCCAGTGAATGAATGCATGAGTGAATGAATGAATATGTTGGGATTTTATATCAGACTGCTTTCAGTAAGCAGCTTATTTTTTCTTGCAAGACCTTCCAAGCAAGGATGAACTATATTATCCTTGAAGACAAGAGCTGTAATTATCCCTTACATATAGAACTTCATGTTTTCCAAACTGCTTTCGTAAGTGTTTTATTTGAGCATCATTATGACCCTATAAAGTAAGGAAGACAGGTATTACCATTCTCACCTTCTAGACGCAGGCGTAAGAGATGTTAGGTATCCTGCCCTAGATCATCTGCCTACTGAGTGGCAGAGAAAAGGCTACCAGGTGTCTTTATCTGTCCTTACTCCAGTGCTTTATCTATATGGGCGCCTCATAAGAGAATTGCCATCTGTGATGGAAGGGGTAGCTTAGAATTTCGTAGCAATGGCAAATAGCATTAGTATGCAAAGAAATACACTGCTGCTTTATTCTTGGCAAATTTTTGTGTGTCTTTTCTATTTAGGTAAACCATATTATCAGATTCAGCCTGCCATGTAGGAGGTTGTAGATTTCATAACTTCCTCTTTAACCTCATACATGTTATTGTTTTACCTTAAGCAACAAAGAGCTGAAATGTGGATCATGTCTATATCATACTACAGCTCCATTTATGTTAAACTTTCAAGAAGATAAACTAAATGAAAATGTAGTCATTATGATAGACTTCAGTGAACAGAGAAACTTGTGGTACTTCATCATTTTGTTTGCATATTTACTGGTCTGGTGTGATCCTCTGGGTTGTATTGAGAGTAGTTGAGGCAGGACTGACTTCAGAAAGGTTTTCTTTTTATCTGGTAATAATTAGGTCTGTGTATTAATGTATTATAGTAGAACAATTATGTGTGGATAAGAACAGTCTCACTGAGACATTTTGATGTAATGTACACTTTCTCTCTTCCTCTGCACAGTGGCCCAGACCTCGCTGGTGGTACAGAATGTTTCAGTCATCCTGTGTGGAATCATCCTGATGATGGTTTTCTTACATAAACATGAGCTTCTGACCATGTACCATGGATGGGTTCTCGTAAGTTCTCAATGAGATTCTTGATGGCAGAAAATTGAATATCTGGTAGTGGTAAAGGATGAAAATGCTTTGAAGCTATTTTTTTTTTTGGCCAGTGTGACCTTTTAATATTGATTTCTGTGTCTACTGTAATATCCCCTATAGTTTGTTTTGTTGTTGTTTTGCCCACAACAGGCACTCATTAAGTATTGTTTGAATTTAAATTTTGTCCTATTGGTTTCTAATGGCATTTCTAAGAGTTTACTATAGAATTCAGTTGTTTGTTTTCAGCTTTTTAGTGACCTATACTTTGTTTGTGCTATTTAATAAATGTTATCCATATCTATATTAGTCAGTCATAATTGCGTTCCTCCAATAATAATTGTTACTTCTGTTTGGGAATGTCAACCAGATAACTTTTCATGTTGTGATTTCATAAGAGCTTGATGGAAAAGAGGAGAGGGATGGGGTGTGGTATAAACCATGCATCTGGTGTCATATTGAATCTTCTTGTGTATATGTGGATTGATATTATAGAGTTGCAAAGCCAGGTAGGACTTTAGAAATCTTTGAGCCTATTCCCTTCATTTTATTGAAAAAATTAAGACAAAGTGAACGTTAGTTGATTGCCCATTGTCATGCAACTAGAAGGTGTCAGAACTCTGACTTAAATACAGGTGTTTTCAATTCCCCTTCAACATTCTTTTCAAAGGCAATATTTGTGGGAGAAATGTTCAAAACCACCACTGTGTTAACATTTTATAACTGTATTCACCTGACTATTATAATTTTTGTATTATGTGTACTACAGATGATCTAGATGATACAGGTTAGGACATTATGCCCATTGACTACTGGTATTCATTCAGTTTCATATCTATAACGTAAAATGATTTCTTATAAATGAAATTAAAATACTTTTTTTATCATTCCACCAAAGACTATTTTAAACTGCCTTGTTTAGTGACATATGTACAGTGTGGTAAACTGACATTATAACTCATTTTTTTCTTGTCATTCTTTAGACTTCCTGCTATATCCTGATCATCACTATTGCAAATATTGCAAATTTGGCCAGTACTGCTACTGCAATCACAATCCAAAGGGATTGGATTGTTGTTGTTGCAGGAGAAGACAGAAGCAAACTAGCAAGTAATTTGGCTTTCTCTTTTAATGAAATGAGCATGTTAGGATTCACTTTAAATCGGTGGTGATAAATGAGGCTGTAAGCCTTGTATTTTTGTTCTGGGTATTTTTTAAGAATGATAAATTGAAAGCATACTTTTTTTCTTACCTTATTGTCAGTTTTAGTGCTGATTTATCTCACTGTTACGAAGTTAACTTATAGGATAGCTAACTTCTCTTTTATCCTACACAAACTTGGCAAATGGAATAACTTTTCTTTCCTCTTTTTTTTTTTTAAAAAAAAATTCAATCAACTTTCTAAATGTTTATACTTAGAACAGTGCAAATCTGACATGAGATTTTACTGGTCATACCTATGAATGTTATTACTGGTGCTTATCAATCATATGGATGTTATTTTTCTCTAAATCAAATGGAAACAATTGTAGGAGAGACTCTAGAAGTTAATTTCTTCCATCTTAAAGTTATAATCTATAATTTTATTACATTATGTACAATGTAATATAATTGCTGTTACAAATACCAAAGAAATAGAGGACAGAATATAGTTTTTAAGAAGCTTACCATCTTAGTTGTTCATTGGGAATATAAACAAGTGGTCAAAGAACATCTGAAGAATGCTTACAAGGCAACATGTCCTATTCTGTCAATATTACTTAGGCTCAGAATAACCTCCCTCACTCATTATTGCCTGCCGTCCCCTCATATGACACACAGACACAATTTGGATTGACACAAATTGGAATTACAATTCCCCTGTGTAAGGAGGAAGGGTACACCTCCCTACCTGTCAGATCAGCTGAGTCAACTCTGCTGATCACTGAGATAATGGGTATAACAAACACATTGCCCAACTGTCCTGACAGACAAGTAAACCATTCTTGATGACTTAAATGGCATATCCCAGGATACAGAAGGCAAGATTATGTGCTGGGGTTAGCAAGCAGCTTTGTTTGGACCATTTGGTTAAAAAAAAAGTTAGAAAGGAGGGGTGAGTGAAGGAGAACAAAGTCTGTGGAAGGTCTAGAAGAAGAATTTGCCTGAATCATCACTTTGTGGTTGCAGTATTATTATTGAGTTAGAAATTCCACAGTGATTGATTTAAAGGATGGTGTGTATGTAAGATGAATTTAGCATGTGTGAATCTGTATCACAGGAAATTCTCTCTGGAGCTAAAATCATGATTCTCATTTACTTTTCTTCCTGTGATCATTTATAATGAGGAATAATTTCATGTCTTTTTTGTCACATTGAACTAGATGATAAGGCTTTGTCTTTTTTTGTTTACTTTCTCTTTTTAACAAACTACTTAAAGCATGTAAAATATATCCATGTTTTAAAATTCAAAGGGTACAAAAGGATATATTTTGACAATAGATCACACATATATTTGTTGGAATATACTTAGAGAAGAAAGTTGACTTTTACAATGATTATTCTGTGATTTGTGCAGCAGCTATAGATAAAATGAAAATAAAATTATTTTCTTTCACTTAACTGATTTTAACTAACTCATTTGACTCTGCAAAGTCTGAAATATGAAAAAGAAAGTTAGCCAGAATCTTTAACTTGTCCTAAGATATATATATACACACACACATATATATACACATATATATATACACACATACATATATATAGATGTGTATATATATACATACATATATAGGTGTGTGTATATATATATACATACATATATAGGTGTGTATATATATATACATACATATATAGGTGTGTATATATATACATACATATATATACACACATCATATAAATATAACTGCAAACATGCCACATAACTCTGGGATTTTTCTATGAAGTGATGTCCAAGAATAACAACAAAAATATGACTGGTCGTTTCTCAGCTGTCTGTCTTTATATTATGAATTATTGCAGAGTGGAAGAATCTAGGCTATTCAGTCTTTTTCTAACTTTCTGATGTTTTTCAAGTAGGAAAGGAAGTGAGATGTTTGTTGAACTCTTGTCCACTCTACATTAGCTTTTAGTAAGTGGTGCTCTTTCACATCCAGCCAGCAGTGTGGGCTGGTGGACTAGTGAAGGAAAACTTTCTGCATGTTTCAAAACAGGAAACAGAAACTTCTTTAGTTCTGAAGGTCAGAAAGTATCTAATTGTGGATTTTTTGTGCCATTTCTGCTATTGCAGAGTTAAAGGAGAACAGAGAAAAAGGAGGAGGATAAAGGAAAAATGGGACAAAGAAGGGGGAAAGTACATCTAGAAGGGACTCCACCTGCTGCCTTGGGTTCCTATGAGGTTGTGTCTCTTATACACAGACCCACCTACTCCAGGCAGGAAGGATTTGTGTTTATGCAGGCTGATTTTTGAGGTTGTGGCAAAGAAACCCAGGTAGGGGCCTAGGCCAGGAAGGCTTCACCTGTTTGTGATATGTTTAGAGGGTGAAAGGGGAGGGGTATGCCCATGAAAAGTAAAAGTTTTGAGCTGGATGCTGATTGCTCCCATTTCCTCATCACAGTGTTTCTTAATTTTAGAGATTGTTTTAAAACTAGAAGCTGTATCACTGAGGGTAAAAGAAAAGGAGGAATTTTCCCTGCCAAGGTTAAAAAGTTTTAGAATTTCAGTGGCATCAGGCCAAAATACAGCAGTCATTATCCAGTTTGGAAAGTTCCAGAAAAGGTGTTTTATTTTTCTCATGAATACTGCTAACCAGTTAACTAATTTAGGTACTTTCTAGGTGCTTGATTTAGTACAGTGTTTTATGATAACATTCTCTTGTGCCACGTTTGAATCTTACTTCCTTTTCCCAGGCTTTTTAACTCCATCTATTGCTTTTTTTCCTCCTCCATTTCTTTTGAGGATCACTCTTTATTAGTATCTTCTGAGATTTTTCTTGCCCATCATGCTAAAAAATAATCTGCCAGTTAGCTTGATCAAGTATGGCAGATAAATTTTGTGTTCGTGTGGTATTGATTAAAAATCGATTTCATATATGAAGTAGACAAAACTGCTAGGAAATTTAAAAGAATTTTTCTTCTATGGATGTAATATACCCATTATAATAGAAGTAGTTATTTAATGTCATGTTCTGTGCCACAGCTGTAGCTGAGAACAGTTAAATTGGAATCAAATCAACACATATTTGTGTGCTTATGTAAGACTAAATATAAATTGGTAAAGAGCGTATATTTGCATATTCATAAGACTGATTCTTTTCTAGCCTGCTACCAGTAAGATGATTAAGTCTTTTTTTTTTTTGAGACGGAGTCTCGCTTTGTCACCCAGGCTGGAGTGCAGTGGCACAGTCTCAACTCACTGCAAGCTCCGCCTCCTGGGTTCACGCCATTCTCCTGCCTCAGCCTCCTGAGTAGCTGTGACTACAGGCGCCCGCCACCATGCCCGGCTAATTTTTTTGTATTTTTAGTAGAGACAGGGTTTCACTGTGTTAGCCAGGATTGTCTTGATCTCCTGACCTCGTGATCCACCCGCCTCGGCCTCCCAAAGTGCTGGGATTACAGGCGTGGGCCACTGCACCCGGCCTAAGTCTTTTTTTTTTTTTTTTAATTATCCATTCTGCATCAGAAAAATAAAAGCTGTTTTTTAATACAACATTTCTACTGACACCTACATATTATTAACTTTCTAAGTATAATATAAAAGATGGAAATTGGTGACATTGGGAAGCTCCGTGAGCTCTTAAAAACTGAAGTAGTGAAAGGGTAAGAAATAATTTTAACTAAAATAATTTGTTGTTGTCATTCTGGGACTTTAAGATTCAAATATATGTTTTCTTTAGTTACTTGCTTTTTGGATTCCAATTATTGAGTTATTTGGATAAATTCCACACTTCTCTGTTGGCATATGAGTTGGAAACTTATTAGTTAGTGGGAGGCAGATGGTAGTGAAACCTCTGCGGTGGCAGTCAAGTGTAAGATCAATGAAGGCTGCCTTTGCCTCTCAAGTGAAAGGTGAAATATGTCAAAGTTCTCCTGTTATCATATATGCAATATATACTCATAGGGCTAATTGGAAAGCAATTGAGGACCAGGAAGAATTACAGAAGGAATAAAGGCAATCTTCTGTTAATGTACTTCTTCGTCACGTATTGTTTTTCTGTTAAGGTGACCCAAATGATTGCTTAAGACTTGTCTCACTAATTTTCACTCTGTTCTGTGAGACAGGAAGTGAAAAAGTAGATCACTTTCTTCACTTTCTTTTTGTCCTAAAACTTTTGGTTTTATTTTATTTTAATTAATTTTTTATACTGACACATAATTGTGCTTATTATGGAGTACATAGTCATGTTGTGATGAGATGAGATGGAGATACATCTCCATCATCTCAAACATGTATCATTTCTTTGTGTTGGACATTTTTTTAACTTCCTCTTTATTGATTTTGTCCTGCACTCTGACTCAGGAATACATTCCCGTAGTCAAACTCTAGACTTTGTTATCACCACTAAATTCTCTCCTCCCATAATCTCAGTCTTAGGCATCCATATTTTGAGAAATCACCTTCTGTCTTTCCACCAACTTCTTCACTACCACAGCCTCAACAATCCATGTGGTTGGCACCTACAAACCATTCATTCCACGGCCTTTTCACTGTCCATGATCTCTCTCTTGTCTCTTTCTTACCCAGCTTAAAATTCAAGGCCAGTCATGATTATATGATCATCTCTTGGCATATACCCTCAGCTCAGTTGGCCCCCTCTCGTTTTGTCACTTTTGTTTGGTAAGACTTTGGTTAAATCCAACTTTCCACAGTAGAGCATGGCTGGAAAAAAATGCACGAACTTGCTCAGCATTCTCACTTGAGGTTCAGGGCCACAGAGTTGGTCCTTTCATGCTTCCAGATAATCACACTATTTTCTCTGATTCTTTCCTTCTCCACTTTCCTAGAGGACCATTCACAGTTGTTTCTCCTCTCTCATCACATGTTCAAGTCCTCCTCCCCCATCCTCACTTTCGTCAATGACCTGGCTTTGTATTTTGCTGAGAAAATGGAATAAATGAGAAGAAAGCTTCCATGTGATTCCACCATCATGTCTCTCTTCCTACCTGTACCTGAAGCCATATATGTGGTCTCTACTCTTGTTACTATTGATGAATTGTGTTCCTGTCTAAGAGCAACTCCTTCAGTTATGCGGTAGATTCAGATTACATCCCTTATCTACTGTATCATTCCAGGCAGCACATAATCCTGCTCTAATTTTGCTCCTCTTAAAAATCCCTATCTTTAGCACACTTCCTTCTCTGCTACTCTATTTCTTTGTTCTTCTTTTTGTCAAAACATATCCAAAAGACTTGTCTATTTCCAATTCCATTTTTTGGGCAGTACCTTGCTTTCCATAAGGCCATGGGAAGCATTCACATTGTGCTCCAGGGTATGACTCACTGAAAATACAAATGGTGTCCCCTGGGGTTGGCACCAGTCTCTTAAATCAGCTTTATTCAGGCATTGCCCTTATCGTTCTCCTTTTTTTGAGGTCTCCAGAATCTCTCTTGTGACCAAGCTAGTGTTTCTTTTCAGTGCTTCTCGTTGCTGTGATGCTCTTTTTTTCAGTGAGTCCTCTGACCTCGCCTTATTTAGAACATTCCCCTGGGCACTCTCTGCCCTTTTGCTTCATTACTTTTCACCATAGTATTTAATAAACATCTGACATATGCAGTGTTTGTGTGTGTATACACACACACACACACGCACACACACACACACATATGCTTGTTGATTTATTGTCTTTTCTTTCCTGTGAGAATATAAACTCTGTGAAGACAGGGAAGAATGTTACTTTTCTTCTTTATAGTGTTAAGAATTGTTGAGAATAATGACTAGCTTATAATAGGCATTTAAGATATATTTGTTGAAAAAAATGAATGTAGAGTCACTGCTGTATTCATTTTAAAAAGCTATTAGACTGATTTATGCAATTCCAAGGGGATTATCATTGTTGAGGCAAATTTAGTGGGACTTGACCCAAACAACAAATATTTTTCCAACAAAATGTCTTTCTTACAAATGTACTTTTAGAAAACCACATTTTAGGAATCTATACTCTTGGTTTACAGCTTTGTATTGTGTAAATGGGCAGTCTCTCTTTGATGGGTTTGCACACTTACCTGCCTCTTTCACCTGCCTCTCTAGATATGAATGCCACAATACGAAGGATTGACCAGTTAACCAACATCTTAGCCCCCATGGCTGTTGGCCAGATTATGACATTTGGCTCCCCAGTCATCGGCTGTGGCTTTATTTCGGGATGGAACTTGGTATCCATGTGCGTGGAGTACGTTCTGCTCTGGAAGGTTTACCAGAAAACCCCAGCTCTAGCTGTGAAAGCTGGTCTTAAAGAAGAGGAAACTGAATTGAAACAGCTGAATTTACACAAAGGTAAACTGAACACAATGATCTCTCCTTTTGTTCTCATGTTCAGACCTTAAATGTTGGTGAAGATCAAAACTATTTTGAATTTGTATCAGGTTTTATTACCAGTGGGGGCCAGATGAGGTTAAATATATCGCTTTGGTAGACGAGGCAAGAGCAGGCTTTTGAGGATCTAGGGAAAAACTCCGGGTTGAATCTGGTGGGGTTAGAATGGGTCCCCTAGCCCTCTTCCTTGATGTGAGCAGTAGTTATAGAGGTTCAATTTTACTTGAGAGATAGCTGGGCAAAGCTAAGTCATAGGACTGGGAAAAAATGTGGGGAAAAAAAGAGAATGAGAGAATCCCTTGGACTCTGTGAGGAGGGAGTTATGTAGTCATTTGTAGGACAGTGGAAGGGAGTGAGGACACAAAGATGGGTATTTCACTGGAGAAGAGGACGCTGGGCTTCTGGGTAAACAGAATCTTTTATCCAGCTCTGCAGGGACCCAGAAAATAATATGCTGGTTGTTTTTTGTTTTTTTGAGACAGAGTCTCGCTCTGTCGCCCAGGCTGGAGTGCAGTGGCGCGATCTTGGCTCACTGCAAGCTCTGCCTCCTGGGTTCACGCCATTCTCCTGCCTCAGCCTCCCAAGTAGCTGGGATTGCAGGCATCCACCACCACACCCGGCTAATTTTTTGTATTTTTAGTAGAGACGGGGTTTCACCATGTTAGCCAGGATGGTCTTGATCTCCTGACCTCGTGATCTGCCCGCCTCGGCCTCCCAAAGTGCTGGGATTACAGGTGTGAGCCACCGTGCCTGGCCAATACGCTGTGTTTTTTTAGACAATTTTAATATTTTATCTGGTGAGTTTTCCTGCTGTTTACTTTGGTGGGAGTATAATTTCTAAGAGCAAGAGAGAGAGAGAAAAAAAAGAGGGATAGATCAATAGTATTTTGTTTATTTAATAAAAATGACACTTGATGATTATTCCTTGGCTGGAATTCTTAGATTATTAGTAAAAGAAAATACATATTACAATGTCTAACCAAGGGTACCCATTGGGAAGGGGAATAGAAGGAAAAAAAGTACTACTAATAATTGGCTTTTATTTCTACATGTCCTCCCCAACAAAATAATGGTATCTTTTCTTAACAGATACTGAGCCAAAACCCCTGGAGGGAACTCATCTAATGGGTGTGAAAGACTCTAACATCCATGAGCTTGAACATGAGCAAGAGCCTACTTGTGCCTCCCAGATGGCTGAGCCCTTCCGTACCTTCCGAGATGGATGGGTCTCCTACTACAACCAGCCTGTGTTTCTGGCTGGCATGGGTCTTGCTTTCCTTTATATGACTGTCCTGGGCTTTGACTGCATCACCACAGGGTACGCCTACACTCAGGGACTGAGTGGTTCCATCCTCAGTATTTTGATGGGAGCATCAGCTATAACTGGAATAATGGGAACTGTAGCTTTTACTTGGCTACGTCGAAAATGTGGTTTGGTTCGGACAGGTCTGATCTCAGGATTGGCACAGCTTTCCTGTTTGATCTTGTGTGTGATCTCTGTATTCATGCCTGGAAGCCCCCTGGACTTGTCCGTTTCTCCTTTTGAAGATATCCGATCAAGGTTCATTCAAGGAGAGTCAATTACACCTACCAAGATACCTGAAATTACAACTGAAATATACATGTCTAATGGGTCTAATTCTGCTAATATTGTCCCGGAGACAAGTCCTGAATCTGTGCCCATAATCTCTGTCAGTCTGCTGTTTGCAGGCGTCATTGCTGCTAGAATCGGTAAGAAATCTCTTTTTATATATTAATGAACTAAAGTGTCTTTTTGTAATGTAGGTTCAGAGAATCCATTAATAAATGATCTGAAATGTTCCCTAAATGTTAATTTAAGCAAAATCCACTCTTACGAAATTTTTATTTTACATATTTATACTTTATATTTATTGTGTTTTTTATTTTATAGTTTGAAAACCTGTATTTGTTTACTTTATTATATACATATACTTAAAACATGGTTCAGGCTTGAAAATAATTTTTTCTAAATGAATATCTTAAATATTACTTGTTTTTTTTTTTGTTTTTTTTTTTTTGAGATCAGGGTCTTGCTCTGTTACCCAGGCTGGAGTGCAGTGGTGCAGTCACAGCTCACTGCAGCCTCGACCTCCTGGGATCAAGCAGTCCTCCTGCCTCAGTCCCCCAAGTAGCTGGGACTACAGCCATGTGCCACCATACCTTGCTAATTTTTGTATGTTTTGTAGAGATGGGGTTTTGCCATGTTGCCGAAGGTGGTCTTGAATTACTGAGCTCAAGTGATTACTTTTTAAATGTAATTTAATTTATAAAAGATATTAGCTATATTAATTATACTGCCATCTAGTAGAGTCTTGATATTGCAATAACCTTAACAAAAAAACTGTAGTTTAGAAAATATTCCCATAGGACAACACTAAAAAGGTAATGTTTTTGGCTTTAAAAGAAGATGTGAAAGTGATAAAAAAAATCCTTCAAAGGTCTTCTCTAGCAAATATGTATTTATTATATAGTTTGCCACACAAATGGATTTTATAGCCCTGGAAGGAAACATAAAGACTTCTTACAAAGCAAAATTTAAGTAATAATTAATAGAGTACTGATGAATTATCTCTGAATTCAGTCTTGAAATGAAACTGTTTTTATCTTGTGATACAAAACAGTTCATTAGTTTATTGAAGATATTAATTTCCAGGCAAGACAGCTTTATTGTTTGGGCTTTAGAACTCTAGCAGTAATATAACAATGGTTTAAAGTTTCCTTACACTTTAACCATAACCATTTATTAGGTCATTTGAAACTTAAAAAATACTAGTACTTATACTATAATAGGATTTATTATGTCTCTGATTTCAAAGTTTTGTTTTTGTAGTATGAATAATCACAGAAAAACAGAACTAAGAAGTTTGTAGATTAGACTTCTTTTTGTCTGATGACTGTAAAAATCATTTATTGAGGCCACTAATAACCCAATATTTATTTATGAAAAATAATTCTTAAGGCAAGGCTATGGTATATTTAAGGTGACTTAAAGACAGTCAGGCTAAAATGTATATTTTGCATATGTCAACAGATTTTTATCTGTGATTTGAAATGTATGCCTGTAAACTAAAATCTAATCTTTAAAAAAATATTTTATTATAGGTCTTTGGTCCTTTGATTTAACTGTGACACAGTTGCTGCAAGAAAATGTAATTGAATCTGAAAGAGGCATTATAAATGGTGTACAGAACTCCATGAACTATCTTCTTGATCTTCTGCATTTCATCATGGTCATCCTGGCTCCAAATCCTGAAGCTTTTGGCTTGCTCGTATTGATTTCAGTCTCCTTTGTGGCAATGGGCCACATTATGTATTTCCGATTTGCCCAAAATACTCTGGGAAACAAGCTCTTTGCTTGCGGTCCTGATGCAAAAGAAGTTAGGAAGGAAAATCAAGCAAATACATCTGTTGTTTGAGACAGTTTAACTGTTGCTATCCTGTTACTAGATTATATAGAGCACATGTGCTTATTTTGTACTGCAGAATTCCAATAAATGGCTGGGTGTTTTGCTCTGTTTTTACCACAGCTGTGCCTTGAGAACTAAAAGCTGTTTAGGAAACCTAAGTCAGCAGAAATTAACTGATTAATTTCCCTTATGTTGAGGCATGGAAAAAAAATTGGAAAAGAAAAACTCAGTTTAAATACGGAGACTATAATGATAACACTGAATTCCCCTATTTCTCATGAGTAGAT
Source organism: Homo sapiens (assembly GCF_000001405.40). Classification (NCBI taxonomy): domain Eukaryota; kingdom Metazoa; phylum Chordata; class Mammalia; order Primates; family Hominidae; genus Homo; species Homo sapiens. The sequence goes on along the minus strand of NC_000002.12, from coordinate 189,561,599 downwards.
ACAATCTTACGTAAAAGAGTGGTTAGTCACGTGAATTCAGTTATCATTTGACAGATTCTTATCTGTACTAGAATTCAGATATGTCAGTTTTCTGCAAAACTCACTCTTGTTCAAGACTAGCTAATTTATTTTTTTGCATCTTAGTTATTTTTAAAAACAAATTCTTCAAGTATGAAGACTAAATTTTGATAACTAATATTATCCTTATTGATCCTATTGATCTTAAGGTATTTACATGTATGTGGAAAAACAAAACACTTAACTAGAATTCTCTAATAAGGTTTATGGTTTAGCTTAAAGAGCACCTTTGTATTTTTATTATCAGATGGGGCAACATATTGTATGAAGCATATGTAGCACTTCACAGCATGGTTATCATGTAAGCTGCAGGTAGAAGCAAAGCTGTAAAGTAGATTTATCACACAATGACTGCATACAGACTTCAAATATGTCAATAGTTTGGTCATAGAACCTAGAAGCCAAAAGCCACACAGAAGGGCAAGAATCCCAATTTAACTCATGTTATCATCATTAGTGATCTGTGTTGTAGAACATGAGGGTGTAAGCCTTCAGCCTGGCAAGTTACATGTAGAAAGCCCACACTTGTGAAGGTTTTGTTTTACAAATCACTTGATTTAACACACTCAGGTAGAATATTTTTATTTTTACTGTTTTATACCCAGAAGTTATTTCTACATTGTTCTACAGCAAGAATATTCATAAAAGTATCCCTTTCAAATGCCTTTGAGAAGAATAGAAGAAAAAAAGTTTGTATATATTTTAAAAAATTGTTTTAAAAGTCAGTTTGCAACATGTCTGTACCAAGATGGTACTTTGCCTTAACCGTTTATATGCACTTTCATGGAGACTGCAATACGTTGCTATGAGCACTTTCTTTATCCTTGGAGTTTAATCCTTTGCTTCATCTTTCTACAGTATGACATAATGATTTGCTATGTTGTAAAATCTTTGTAAAAAATTTCTATATAAAAATATTTTGAAAATCTTAATTTTTCCTGAATTCTGTTCCCCAATTATTTAACAAGGCTTTTGTTACAGAACATCTGTTTTGGGTAACTTGTTTTTCTCTATAAAGGGCTACAGTGTCATGATTTTTAGTGTTATCTCCCTGTTCATATTTCTAGTTTATGGTGGACTGGATAAAAGTGTAGTAGACATGAGGCCCAGCACTCTTTCTTTGACTTTGAATATGTCACACTAAGCACTTTTAAGTTCTCACTTCTATTTTCCCTTCTGTAAATTGGAAATGATAGTAAAAACAACCCTACCTACCTTTCAACTTTCCTGGTTGAATGAAATAAGAGAAGCCATGTGGAATTACTTAGTGAACTACAAGACAAGGCAGCATTTTTACTAGAGGTTGGACCTTAGTAATGACGGGGAGCTGAGGAGAGATGTCTGCTGCCTCTAGAGAGAGTAGAGCCACATTCTGCATAAAGGAAACATTTATTGGGGACTTGATCTAAACTGTTATCAGTCCTAGGGATTCAGACTGGACTCAGACATAGTTGATCAGAGCCTCCTTTCCTTTCTCCTAAAATTGAGAACTTGAGAGCATTTGGCATCGCCCTGCAGCTACTGATCTGTTCATGATGTTTGTGCAAACTAGATGCCTCTGTTAGGTTTGGCTGCTGTCTTGAACTGGCTCTCTGCTCCCTCCCACAGGGGTCAAGGCTGGGATTGAAGATCTGTCCTGAATGTTTGCAGCTGTAACTGAAGGCCTATGACCTTGAAAAATGAACAGAACCACATTAGCAAGGGGAGGCCTCAGCTCTTAATATGGGCATTTTGCCATTCTGTGCATCTAGTGAGAGAGGCCCTGTGTAGGAAGAAGAAGCATGGAGTTGAAGAGTTAATAGGAATTTTTACAGCTGTTGCTCTTACCTTTGCAGACTACTGCTCAGAGCAGGAAGAGGAAGGAAGTGGAAAAGAATCACTGCTGGTCTGGACAGCCTTTGTTGTTTACTTCCTCAGACCACAGAAGTAGGGCAGGGGTAGGTGACCTGTGTGGCTGTGTTATGGGGGTGCTTCTAAATATGGGGTCAAACTCAAATAACTGCAGAGCCAATTAGGTCATTAAAATGAATGAAGTAGATTTGAAATAGGAAAATACTCGTTTTATATGTAATTGCATTTTACCGAAGTATTTAATTTTGTTCCCACTTAAAAACAAATTCATTACATTTTTTTTCCTGCTTTTCTCTGTTGCAGGCTTCTTACAGTTATTAAGTTGGTTCTTTCAGCATACACACCCTTTGTTTGCATATTAAACATAGGTAAATCATCTTCATTTCTATAAAGAAATATCCCCCTTTTTTGGAAAATCTGGCTTGATTTTTTTTTTTTCCTTTTTCCCTACCCTTTAAGAAAATAAAAGTGTAAATAAGAAATTACTTTACTGTTTCCCATAAGACAAAAGACAGTACAAGAGGCATGCTAAATGACACATGGCCTTGGCAGTCCTACTGGAGTGGTAATAGGGTACACCCAGGTTAACGGGTCAGCTGTAAGCACTCCCCATTGCCATGCTGGAATGTGGGTCCTGTGTTGTCAGATCTTTTGATCTTCAAAGAGGAGCTGGGGATTCTGGAATCTCCAGATTCTTTTTTGTTTGTTTGTTTGTTTGTTTGTTGTTTTTGAGACAGAGTCTCACTCTGTCACCCAGGGTGGAGTGCAGTGGCATGATCTGGGCTCACTGCAACCTCCGCCTCCTGGGTTCAAGCAATTCTTGTGCCTCAGCCTCCCGAGTAGCTGGGGCTATAGGCCCCCACCACCACACCCAGCTAATTTTTGTATTTTTAGTAGAGAAGGGGTTTCACCATGTTGGCCTGGCTTGTCTCGAACTCCTGACGTCAGTTGATCTGACTGCCTTGGCCTCCCAAAGTGCTGGATTACTAGCGTGAGCCACTGCCTCTGGCCTGGGATCTCCAAATTCTTAAATATTGACAACTTATTTGAAAGTGCTAAAAATACTTTGCTAGCCAAACAAAATACATGCCATTTTAAAAGCTTTTCTCTCAGGGGATTGTTTGTGAGCAAGGAGATAGAATTTAATTAAAGCTACTAAGTGTAGGAAGAGAGCAGAATGAATGGACAAGAACTGCAAAGTAAGGAGAACAAGAAAGAACTGGGCAGACATTTGTGGTAAAGAGTATTAAGCTATTAGGCATCCTTTATTGGAGGTTCCTTTAGGTCAAATGATCTATGTATTTATTACTTGCCATACTGATGTAAGTACGAATTCTACCACATAGTTCCTTTAGTCCATGTGTTTGCACTATTGGGCTATAGGATAATGACGTTTAAAAAAAATTAAAAAGCTTTCAAGTTGCCAGAATCATAAAGATGGTGCACTCCTGTTTTGAAAAAGAAAAAAGCACCAAATTTTAAAGAATGAACGTCCACTTCTCCCATCCCACTCCCTGAATCCTCAGAAGTACCCACTGTGAACAGCTTAGGGTTTGTTCTTATAATTTGTTTTTACTGAAGTTTTGAAAACAAATCTTTTTATATCATCATTCGGTTTCCTTATCTCTGTCTGCTGACTATTATTATGTATTTTTTCCCCACATTCTAAGGAAGGTTAAAATAAAAGTCACGTTTGCATTAAGACTGTTGATATAGAAATTTAAAACTTTAATAGAACAGAGGAAAATAGATACACAACTTATCTAGTCTAATATTAATATTTATTGTGATTAAAAATAAATTTAGTCCACAATTCCTTTCAGCCAAGACAAAAGATCACTGAGTTTTACTTTTCTCTCTCAAATGATACTTCAAACTCTATGATGTCAGTTAAGTATTGCTCCTTCTTTTTATAATGTTGTCTTCCTCTTGATCCACCTTCCAGAAAAATCTTTGCTATCGGGAAATTTTTCTTTTATAGGACAGCAATTCAAGAATAGAGTTGAAAAGTTAGAAGAACCTTGTGACAACACATACAGAATTAGCACAAGTCTGAACTGGCTACACTTAGTCACACTTTAAAAGTTAAATGACTTTTTTTCCTTATAAGGAGGCTTGTTTTCAAGTCCAAAAGGGAGTAAGTATTTTATCTAAAGAATGGACAAATGGAAGATCAAAGTACAACACAAGTAAGTGCTTTATTTTTTTTTTCATGTTCTTTACCCTGGCCTCTATGTAGGTTAGTATATATTTTTCTATTTGAACATTTTCCTTATTGCATTTTGCTGGGAGAAAAGTGCACTGCAAAGTTTTTGAAGTAAATATGTTCAAAATCAACTTGGTGGTTGTCCTAAACTAATGTATACAATTGTAATGATGATAATACAGAAGTTAATCTAATTAAATAGATTGAAGATGTAAGAGAATAGATATATTTTATGGTAACTAAAACACTTCAAAAGAAATCCATGTTTTGAAGAACTATGTTATAAAGACCTTATAATAAGTGATCTCAAGCAGGACATGGGCACATATTAAGTCCTATCTAAAGTAATATTTGAGCTTAATGTGAAGATAATTAAAAGAATGCCAATGATAGATTTAATATTTTATTTAATACTATGTATTAACTAAATAGATACATATCTTCTTACCTATTAAATCCCAGGTATTTAAGTAAAGACACTCCAGTGGAAAGGAATTAACATTTGAACATCCATTATTTGTCAACACTTTATTCATTTAGTCCTCACCATAACTCAGTGAAAAAGATATTGTCTGTGCTTTATAGTTGTGGAAACAGTTTTAGAATAAATATCATGTACTTGTGCAGCTAGTAAGTAGCAGAACAGAATCTAAAATGATTTCTGTCTGTGTCCAAAGGCTTTCTCTCCTCCATATCCCATAACCCTGGCATGAGCTTTGTCTAATGAGAAGTGCCAGAAAATCCTTAATATCCTAAGGGGCCTATTTGTTTATGGCAAATGAGGATTTCTAGGGTGGAATCATCACCAGATCAAAGACACATTTCTGGCATAAAAAAGTATTAATAGGGCCGCGGTGGCTCACGCCAGTAGTCCCAGCACTTTGGGAGGCCGAGGGGGGCGGATCACGAGGTCAGGAGTTCGAGACAAGCCTGGTCAATATGGTGAAACCCCGTCTCTACTAAAAAATACAAAAATTAGCTGGGCGTGGTGGCATGTGCCTGTAGTCCCAGCTGCTCAGGAGGCTGAGGTAGGAGAATCTCTTGAACCTGGGAGTCGGAGGTTGCAGTGAGCCGAGATCATGCCACTGCACTCCAGCCTGGGTGACAGAGTGAGACTCTGTCTCAAAAAAAAAAAAAAAGTATTAATAGATGAGTGAGTACTGATACATAAGCCCTAGTACAAAAGGCTGTAACACAGGTACAAGCCATTCTTTCCGGAGTAGCTTAGATTGACAGATAAGGAGAACCAGTGAGGAAAGTTGGCAGAAGGATCTATAAAAAACAGCTGCTCCTGTCACCCATGCAGAATACATTTGCAGTGAAACTGACATGGTGACATTTGCAAGTGAATGGCTGAAGCAAGTTAACAGTTAGGATGGGGGTAGTACTCTTGGTGAAGGTATGCCCCACCACAACCCCTGCCCAGAGCACACCCTCCTGTTCTGATATTGGGAGTGGAACCCTGATTTACTTTTGCGCTCTCTGCCCATGTATCTTAAAGAAGTCTACCCAATGACATGACTTGCCCACTAGCACAGAAATCCTTCCAGTCGGTGTGATATCTGTTAAGAAAAACCCCACTTAACAACAGAGGAAATCCACACGAGCTACTTGAATTCATCAATCTAGTCTTTCTCTCATGAGTTTGTGCAGATAACCACTGATGGCCAGATATCTGGGGAAAACCAGCAGCATCAGATAGGGCTAAGATGAAAAAAGAAAGTCATAGACCAACAAAAACAGGTTATTTAGGGAAGAAAAATTTTAAAAAATTCTAGTTAATGTCCTCAGAGATTGATGAAAGAATGGTATCTATAAAGAAAGTACACGGTTTTATGCAAAAAGAGAACAAGAGGAAATTAAAAATATGATTGCCCCTCCCTCCCTCCATTCAATAAAAGGCTAGGTTTAAAAGTAGAGCAAACAGACAAAGTAACTATGAGAGAAAAAAAGTGAGAGATCATAAAGATTAATCTAGGATGTCAAATACCTTTCTATTGAGAAATCAAGTAAGAGAGAGCAGATAAACAGAGGAGCTGAACGGGGGGTGGGGAGCATAGGAGGAGAAGCTGGACTACCTTAATGCAATGATGAAGCGTTTATATGTTTCTTGTGTAATCTGGAAAAAAAGCAACAAGAAACTTTAGGAAAAACACAAAAACTTGTACAAGAAAGTCATGTTCCAGACATGAAACAAAGTAAACTGTTTCATATGGCATGATGCTGAGGAATTACTGGAGTAAAAGAAAAGAAAATTAAGTTTACTTTGATTTTTTTTTTTTTTTTTTTTTTTTTTTTAAGAAAAGGTCTCACTCTGGCTCAGGCTGGAGTGCAGTGGCACGATCTCGGCTCACTGCAGCCTCCAGATTCTCAGTTCAAGAGATTCTCCTCCCTCAGTCTCCCGAGTGGCTGGGATTACAGGCATGCACCACCATGTCTGGCTAGTTTTTTTGTATTTTTAATAGAGACAGGGTTTCACCATGCAGGCCAGGCTGGTCTTGAACTCCTGGCCTCAAGTGATCCACCCACCTCAGCCTCCCAAAGTGCTGGGATTACAGGCATGAGCTACTGTGCCTGGATACTTTGATTCTTAAATCATTTCCTTTGAGTGGCAAAGTTTTCCTTACATAGGATTACATTTCTTTCTCCTGAGGTTTAATCATAATACTTGATTTTGCAGTGAATAATATCAACATAATAATAATGTTCTATATGCTATTCCTTTCTAACTTTTAGAATCAACCAGTAAACAAAGCTTAGAAGACTTAACAAAATAAGGACAAGACTTTATAAAACAAAACTTTATTAAAAAAACAAGACTTTATTTTAAAAACCAAGACTTTATTTAAAAACAAGGCTTTATTTTAAAAGCCTTTATATAAACAAGACTTTGCCAGGTATGGTGGCTTATGCCTACTGTAATCCCAACTACATGGAAGGCTGAGGTGGGAGGATTGCTTGAGGCCAGGGGTTCATGACCAGTCTGGGAAACATAGGAGACTCAGTCTCTGAAGAAATAAAAAATTAAAAAAAAAATATGCTGTGCATGGTGATACGCACCTGTAGTCCCAACTACTCAGAAAGATCACTTGAGCCCGGAATTTGAGGCTATAGTGAGCTACGATGCACCACTTGCACCCTATCCTGGGCAACAGAGGGAGATATTGTCTCTAAAACAAACGAACAAACAACCCACAAGATTTTATATTAAAAAACCAAAAAAACCCAAGACTTCATAAAACAAAGATAGGGTATACTGTAAATGTTATAAATACCAGTAATTTAAAAGTCAGGTATAGTTAACAAAACCTGGGAGTTACAGGTGAGAAGAAGTGAAGGATAGTGGAGCATTCATACGTTCTCACTTTGTGGAGAGGAAATTGAGATACTTCCTAAAATTAATGAAAAAATAAAGAGAATTTAAGCCTATTATTTGAAATCATGAAAGATAACTAATAAAAAGTTATACAGTAACCAATAAAACCTGAGAGAATGGTCAGGGAGTAAGCAACAAGTGAGATGAATCACTTATCTTTCACAGTGGGTCATTGTTTTAGGTTGCTTAGAGCTACATTAGTAGTATTGAGAATTAGATGTAGCTGGTTTAACAGCAGTCACTTTAGTAGGTCCTAATCCTTACCTAAATCTTTTATCTATACGTTTACTAACAAGCTCATTCTTCTCAAATACATATCTTAATGAGCCCAGTGGTTGACTTAATGGGAGAACAACTTATACCATTCATTTGGAAACACAGGTTTAGGAAGATATAAGCAGACTTTTTCAAAAGTCTATTATTGTGATGTGTTAATAGTCATTAAATTGACTGTAAGACTGCCCTCTTTTAAAAGTGAAATATGTATTTGTGTAAAGAAGAAGGAAAAGACTGTATGATCTTAGAACTAAGTTAATTGAAGTATAATATAAATATATGTCAAAATGTGTTATAAATTATGTTATACTGTTTTCTTCATGTGCAAATGTGTTGACTGTGGCTTGTAGGTTATTTGCATCTGATACTTTTTTTTCACTCTTCTCAGTTCTAATCGTCCTTTGTTTTTCTCTCTTTCCTGGCAGCATATCATTCATATTCTCAGATGTTTTGCAGTTCTTAAAACTCTTAGATCTTTGATTTTAAGCAAACAAATGCTTAGCAATGCATACAGGTCTTATAAACAGTTTTATGCAATATGTTATGTTCAAAATGGTGACACATGTTTAACATAACACATTGTAGAAATTCCAAGTTTAACTTCCAAAGATCAAACAAATACTCAGACATGAATCAACCTGTCAGTGTCAACGTTTATAAAATAAGAGTCACAGTTTTCACGTGCTTATTAAAAACTGGTGTTTTCATTGGCTGGAGGAGTGTGTGAAAATCACACCCTTCTAAACACAGGGAAACAAACTAATGATGAGATAACTACTTGAAGACCTAAGGATGGAAATAATGCCAAGTGCTTATCTCTGGTTAGTCTAACAATGGGTAAAGCTGTAACTTCATTTAATACCAGTATGTCTTTGAATTGTTAAAAGCAGTAATAGAATCATCAACACCACAAAACCAACACCATCCCTTAAAATATGGTTATGAATATATTAACAGTTTGGATAGGGAGTTTAGGTCTTTCAGCTTTTAAATAATTTCAGTTAGGGGGTTCCTTTTAACCCTTTGGGTAGGTAACATACTGGGTACCCCAATATGTTACCTACTCCCCTCTTCCATGTATTTTGTATTTTACGTTACTAAATAATAATAGTTACAAGTTAGAGACCGTTTCTATCCACAGTTCATATCTGTAACTATGGTCCAAAAGTGCTAACCCCAGAATAAAATGAGTGATCTGGCTAAAGGAAAACATCACATGGTGAACTGATAAGAGGAGCTTATTGTGAAAGTCTCTGAATATAGCGTAGTGCCAAAACATTGTTTTTCAATGTCAAAATAGAGTTCACTGGAAAATTTGGAGCTGAATTGAGGCATACTTAAAATAGAGCCCTCGAGCAAACGCTCTTAGCTATTCCTCATCGCCAGTCATTCCTGTTGCTGGGTGAATTATTCTCATTTCTAATTTGCAGATACAGGAAGTGAGAGTTTCAGAAAAGTAGACATATTCCCAGTATCAAGTTAGTGTCAGTAGCAAGCAAGACTTAAACAGCAGTACTTCCAATAAGAATTCTGAAGGATGTTAATTTAGTGGGACCTTGAACCTTGCTTAAAGGTAGATCCATATAAATAGGTCATTACTTTGTATTTCCCCACAATTTATCTAGCTTATGAAAACTACTGGGGAAAAATACACATCTTAATCTCATAAAACTCACACCTACTCCCTCCTACAATATATAATTTTAGGGGAGGCTAGTTTGAATTCCCAAATAGGTTGAGTCATTGGTGCCTGCTATGTGTCAGTCACTGAGCTCAGCACAGGAAAAACAAAATAATAGGATATCAGATGTATTTACTGATGTTTTGTAAGGAAAGGCAAAGCATACAAATAAATATCTTTATATTGTGATGTGGAAGGGCTGTGGTGATGTGTATAGGCTGCTATGGGAGGTTAGAGGGCAATGTCCAGACCAACCTGGAGTAAGAGAAGGCTTCCTGAGAAGACATGCTTCAGTTGTGTCTGTTCTGTTTGGGTAGTGGTTTTTTTTGTTTTTTTTTTTTTTTTGCTCATTCAAGAATTCCAAATAATCATGAAAATATAAACAAGAGAGTAAAACTCACCCAAAATCTCTTCACGAAGATCATTGCCGTTGACATTTTAGTGAATAACCTTTCCAGGCATGCATGTACATGTGTTTGCATACCCATAATTTTATAAAAATGTTGCCATACTTCACATGTTATTCAGTATCTTGATAATTTTTCATTCAACAATATAACCTGGATATCATTGCAGAGCAATACGTTTAAAATCATGTTACAATTTTTCGTGGCCATATAGTATTTTATCATACTTTATGCCTTTGTTTAGCCAGAGGACAATTAGGTTGTTTTCTGTTTTTCTGCTGTTTTAGATAATGCTATAATTAACATCACTGTGTTTACAGCTTTGGGTACTTGAGCAATGATTTCCACAGACAGGTCCCTGGAAAACTTGCTAGATCATAAGTTATACACATTTGAAATTTTGATTCATAAATGCCAAAATTCTCTCCAGAAAAGTTGTGCCAATTCGAATCACCATTTTCCTACACCTTTGTCAACATCAGATTTTGTCAATCTATTATATGTTTGCCAATCTGATAAAGAATTTTTATTTGAATGTGCATTTCTTTAATCAACAGTAAGGTTAAACTTTTCAATTTCTTGCCTATTTTTCTGATTTTTATGAATTATACATGTTTTTCATAGGCATGTTTATCATCATCTGATTGGTAAAAGATCTTTGTATGCTGGGGATGTTAATGTTAGTCTGTCGTATGCACTATGGCTATTTCACCTCTTTGCTTATTTGACTTTAATTTTGGTTTAAAAATATTTATGAATTGGGTCTATCAGTCTTCTCTATTTTGATTTCGAGTTTTGGGTGGGCTGTAAAAAGGTCTTTCCACATAGAGTTTTTTTTTTAAAAAACTCATATTTTTCCCTGGTACTTTTACAGTTTTATTTAAATAAAATTAAGCCATCTAGAATTAGCTGTGATATAAGAAATAAAGTGGGGTTCATATTAGTTACCTATGTCGAATAATCTTTTCCCTTGCTGATATAAAATGCTGTATAGTAATTAATAGGTGCTGGAGTTAGGCTGCCTGGATCAAATACTGGCTCCATTACTTACTAACTGGATGAATCTGTTTTCTCATTTATAAAACAGGAATAAAAATTCTATGTATCTCTTGGAGTTGTTTCCAGGATTCATACATTAGTGTATGTAAAGGGCTTAGAAATAATATATGACATATAATAAGAGCCCACTAAATAGCTGTTATGGGATACCAAATTCACATGTATATGTGGTACTATTTCTAGACCTTATTGTTGCACTCACTGGAGTCTAGAAATTCATGGGTCAGTACCAGTTCTACCTTTATAACATGCATGGACAAGTTCTCATTCTTTTTCAAAATTTTCCTCATTCTTTTAGCATATTTATTTGTTTATTTATTTAGAGATGGAGTCCCACTCTGTAGCCCAGGCTGGAGGGCAGTGGTGCAATCTCGGCTCACCGCAAACTCTGCCTCCTGGGTTCAAGCGATTCTCCTGTCTCAGCCTCCCGAGTAGCTGGGATTACAGTCACCCATCACAAAACCTGGCTAATTTTTGTATTTTTAGTAGAGACGGGGTTTCACCATGTTGGCCAGTCTGGTCTCGAACTCCTGACCTCAGGTGATCCGCCTGCCTCGGCCTCCTAAAGTGCTGGGATTACAGGCTGGAGCCACCACGCCCGGCCAGCATTTTTATTTTTCTATATGAACATTAGAATCATTTTGTCAATTCTTAACGAGCTCATTGAGATTTTGATTGGCAATACAGAGAATGTTATTTGGAAAAGTTGACTTCAAACCTTTTAATTTTTCTTTCCATTAAATAGCGTGTCTTCCATTTATTCAAATCTTTGTGTTACTTTATGGTTTTATTTATATGGGTCTTCATTTCTTAATACTGAATATTCTGAGCTAAGTCTTGAAGGATGAACTGGAATCAGCAAAATAGAGGGAAAAAATCGTTTAGTGGCCTCTCTTTAGTTGCCAGAAGTCATAGTTATACTTGGAACACTCCTACTTTTAGAAATAACATTCTTTAGTCAGTCCACATGAGATACAACCAGTGAACTAAACTGGAAAAAAAAAAAAGATGTGGTCTTTCCTGCAAAAAAGGCGAGTGGGGCAGACAGCCAGTGTGAGAAATATTTATGCAGCTGTTGCCTGAACTAGTCCAAAGAAACTTCTGGTGACTGTTAACAATAAACATGTTTAGCTTGCTAAAAACCTATTGATTTATTTAAGAAAAATCCAAAGTCTAATATGTTTTCAATCAGTGTGTATGAACCAAGGAATGTGAATGTTGGTGAATGTGTGTTTGTGGGTGTTTTGAACAGAACTCAACCTAGGCAAGTTTGTGAAGTAGTTCCAGTTTTCCTTCATTTGCCATTTGATCTCATTTTTAGCCCATCTCACCTCAACCTCAGAACCACGGCCTTGGAATACCACTGCTAGGGTTTAAATTTCCTGCCCAGGTACTAACTTTCTGTGTCCTGTCCAAGCTAACACTAAATAGAACCCTCTCCCTCAAATGCTGAGTCATGGATAGCTGATCTTAGTCAATCTTTGCTTAGCTAGGGATGAAATAAACATCAATAGACTCCCCTGTCCTTAAAGTGAAGTAATGTACCTTAAGGTACTTTTTATCCAGAGTTCTTTTTCAGACCTCAGAATTTTAAAGACATTCACGATCTCCCACCCTGTGACTTTTTATTACTACTCTGTACACCACCTAGGAGTATAGGGTTGCCCTTGCTACTCCCCCAAGCCTTTAAAAAATATTATATATATTTGGATCAGGAGACTCATTCTATTCTCAGGGCAGACTATCCAACCTACAAGCCAGCTGTTGAAAAATAATACTTTTGTGGCTTTTTCTCTGCTCTACAAGCTGGATTGGTCTTAGACTTCCTGTGACACAGCCAGGAAGAAAAAACTCATCCAGAATTGTCCTCATGCTAATTACATTTTATTCATTTCTCCAACTTCAAAAATACTGGCAGTTCCAGTAATAAAGTGGTTTCTTCTTTCATTCAACATATACTTACAGAGAACCTAGCAATAATTGTAAGAGGCAGGAATAATATGACAAATTTTTTTAAAAGATTAATTAATTAAGCAAAAAATATTTTTAAATGATCTAAAATTAGATGTGATGATGGCTACTCAACTCTGAACATGCTAAAAGCCTTTCAGTTGTATACTTTAAATGGGTGAAATGTATAGTATGTGAATTATATCTCAATAAAGCTGTTTTTAAAAAGCCATAGAAATCCAAATACCTCAGTGCCAAAAAAAAAAAAAAAAAAAGAAAAGAAGCATAGTTATCAGCTTAATTTGATAGAGTAACCGACTGCTATGAATTAAAAATAGCTAAAGTAGCTTGAGTGGCTGCTTTGGAGTAGGCCGTTTATGTACAGTCTCTTTTAATGTTCATAGTAAGCTTTTGAGGAAGGCAACGCTTATCCTTATTTCATAGATGAGAACTTGATGCGTAATGAGGTTAGATACCTTTGTCAAAGCTAATGTAGTTACTAGGGGATACAGTTGGGATCTAAGCCTAGACACCTGCCTCCAGCGCTTAACCTCTGAAACACTGAGCTAATCTGAATACTCAGAACTGGTTTGGTTTTTGACTGCCCTTCACAGTAAACAACAATTATCCTGAATATTGGATCATTTCTGAAGACCCAGACAAGTTCTTTCACGTAGTTGTGGCTTGATTTTGAAATAGGATCTACAAAACAGTGACTTATATACAATTGATTTTCAATCTATAATTTGGTAGATATTTTCTGGAAATAATAATGTCTATCACATTTTACAACTTGAATTACATTTTAAAGTATCCTAGGCTAGAGCAACTTGCTGTGGGAAGTGATCCCTATGCCTCCTACATAGATACAAATGGTGAATATTTTTCATACTCATTTACCTACATTTTTAGATTTCATTTGTTTCAAGCAAGGTACTCGACAACTGTTACAGTATCAAGTTCTTCTACATTTTTAGAAATCCCAGCATCATTGTAATTGAATATGTATCCCACCAGCTGAGGGGAAACCAAAGATGTCCTTTTGAAGAAAGTAGTCTCCCATCCCTCTGTAGGTGAGTTCAGACTCCAAGATAAATTAGAAATATAGACCAGGATGATTCATTGTCAGCTTGTGGGGAAGCCCAAGAAGACCAACATTTATTACTGACTGTTCAATTTAAATAATTAGGCAAAGCTAAGCCTTGTCTCTTGCAAGAAATCTTGTACTAAAGAGCAATAGAAATAACTATGTTTGCAAATTTTGTCTATGGGGACGTTCTTAAGACTAAGATTTAAGATTACTTTTTCCACTTTCAATAGAGTTTATAAGCATATGAAGCTTCCTTCTTCTGTTTCCCACCCCTCTTTTCCAAGTCCCCAGCCATTAGCAGCCTATGGAACATTTGTAAGAGAGGTGTTATGACGTTTCAAAGATAAAGTTACATAATCTAGTGGTTAATGCAAATTTAACAAGATATTTAAGATCAAATAATAATTTCAACCTTCTGCTCATATATTGGCTGGGAACACAATTTCTTGGTGTGTTAAGTTGATTTTCCAATACAGTTTTTAGTTTAAATTAACAGTCTTTCTTGGTTGTCTATTCGAGGCCCAGAACAAACCATTGTGAGGGCTTATAGAGATGAATAAAATAGAATCCTCACTTTCTAGGAGCTTACAATCTAGCAGACAGAATAGATAAGCATGCTAATAACTCTAAAGCAAGGCCTATTGGTAAAGGCTGTCAGCTACTACATTTGTTGAGTGTATGCCATGAGCCCATCTCTTTATTAGGGCTCATGTTAAGTGGAATAAAAAAGGATCAAATAAAATGCTAGCCATCACAGATCCTGTTAGTCTGTCAGAAAACGACTTTATGTAGAATATGGAATAAGTAAGTCTTTGGCCATAAAGGATGCATAGTTGGGAATAATCCATTTCTATCAAATCCTTTAATTAAAAAAAAGAAAAGAAAGGAAAAGAAAAGAAAAGAAACAAAGAAAGTTGTCTAGTTTGGCCAAAGAAGAGTGATGTGGTTTGGCTGTATCCCCACCCAAATCTCATCGTGAATTGTATTTCTCATAATCCCCACATGTCATGAGTAGGACCCAGTGGGAGGTAATTGAATCATGGGGGCCGTTACCTCCATGCTGTTCTCATGATAGTGAGATCTGATGTTTTATAAGGGGCTTTCCCTCTCCTTTGCTCTGCTCTTGTTGCCGCCAAGTGAAGAAGGATGTGTTTCTTCTCCTTCTGCCATGATTGTAAGTTTCCTGAGGCCCCCCCAGCCATGCTGAAGTGTGAATCAATGAAACCTCTTTCTTTTATACATTACCCAGTCTCAAGTATGTCTTTATTAGCAGTGTGAGAATGGACTAATACAAAGTGGGTACCTGTGCAGCACTGGCAGGTGATGAGGAAAACGAGAAGAGTATATCCACAGTATAGCAGTTACAAATACTGGTTTAGAATTTATGTCTCAGTTTGAAATTTATAGAGAATGGGGGAACAAATGTTTTTCAGCTGAACTTTTGGAAGGTTAAAGCGGATGAACAGGGAATAGTTTAGAATGCAGCAAAGAGAGGCTGAGATAACAGGGAGCAATTTAAGCCACCCAGGTGAAAAGTAATGAGGATCTGGACTAGGACGACTCAGAGGCAGAAAATTTACATATCAGAAACAGAGACAACACGGTTCTAGAAAAACGGGATATAAGAGAACAAGAGAAAAAAAAAAGTATGATGACCACAAGGTACATTCTGGCTGAATGCAAGAGTAATAAATTAACAGAAACAATGTAGTAGGAAAAGACGGCTGAATACAAGAATAATAAATTAACAGAAACAATGTAGTAGGAGAAGATGGCTCAAGGAGAATGAGATGATGTTTTCAGTTTTAGTTTTACTGCCGTTCAGATACAAACAACTGGAAACATGAGTTTGTAGCTAGGTAGAGAAGTCAAGGCTAGAAATAGCAACTTATACAGAATCAGCTGCCTAAAGGTGATCTTGGAGCCAAGGAATAAATGCAGTCCCAAGGGATAGAGCAGGGAAAGAGGACAAGATCAGAGTATAATATGGAGGAAAGTTGACTCTCCTCACCCTGGAAAGAGACCAGGGTGATGCAGCCAAATTATTCCCATGGTTGCCAGTAAACCACTAGAATCTGGAACAGATTCTCTTTCAGAACCCTCAGAAGGGACCAACCCTGCCAACATCTTGATCTTGGATTTCTAGCCTCCAGAACTGAGAGACAGTACATTTATTTTGTAAGCCACCTAGTTTGTGAGACTTTGTTAAAACAGCCCTAGCACACTAATACAGGTCCCAAAACAAATAGGTTAACAATGTGTATCCCCACGTGGTGCACTTTGACATCACATGTACCACAGAGAAAAGAGTGACTTAGTTCCTGAAACAATGTATTCATGGCCAGTCGCGGTAGCTCACGGCTGTAATCCCAGCACTTTGGGAGGCCGAGGCGGGTGGATCACCTGAGGTCAGGAGTTCGAGACCAGCCTGGCCAACATGGTGAAACCCCATCTCTACTGAAAATACAAAAATTAGCTGGGCGTGGTGGTGGGCACCTGTAATCCCAGCTACTAGGGAGGCTGAGGCAAGAGAATTGCTTGAACCCAGGAGGCGGAGGTTGCAGTGAGCCGAAATCGCGCCATTGCTCTCCAACCTGGGCGACGAGAGCAAGACTCCATCTAAAACAAAAATAAAACAACAAAAAAAGAAAAAGAAAGAAAAGAAAAAATGTATTCACACAAGCAGTTTAAAACTACCTCATTTTCCAAATCCATTTCCCAGAGAGAATAGTTCTTTGACTAGAGTTTACACTGAGAGGGAACAGCCAATTTTGGAGAATAAATCTCTGCCACTATTCTGGACTGCTTACACTTCAAAACCAATCTAATAATAGAACTGGCCTGTCCACAATGATTGGCCAGTTGCAGAGCTGAGCCTTCAGAGGTGTTATAAAAATAAAGCCAGGTAAAGTTGCCTGTTAACAGGTGAAGGCTCTGAATAGGTGTTTTTTACTGAGGAAATGATTATGATTTCTGGAAATGTACTGTCGGTGCTACCTTTTGATATTCAGTGTTACTGGAAAAGAAAAATACCAACGCCATTTTATAAAGTGGCCTTTTGTATAACTGCAAGCATTTACAGCTCATCATTGGTGTTCCTGGCTTGGCCATAGATTCTCTCTATAGAGTGGAAACATTCTTTAGTGGTCAAGTTGCTGAGCGGGTGGTTTCCATGGCAGAAATACTTTACTTTGGGCACACTTTAAGTACATTCAGCATTATGCATTTCTATTTTCAAGACCATTAGAAGATTGTTTTGTGGCCAAAGCTTTTCTTTTCAGACAAAACAACCCAAATTCTGGCTAACATTCACTGGATTTAAAAGATAATTTTATAAAATGTAGTATACATTAATCACTGACCAGATATTGCTAAAATCTAATTTAGGCTCCCTCTTCCCTCAAATTGAAAAAAATAAAAAGCTAGGACTTCAAGTGATCATAATCTGCAGAATCCTCATTTGTGTAGGTGATAACTACAAATGACCTATGAAATAATACTGTCAAAGTAAACTGTCTGAACCCAGGATCATATGGAGCCACATTGGTGATACTTACCTGGGTGATTCTGTCCCTCCTTCTTGCTTGCCTGTGGACACACTTACCTCTCATCCCTGGTTCATTCCAATTTTCTGTCTAATGTCTTTCAGAGGCAAAGATAAAAGCAGAAGGCTTCCATTGGCAAGTTTTTAAACTTCAAATGACTGGCCATTTAGGCTGTTGTTCAAGTCAGTTAAAGGACAGAGGAAGAATGGTGTGACCGCTTGTGATGAAAGGGTACTGAGTGAAGAGGGCAGCCATGAATTGCAAGCTCCAAGTCCATAGTAATCCGTAGCTGGCTCTTCACCCTCAGCATTTGAGAACACAGCGAAAGTAGGAGTGGTACAGAACTGCAGACCCCATTCTACTTCTAACAGAGGCAGAGGCTACTATGCCAATTCTGTCCTGGAAAGTAGACCTTCTGTGGACAGATTTTTTTTTCTATTTTCTAAGAGAGGTCTGAAAGATTTTTTTTTAACCTCAAAACTTCTGCTTTTAAATGGTGGAAACTGTATCAGCCTCCTATTGATGTTGTAACAAGTTACCACAGACAGTGGCTTAAACAATACAAATTTACCATCTTATAGTTCTGGAGGTCAGATGTTTGTCATGGGTGGAAATCAGGGTGTTGGTGGGCTATGCTCCCTTCTGAAGCTCTGCAGATGAATCCATTTCCTTGCCTTCTCTGGTTTTTAGATGCCACCTGCATTTCTTGGCTTGTGGCCTCCACCACTACCTTCAAAGCCAGCAGCATAGCATCTTCGCATCTCTCTGTCTCTGACCCTCTGCTTCCTTGATCACCTCTATTTCTCTCACTCTGATTCTCCTTCATCCTTCTTTCCCTTATATGGACCCTTGCGATTCCATCGGGCCCACCTGATTAATCCAGCATAACCTCCTCACCTCAAGATCCTTAACTTATTCTCATCTGCAAAGTCCCTTCTGCCTTGGAAATAAGCATATTCCCAGGTTCTGGGTTAGGACATGGACTTCTGGAGGGGACTATTATTCTGTCTGCCTCAGAAACTGATTCCCTCTCTCTCTTTCTCTCTTCTTTTTAAATGCAGCCCCAAATAAAACATGTTTGTGGCTACCACTTTGTGATTTCTAGTTACACTCTGGCTATCCCATCCCTAAGAGTGAATGTCTGTCCTTTAGAGATATGTGTATATTGGCTGACAGTCATTCACAGGATAATAGCTGAAGAAAGAGGAATGTCTACAGCTTTCATTAATGGGAAATTCTCAGAGAGGACCCAGACATGACGTTTACCTGGGATGGCACCACTTTGGACTGCCCAGCTGGAGCACCTCTGGAATTTATTCTAGATGGAATGACTCAGGGTTACTAACCCATGAGGGAAGGATGACCACTGAGGTTAGGGGTGAGGGTTTACAAAGGTGGAGGTTTGCATCTAGAGATTACATAAGGAGCAGAGATTACACCAGAAAGGTGCAGACAGGGCAACAGGTTATGAGTTGGGGAGAGTTCACGCAGGAACCACTGCAAGGCCTTCAACTTGCTGGGTGCTTTGCCCCTAGACTATCTCTCTTAGACTAAACTACTGCTTTTTCTGCCCAGTTCCTTTGGTTATCTTGCCAATCAGTAACAACTGATATACCTGTACTGCTTTGTAGGATGACAATGTGGGAAACAAATAGGTTGGGCAGAAAAAAGAAAAAAAAAAAAACCAGCCTTTCCTGTTGCTGGCCCCATGTGAAGGAAAGGCGGCCTCCATCAATGAAGACAATGTTTGCACGTTCTAGATGGTTCCCGGCTGCAGAGTGAGTCATGACGATGCCAGAGTAACTCCCTGGGTTCAGGAAAGATATGAGGGACAAAGCTCATTCCTCAATATACAAGAGGGAGGTGTCTCAGTGCAGAGAGAGGCAGGTGGAAGGACAAGGCTAACCCAGGTTAAAGTCATTTGTGACATTTTACATGCTTGCTGGGATAACTCCACTAATCAGACCACTAACATTTGCTTTTGGCTAACAGTTTGAAAGATTCACATATTGGTTTTTGACAAGATTTCAGTAAAATTCATGGAATTTACTAGAATAAACACTAGTTCCTGTCATATTTTCCACTTCATAAATCAGCAGAATAATTTTTCATTCACACCTAGCTGACCCGTGGTCATAGGTGACCTCTTTTAGGTCATAGTTTCCTCTTAGTTCTCGGAACTTCAACTCTTGCTGCTTTTTCCTAGGGAGGATCTTGGGTACAGATACTACCTGGCACGATGAATGTGGCATTAGCCGTCCTCATAACAACAATCTGATAAATCAGTCCCTTGGCAACTTGTGTGGATCTGGCAAAGAGGTAATGGGAACAAGGACTGGGCAATGTTTTCATCATGATTTATGATCTTCCCAGGACAAAGCTGAAGCGGGTCAGGTCAAGCTGAACCAGAATCATGTCTGACTGGAGTTTTCTTGTCTGTTGGCAAAAAAACACTGCTTTCTATCTGATTCCAACAAGTATTAGACATTTTACTGACAATGCGTGTATGCACACTGCAAACACAATGTGAAGAAAGACATTGTCTTATTCATGGTTGTAACCCCAGCACCTCACTTAGCAGAGGTCAGGTTTGCTCTCAGTAAAGAAATTACATATAAGTGGAGTTGGCTGCGGTCATGCAGCACCTGTGTCACCTCAGGCAAGATACTCAACCTGTTAAAAAGAAAATAACATCTATCTCCCAACAATCTTCTAAGGATTCAGGGAAATCGTGGATGTGAAGGTATTCTGTAGCTCTGAAGTGTCATATAAATGTCTTCAGCAATTATTATATGCAATTTGAGTTAGATTTTACCTTTTCTGTGTACTATTTTCTTTAAGAGAAGACACTGATAATTTCATTGATTAACTAGCCTACGTGCCTTCTAAATGGTTACAATTCTTATCTAAGGGCATCTCAGCTAACTAAGCAGCACAGGGCCCACGTCATTTTTTTTAAAAGTTGTTTTGAAATTTTTTCTTGGAAAAAAGAACAGAACTGAAGTCCACATCCATATCAAACAGCATATGTGACACCCAGCAGGAAAAACTCATAAATATCTGCTGGAGTCAATCGAGGATGGAGATTTGGGGTTGTTTTATACATTAGTGATTTTATGGAAGGACTGATATTATTAATCTCATTAAAGAAGGTATGAGCAAACCTCCTCTTACTAAAACAGAGTTAATTGGTTTGAAGAAACCAAGCTGAGATATTTTGGAGGCAGGAACAGATTCAGTCATTGACCAAGTATCACCCATGCCCAAAGGCACTGATTTACTTGTTGCTGAAAACAACTGGAACACTTCACGCTCCACCTTATTATGAACTAGAACAATGAAGTTTTATGAAACTCCTCCAACTTACCAAGAAGCTGGTGAACCAGTCTGTCTGAGTCATAGACTATCTCTGAGTTTGGCAGAACTTAGGCCATTGCTTCTTAATTTTGGTTTCTTTGTCAATTTTTCATAATTAATTCATGTTCTCCTCAGGCCACAAATCTCTACCTGTTATTAAACTGGTTGTTTGACTGATTTAATTGAGTGATTTGCATTTGCTCTTCTTATCCTTTTGGTCGTTAGGAGGGAGTTAATTTTGTAACAAAGCTTCATTGTTGCCTGGTTGACTCTGGAGTTATCTTCGGCCTGCCTGAAGCACAGTGTGCTGCTGTGAGAGGTACCCCCTTCCTTATGGGACTGTAGATTTATGGGAAACAGTGATTATTGCTGCAGTTTTATCCCCAGCATTAAGGGAAGCTTAGTGGTTAGCAAAGGAAGAACGTGAATTTTGGAGGCCAGAAAAAAATGATCTTAAATACTAGTTTGACATTTTTCTTGAGTGAACATTGTCACATTATTTTACGTATGGATTATAATAGACCCTTGAAATATTTAAGGAACAATCTTGAGGCATGGGAATACTCAAATGCAAGAATACTACCCGAATATTTCTGGAGAGCTACAATAGAGAGGTGAGAATACAAACTCAAGCTGAAATAGGGGTGCTCAGAATAATTCCATCTTACTCCCTGATTAATGACTTGCTCAACTACTTCAGCTTTCAACTTGGCATCAGCAAGCATCAAATGAATGCTTTTTTTTTTTTTTTTGAGACGGAGTTTTGCACTGTTGTCCAGACTGGAGTGCAGTGGCACGATCTTGGCTCACTGCAAGCTCTGCCTCCCGGGTTCACACCATTCTCCTGCCTCAGCCTCCCAAGTAGCTTGAACTACAGGGGCCCACCACCACGCCCGGCTAATTTTTTGTACTTTTAGTAGAGACAGGGTTTCACCATGTTAGTCAGGATGGTCTTGATCTCCTGACCTCGTGATCTGCCCGCCTTGGCCTCCCAAAGTGCTGAGATTACAGGCGTGAGCCACCACTCCTGGCCAAATGAATGCTTTTGAAAAATTACACGTTATACACTTTTGGGGTTACTGAAAAATAGCTAAAATCCCCAAGGTTAAGTCTTCAAATGACAAGTCTACTATAATACCTACTTCTTAATTTTGTTGTAACAATCAGAAAATGTAACATAGGTAGAAGAGTTAGAACATAGTATAATCAATAAATATGACACTCCTTCCTTCCAAAATAATGTTTGTTGGATAAATCAAGGAATATTGGTAAGAGAATTGCTTCTGTTCATGTAGAAGTATGATAAGTGTAGGCGGTCGTTGGACATTTTTTCTAGAATTCTCTAGACTCATCACCTTGGAAACATTGGTTGTGCCCATACATTGGGTCTGTGGCCATATAAGGAAGAAGCCAGGTCACAATTGCCTGTTCACCCCTCCTCACTCCTCCCTCTTCTTGATTCTCTATGAGGGAGGATTTGAGCTTATCTGCAGTATGTATATAGAGAGGAGGGAGGTTTTATTTTTTAAATTCATTTTCTTATTAACTAGATTTTTGTCAAATTTAAAAAGTGTCTTAAAAGATGGATCACGTAATTAACATAAATCTCTGAAATAAATTAAAAATAAAAAAGGAACATTAAGAGAATCAACACTAACGTATTAAATACAGTTGACCCTTGAACAACATGGGGATTAGGGGCACCAAGACCCCCATGCAGTCAAAAATCTGCATATAACTTTTGACGCCCCCAAAACTTAACTACTAATTGCCTACTGTTGACTCAAAGCTTTATTGATAACAAATAGTCGATTAACACATATTTTGTACATGTATTATATACAGTATTCTTACAATATAGTAAGCCAGAGAAAAGAAACTGCTATTAAGAAAATTATAAGGAAGAAAAATGTATTTACCATTTATTAAGTGGATCATTATAAAGGTTTTCATCCTTGTCATTTTCACATTGACTAGGCTGAGGAGAAGGAGGAATAGAAGAGGTCGATCTTGCTGTCTTAGGGTGGCAGAGGCAGAAGAGGAGAAGAGGTGGAAGGGGAAGCAAGAGAGTAAGGCATACTTGGTGTAACTTTTACTGAAAAAATCCATGTGTAAGTGGACCTACACAGTTCAAAGCTTTGTTGTTCAAAGATCAACTGTATATTATAGTTCATGTGAGAAGTCAGGGTCAGAGCAAGAAAGGCAAGAAGTTGTCTGTAACAAATCATCTGTATCCCATAATTCTTTCACATACACACAAATTAAATAGAACACTTTAAAAATTACTTCTAATGCTTCTAGTTTAAGATGTCAGACAAGGTACAAGTCTTCATTTTAACATCTACTAAGAAAAAAGTAGAGATGCACAAAGAGAAGTAAACTAATTACATTGTAGACAATGAAATTGTGGATAAACCAACAGACAAATTATTTTAATAAAGTTTGGGAGATTGAAAATGAATGGGAATATTTTGGTGAATGAAATAGGCTGAGAAATTCATCGTTTTATAGATGATAAGCTACAAGGAGATATAAGTCAATCTCTTCTGCAAAATCCCAGAAAGTCTCTGGCCTGAGTCCATAGCAAGGGAATAAGAACTGAAGTTGAAATCAGGGGATTTGTTTGAAGTCTGTAATGAAGCTGCTGCAACCAGTAGGTACCTCAGTCCTTCTTCCCCAAACCAACATGCAGGCAAAACATCAGGTGGCTCTTCTCTAAAACTGAACAATATTTGGGAAAAGCAAAGACTTCTAGTCCTAGTCACCTATGGATAAAGCATAGAAGGCTTTTCTGTGCTTGCAGGACTGAATGCAAATTTTAATAAATTTACATGGTAAAAAAAACCCCAAAGGTATAATGGATAGGAGGAAAAATAGAACATGTAGAAGGAAGGGTAAGGATGCCAATACACTGATACCATTAATGCAGTCATTCATTCATTCACTTGACAAATATTTGCTGAGAATCTACTGGGTGCAGATGTTGTTTTAGGTACTTGAGATACAGAGAAAGGGGGAAAAGACAGACAAAACTTCTTACCCTTTTGAAGCTTACATTAAATTATGCCTTTAATAAGTGAGTTGCAAGAGATACTGCAAGAGCTGATGGGATAAGAAATAGAGGTTTAAATATATTATTTAAAGATATAAAGATAACTGATAGAATTATTAATACTAATAATATATATTGAAAAGAATAGAGATGAGTAAGTGACCTGAATTTCAAGCTCTCATGTATGGGATTAATTAGATACTATCTAAAGTGGATAAATCAAAACAGAGATAAAATCATAGTATCTGGAATTAGGGAGGTAACCACTAAAACTACAAGCAGAAACAATTGGAAGAGTTTGCTTCTAGGATGTGGTATTGGGGGTAAGAAGAGAAAGATGTGGGTGCTATTTTTGCTTTTTATCATATGTGCTATTTGCTTTGTTACCATGTGTATATGTTATATTGATTAATATATATTTTTAAATTAAGTGACTTCTAAGAACAGTTACAGTTGAAGAAGGAGACCAATTTTTCATCTACCAAGTATCACAGATTAGGCATAAAATCATTAGAAATGGATTTTCCTTTCTGCATCCTTTAGTAAGTGTTTAAAATTAGATACCATTTTGGTGTCTCGTCTTGGCTGTAGTGAATGGTAGAGTCAAAATAATAGGTTTGTGAAGACAAGAGCTGGAAGTGAAAGATAACGAGAAGTTTGTACAGTGTGTTATCAGAATAGCTTAAGTGCAGTTCATTTGAACAAAGTAATGTTTTCATTTCTCCATTGTTTACCTGTGCTTAACCCGCAGTGTTGAGGAAATTTGGAGCTAACATTTATTGAATGCTTTTTTTGTATAAAGTACTTTGCATATGGTAAGTCATTTAACCTACTCAACAACTTTATGAAATTGGCATTAATTTTCACATTGGATAGATGAGGAAATTGAAAATTAGACACATAACAAAGCTCGCTAAAGGCAACCTAATTTTTAAGTGGAGAGCTAGGTTTCCAGAATATATACAGTGTATATACAGTATATATATACACACTATTATATATATATTCTAGAGTATATACAGTATATGTAGTGTAATATGTTTATCTTTATAAGCTATTGGGAAACATCCCCCTGTGTGAACAAGAAATGGAAGAGTTGCTAAAGCAAAGCCCTTGAGTAGACACTTAAGTAACTTTAAGAGTACAAATAATTCATCAGTAGTGACAAAAATGGAGAGTACATGACTCAGATATAATTAGGCAGGTAGATGTGAAGAACTTATTTAAGTTCTCTTCGGATTTCTCCTGTTTTATCATTGAAAAGGGGAGTTGGGTCATTAGTTAGGAGTAGCAGGAGAGGGGTGGGGTAAAGGTGTTGGGAGAAGTTTAAGGAGGAGGAAAGGGCAGATGAGTAAATGACTCCTATAGGGAAGATAATGGATAGTGTTGTCTGATGACGTGAGATTCGAAGCTGTGTGTGTGTGTGTGTGTGTGTGTGTGTGTGTGTGTGTGTGTGTGTGTTTAGGGGTTAGGAGGAGAGATGGAAAACGATTTAGAGGAGGAGCAAGGAGGACACATTTCCCACCTCCAGGCCTAGAGACCTGTAACAGTCACAACCTGAGAGGGCTGGAGAGGAAGCAGGGAACTCAGGGAAGAGGCGGCTTTTAGTTGGAGCCCTAAGAGACAGGAACATTCATGGACATTTTGAGGATGTTGGGTAGTGATGATGCACTGAGCACTCTCCAGGGTACAGCAGAAGGGTTGGAGGAGTTGGAGATGGGGTGGGAGCTGAAGTCACAGCCTTACGGATATTGGGGTTTGGGTTTGTGGGATCTCCTGAGAGGCCTGAGTTTTTTGTGCTGACTGAAGTAAGTGAAGATAAAGCAGAGATAGTGGTAGAGACAGTGAGTCTCCCCTGGGAGGGAGCTCTAAAGCTCCTCTGTTTTCCTGCCAGTGGAGGGGTGGAGGACAATGGCAGACAGTCTCATGGTGAGCATGAGTGGTTCTGGGGCCATCTCCTCACTTGTGTGTAATGAATCAGCTTCCATGAGTGTGATACTTGTTCAATGTCTGTCTCCACCAGTAGATGCTAAACTCCATGAGGGCAGGGACAGTGTAGCTTACTTTTGCATCTTCAGTGCCTTGAACAGTGCCTAGCACATACAAGGAGCCCAATAAATATATGTTGAATGAATACATAAGTAATGAAAGAATTGAGGATTCTTGGCACAGAGGTCAGTATAAGCAGCAAACTGATGAGGCTGCCAATAAAAAGATAAAGGGGATAATGTCCACAGTGGAGAAGGTAATAATCTCTTTTTACTCCTCACTGGGTAGCATAAATCTGTAGGATTTTATCCATTTTTGGCTACTACACTGTAAGAAGGATGAAGTTCACTTCTTAGCATGTTAGGCAATTTTGGCTGCCAGAAAAAGGGACAACTTATGTCAGACTCTGTTAAGTACTGAGGGATTTAGTGTAAAGATATTTGTAGAAGAAAGGCAATAGAAATCTCGTGGAAGCACAGGAGTAGTTCTATATGTGGGCCTCATGGGGAATGAAACACACTTGGGGAACTGAGTTATTTAATGGCTCTCTCAGTGTCCAAAGCTTGAGAGTCAATTCTCTCTCTTAATAGTGACTCAGCTCTTTTCTGTCTCTTGGTACTGCTCTAGGAATTCCTGATCAATCATGTCACACTTTATTCTAAATATATTTTTTCCACTTCATATTTGCCTAGAGTCTCTGCTTATTCATTGTTTGTGCTTAGTTACCCAATATGCTCTAAGGCTTTGAGGCTGCTCTTCCTCATCTTCCCCCACCATATCAGTCCAGATACTCTGTAATCACTTTGTAGACTTCTCTCAATATTTAAGCTTACCCAATCAATTTTTCATTTCTATTTGTGGCTTTAAAAATGCTTCTCAATAGTTTTCTGTTCTCTCAGCTGTCTTCTCCTTTGTTACAAGAGGTCACAATTTCTTACTTGGTAGCAACTGACCCATCTTCCCCTTTTCTAAGCCCCTGAAGAGGGCAGGTGAAGGTGGGGGTGTCCTTTCCCTGTCATATCAATCTCTTCTGGTCTTCAAGATGGCATTTTAATCTTTCTACCTGTCTGTGAAGATCTCAATCTTTTGGCTTAGAAAATCTCTCTTATCCCCCAGGTTAATCAGTCTATCTTCTTCAAATTTTGTGGTCGGTCATCTTCTGTTCCTCCTTTGGTAAGATAGAAACATGCTTTCCAAACCACTACAGTTCCTACTTGAATTCCTAAGCAAATCTGACTTCTAGAGACAGAGAAGTTTACACACAATTTTTTGGTGCCTTCCTAGCATTGTATTGTAGGTTTGTATTGATCTTGTTCAGTTACTTCTCTATTTCGGCTGATGATCCATATGTATATCTAAGTACTTATGGACAGCACAAACTCAGTGTCCTATGGGGCATTCAAATGAATCTTCCCCGTTATGTCCTTCCATATTTCTACTTCTGCTAATTTCACCACCACCTACCCAGGAGCTAAAGCTCCCAATTGGTATTTATATTCCGCTACTTCTCTCTTGCCCTCACTCTAGACACTTAATTAGTTGTCTAATCTTAGGCAAAGAGAGGTATCAGGTGGTATGAATTTGATAAATCAAAACATTTGTAAGGCTAAAGATTAAAAGGATGTGGCGAGCTTGTCTGCCTTTGTTTTTTGCTTTGCTGTTCCAACAAGAGATGTGTTAGCAAATGCCCATGACAGAGAAGTTAGCGGACTTCAGCAAAGGAAAGAAGCAGCAATGAAACACGGTTCAAATCTTCATGTACACTCTGCTGAAAGTTTGTTCTGTCAAGATCCCTGCTTTCTTCGTCGGGGAGTTGGACTGTACCAAGTCATGTGAAGGTTAAGGAGATAGTTCCTATGGCTGCTTCAAGCAAATCGCTATGCTTTCTGGTTTCTTCCTTAAAGGTCATGCAGTTAAAGAAAAGTGCTTACTCGTCCTGTCTTACTTTTTATATTGGAGTAAGCTCAAAATAATTCTCAGGCAACAGCTGCTAATAATTACAGAGAAAGCATTTTATGTCTGCCCAGCCAAAGCACTTATTGTGTTTGACATGATGAGCATTGGTGGACTGCTTCCTTCTCTACTTTACCCAGTTTCAACTTTTCTTACCTTTGGTTGTATTTACTTCTATGATAGGTGCCACACCTGCCTCACTAACCCATCACATGTCCCTTTCTTGTTAGCTAAAGGTACCACCAAGGGCAGTACAGACTCTGATCTTTGGTCTCTGAGCATATGACTAGCATGACATCAGCTGTCCAGGAATTGCCATGTCAGTCTAGAATCTGGAAGATAGAAAATGGTCTATAAAATAGCCTACTGCCCACTTCCAGATTCTCTGTGGTGTCTTAAGAATAAATTGTCTGGGTATATATATTATTAAGTATACTCAATTTGTGTCTGTGGTGGTCTGCCTAGTATTCTTGTTAGAAAGAATTTTAAAAAATGTTTAGGTGTCTCCTGTGTATTGGGTAATGGTTAAGCATGTTCATACATGCTAACTTATTTGGGCTTCTTTAGAAATCAGTAAGGCATCAGTTTCAGATTTTACAGATACAGAAAATAGTTGATTCAAGTCACATAACTAGTAAATGGATGAACAGAAATATTATGAGCTTGGCCTGGCTTCTGTCAAAACCACGCTTCTTGCTATATATATATATAAAATATATATATATAAAATATATATATCTAATATATATATATAAAATATATATATATAAAATATATATATAATATATATATATAAAATATATATATATAAAATATATATATATAATATATATATATAAAATATATATATATAATATATATATATAAAATATATATATATATAAAATATATATATATAATATATATATATAAAATATATATATATATAATATATATATATATAAAATATCTGGATACCTGGATATAGATGTCCAGATATATTTTCCTTCCTAGTGTAATATATACATACACACACACACACAAACACACACACACACACATATATATGTAAGTTACACTAGGGTAGCTAGCTACCATGTCTCACCTCTTGTCCCTGTTTTTTTGTTTGTTTGTTTTTTGAGACAAGATCTCACTCTGTCACCCAGGCTGGGGTGCAATGGTGCGATCACAGCTCATTGCAGCCTTGACTTCCCAGGATCAAGCAATCCTGCCACCTCTGTCTCCCAAGTAGCTGGGACTACAGATGCAGACCACCACTCCTGGCTAATTTTTTTCTGTAGAGACAGGGTCTCACTATGTTGCCCAGGCTGGTCTTGAACTCCTGGGGTCAAGCAATTCTCCTGCCTCAGCCTCCCAGAGTGTTGGGATTAGAGATGTGAGCCTTTGCACCCGGCCTCTTGTCCCTGTCTTAATTTTCCCTTTCAGTTTGTGGCTCAACATCAGAAAATTGCATTTCTACTGGCTCTTTGACATTGGACAACCTGTCCTCTGCCTGCATTTTCACCTGTTGGTTGCTTTAGCTTTTAACTTCTGGAAGAAAGAAATATACAGTAGTGTCATAGCAACAGATAACAGAACTTAGATTTGCTCTAGATTCTACTGCTTCTTCAAGGCATTAACTTGGATAAGTTATCAATCTCCCTAGCACTCAATTTCCTTATATGCAGAATAAATAGATTGGATGAAATTGTCTAAGGCTACGTCCTTCTCTAATAACAATTTTTAACCTTAATTGAGAGTTAATGACATTTTTGCTAGGATGTAGGTATTATTTAAGTTTTCATTTAAAGAAATTGAAAATAAACACTCTCACTGAGGAAATTGAAGCTCAGGAAGTTTAAGTAACTCACCCAAAATGACAGCACTAACAGGTTGTTGATCTTGGATTTGAACCCAGTTACTTGAGTATAAAGTCAAATCCTCCTAACATGGCACACAAATGATCCATGAGCTTGCCTCTCCAGACTTAACTCTCATACTGCAACTATATATTCTAGTGACTGATGTGTTTGTAGATTCCCTGTACATGGGCAGGGTGTACGAAGAATTTTAATTGTGTTTTATGTCTCTGGGCCTTTACTTGTGTTCGTAATTTCCCTCCGGGGTGTATCTTTGCTTCCTCTCACCACCTGAGTAATTCCTATTTTTTTCTTTCATAACTTAGTTCATGTGTCTTTTTCTCTAGAAAGCTTCTCAAATTCCCTGGTTGAGAAATGTTCTCTTCCTTGTTCTCATAATACATTGTGTGTACTTTCATCTTCAAATGTACTTTCATCTTCACATTTTCTTAAATGCACATATTTTATTCTGTCTCCCTCATTAAATCATAAGCTCTTGGCAAGAATGTACCTCATCTTGGTTATCTTTTTATCCTGGAATCTAGCACATGCACAGTAAATCTTATTTGAACTTAATTGATCAGAATGATGCCAAGCACAGGGATTTACCCTTGTTTTTCTCAAGTTATTTTCTGAGTATGGTTATATTCACATCCTCATTTTACAAATGGAGAAATGCAGGCTACATAACCCAGGATAGAACCTCAAGATCTTACCCATGATCGGACTTCTAGAAAGAGTTGTCTGTGCACATTTCCCCAATGCCTTCACTTCCCTTTCATAGCTAAGTCTCCCCCAGTTCACCACACTACTCAAATTGTTCTGGCTAAGATCTCAATGGTATCCGTATTACAAAATCCAATATGTATTACCAATCTTCCCCATACTTGATTTTCCCTGAGTGATCATTCTCCCCATTTAATAGTCTTTCTTTCCATGGCATCTGTAACACACAACTTACTCTAACACAAAAATCGAGTGTTCCTGCTACCCCATCTGGCCAACCCTTCTCATTCTACTTTGGGAGTGCCACCTTCTCTATTTAGAAATTGGAGTTCTTCAAAGACCAGTCTTGGACCCTTGTTTCTTTCTAATCCTACATTCTTTTCCTATGATGTCTCCTCCACTCCCACAGCTTATAAAAAATGTTATGTATACACCAATGACTTGGAGATTGATATATACATAATATACACCAATATTAAACACAGACATTTCTGAGCTCCAAAGACATACCTACAATATTTGCTTAGTAAGTGTTACTAAGTAAATGTTACTTACTCTTGGACACCTTTCATACATCTCAATTTTAACATGTCTGGATTTGAACTCATTTTTTAATCCCTGAAATCTACTCTTCATTTGTATAGTCTCAGTTTCCCCATCCCCCATTCTCCCAATTGCTCATAACAGAAATGCTAATGTTGCCCTTGACTCTTGTCTCTTTTAAAATACCTGTCAAGGCATTACCTTGTAGATGAACCTTGCAACAGTCTACTTCTTCATATATTCATTGCTATGCTTCTGGCTCAGCTGCCACCATCTCCTTCATGAACTATAGCAATAGCCTCCCAACTGGACCTTTACTTTCACCCACACTCGTGCCTTCATCTTGCTTTGCTCATCCTCTCAATTTTTTTCTACGTGTAGACCACTAGTCTTTAAAAATGAAAAATTAGCCGGGCATGGTGGTGGGCGCCTGTAATCCCAGCTATTCTGGAGGCTGAGGCAGGAGAATCACTTGAACCTGGGAGGCAGAGGTTGCAGTGAGCTGAGATTGTGCCACTGCACTCCAGGTTGGGAGACAGAGCAAGGCTCCGTCTCAAAAAAAAAAAAAAAAATTATATACCTGATTTAAATCCTAAAATATTTTCCATTTCTCTTAGGATACAAAAGAAATTCTTGATATGGCTTACAAGGTCCTGCATGATTGAGTACTCACCTTTTTATTTCTCCAATGTTGTTTTCCATCTTAGCACTGATCACAGTTACAATTATGTCATTATTTATGTGCTCTTTTTTTAAAAAAAAAAACTATTTTCCCCACTAGAATGTAAATTCGGTGAGATCAGTGTCCACATTTGTCCTTGACTTAAACTGTTTTCTGCCACTATAACAGAATATCTGAGACTGGGTAACTTATAACAGAAATTTATTTATTTATTATTTATGCAGGCTGGGAAGACCAAGAGCATGGTGCTAGCATCTGGCCAGGGCCTTCGTATTATATCATCCCATGGTGGAAGGTAGAAGAGCAAGCAGGCTTGTGAGACAGAGAGGATGGGAGCCAAACTTCATTATTTTATAGGAACCCAATCCCACAATAAGTAACCCACTCTCATGATAATGGCATTAATCCATCCATTCATGAGGGCAGAGCACTCCTGATCTAATCACCTCTTAAAGGTCCTATCTTTTAATACCATCACAATGGCAATTAAATTTCAAAATGAATTTCGGAAGAGACATTCAAACCATAGCAGTCCCCTTGATCACTGAGTCATAGGAGCATAGCATAATGCCTTGTATACAAAAGATAGCCAATAAATATTTGTTGAATGAATTAATGAATCAATTAATTAATGATACCTTTTTGAATTGCACTAAAAATAGGTCATCTTTTAGAGTTCCCCTCTGGATAATTCTCCCAATTCAAATATCCTTAAAAATTCTAATTTTTAAGAATTAAACCTAGCTACATTGTATCCCAAATTATTCACTTTTCTTCCTAGCATGCTTACCATACATAAAACCCAACTATGTGCCAAGCACAGAAGTAAGAGAAGTAAAAGGGCAGCAAGGTACAGTGGGCAAAAAGGAGACACGAGAATATATCAAACTGTTTTCAACCCTTTGTAACAAATATTTACTAACCTGGTGAGTACTGGTGTACGGGTATATTTCTCTGAGATTCGAAAGATGATTGCTGTGGCTATTGCTATAAAGGAGGTGGGTCTGCCCAACTTTTTGTGCTGTGTGTTCCATGATGTTTGGGCCACAATGCCCTTTCAGTGTGTATATGCCTTAAGTGGCATTGATGGCTGATAAATGTGAGTTCATTTCCATTGTTATAAACTCTAAGGAACTAGTCCAATCCTTTTAGGAAAGTGTCGTCATGTTGGTTATTGTTTTCAGCTTGTATATCTTGGCTGTCTTTTACAGACATGCATATGCTATGCTGTAAGCCTTAGTATAATATAATTGGAAATATGACCTGTATTTTTGTGTGGCCAATTGTTTTCTCATGTTACAGGCAAGGTAGCCTTGTAGAACTCAGGTAAAGAATAGAGTGAAAATAGCCAATGTTAGTAATAGACTAAATTCTGAATTAGTCATTGAGCTTTCTTTGTTAGGTAATTCCAAGCAAGAGATTGCATGACTATCTCATATCATTGTGTTTCAGCATTTTCAGTGAATGTGCACCTTATTAATATTGAAAGTTAAGTGGCCAGGGTGATAATGATGAGTGAGCAAAAATCAAGATACATGCACTTAACAAAAATGATTCTATGTTAAGAATGTAAAAATTGTCAGGAATTTTCAGGCTTTGGTTACTATTTGTATGCTCTTTCTAAATCCCCCGCACAGCAGTACTCAAATTAGTACTGGAGAACTATCAAATGGCATGTGAAAAAATATCTAGGGTTATGCATTTTCTTGTAATTTAATTTATTTTAATTACTAAATCTCTTGCACCCAGGAAATCAGCAGTTTTTTCTTGAATAAGTGAAAACATATAACTTTAGCACAGCATTAATATTTTATTGTACTAAATATTTAGCAACAAAAACTTCACTCTCTTGGACTGTTATAAACATTGTGGATTTTTTTAGGTTGAACAAAATAAGCCATATTAAAGTACTGCAAATTCATAGACTGAAATCTAGGGCAAAGTTCAAACCCCTTCAACTGTTTTTTTTTCTCTTGGCAGACTGTGTGTTTCTGTTCCACCACAATGCTAATCCCACCCTGAACTCTTATTTAAATGTCTTTTTATTAAAATCTTTATTTAATCTGATTTAAACAGAAGTTTTTGCTGGGAAGAAAATTAAGAGATTATAGCATTATAACATATTTTAAACATTTTGCAGAACCACTAGTTAGTATTAAGTGTCAGTTAATGCAGAATAAACCATGATAACGAAAATATTCTGAGATAATCTACATAATACATCTTCTAGACAAACTTCTAAGTACTACAGCTCTTTGTGCTTAAGCCTGTGTTATGAAATCTTTGCTAAATAAAAATTACCCCTTTTCTGTGTTGGGTGGGTAGTGTGGTGTGAACACAGTCAAATCTTCATGGCTGAACTTTGGAATCAGTGCTAAGCAGTGATTCTGACCCGGTTCTATGGCACGCAGGGGTGTGTAAAGAAACCCTCCTCGGGGACGCGCATCCCCAGACTGCCCTTTCTATCTAACTCAGGCTGACTTTAGAACCAGGTGTGCCTAAACCACATTTTGTGCGGGGCGGGGGGGAGGACACAAAACTATCATGTTGTTGTTGTTCTCCTTTTTATGTTTCTCACTGTATATTTTGGCAACATCTACAGCGAGGGAAAGCACTAGATGCTCCCAGGCTTGGTCCAGGATCAGCTGCTACAAATCTTCTTCCCTCCCTTCCTTCTGGGACGTTTGTGCCAAAACAGCTCAGGATGAAAGGCATTTTCAGTTTTTGCTGTACTTTTCCTTTTGGTTAAAGACGTGGAAAATCAGAAGAGAGAAACTGCTCAATGAGACCATAAGAGCTGAAAACGCTGAGTGTACCCAAAGACAGCAGGAAAGCCCCCACTCCCTCCGTCATAGCAAGAGAAGGGAGGGTGACTGGACTGAGAGGGGAGAGCTGGTCCTTCAAGGAGGAGGTTGGAGTTCCGATGTGGAAGTCCAGTTCTTCAACTTCTGTAAGATGGAGGAAAAGGACGAGAAATGGTACAGGGAAAGACCACTTAGAGAGTAAAAGAATAATTGGAAAGCTTTACTTAATGCTTTGTGTCTTCTCTGGAAAGACATTCTCTGTGAGGAGGCCGTCATCAGAAATGAGGAAGATGGCTGATGAGAGAGCAAGGAATGGCTAAAATGCAAAGGCTGAGTGTTGATGGAGAAGGAGGAGGGGATATTAATGGTCTTTCAGTGGTTAGCAGGACACTATGATGTAGTAATAATGGATCATAAGCAGAAGTGAGTACATATTCCATCTTTAAGAAAAATAATACAAAATTACCAATACAGAGTATGTACAAAAGTAAATATTTAAGATAAAAAATTACAACAAATAACAATAATTTATGTTTGCCACTTCACAAAAACATATGACTATGGGAACCATTGCCAGGCTCTTGAGGGCTTTGGAAAGAACCTCTTGCAAAAAAGGAGGTTAAACCTTAAAGCTTCATTAGCTTCGTGGTAAATTCACCTCTGGTCACAAGAATAGAAATACCACCAGAGTAAAGGTCTGGCTGGCACAGTATGACTTTCAGACAGCATCTTAAAGGCACTTTTGTGGGAGCGGATGATGGATGCCTTCACAATACTGGCCTCAAATTATTCAGAACACCACTAACTTCTGATTTTTCTATAAGACTTGAAGAAGAACATGCATATGAAGATGCTTTAAAAACTCCTAAAGGTCTCCCTGGGGGAGGAGCCAAGATGGCCGAATAGGAACAGCTCGGGTCTACAGCTCCCAGTGTGAGCAACGCAGAAGACGGGTGATTTCTGCATTTCCAACTGAGGTACCGGGTTCATCTCACTGGGGTGTGCCAGACAGTGGGTGCAGGACAGTGGGTGCATGTTAGTATGTTTTTTCTTACATTCTGCAAACTCCGCTATGCCTCAATCAATAATCAAATTTGGCTGGGTGCAATGGCTCACGCCTGTAATCCCAGCACTTTGGGAGGCCAAGGCAGACGGATCACAAGATCAGGAGATCAAGGCCATCCTGGCCAACATGGTGAAATCCCGTCTCTACTAAAAATACAAAAATTAGCTGGGCGTGGTGGTGCGCAGCTGTGGTCCCAAGCTACTTGGGAGGCTGAGGCAGGAGAATAGCTTGAACCCAGGAGGTGGAGGCTGCAGTGAGCCAGGATCGTGCCACTGAACTCCAGCCTGGGCGACAGAGTGAGACTCCATCTCAAAAAAAAAAAAAAAAAAAATCAAAGTTACCTAAGCATTCAGCAAACCTATTTATTTTTTACCTTATACAAGCACTTTAGGGTTTTAAAAATAATTACTATGTGATATTACCTTTCATTTTTCCTAGAACATTCTTTTTTCACCTTTGTATTCCATAGTTGAAACAATATAATTTTAGTCCCCATTTACAAGTGATTCACCCTCAGCCTGCATTTTTCTATAATAAAGTTCTAACTTTTGCTTTCATCTTCTTTTGGTAACTTCTTAATTCCCTTGATAATATGCAGTTCTCATCTCTGTTCTTTTTCTGGGTTGATCCTTATATTTCTTAAAGCACATGGCCAAAACTACAACCAAGTTTCCATGGAAGAAAGTGTCATAGTTTTATAAATCATTCTAATGCATGTGTGTGAGTTTTTAATTCTCTTGCTATATTATGCCCAGCATTTGCTGGTTTGTTGGCCATAATGAGATTTTTTTCAGTTTGATGTGTCTTTTAGATTCTCTTTAATAGTAGTTGCTTGGAATCATAGGAGAAATTTGGTCAGGATAATCCGGAAGTTTGAAGTAATGGGCAAAAGCACTCAAACTACTGGAGAGAGTGATGAATGAAGCAGACAGGAGGTGATAGAAAGGAGCGGGGTTGCAATCTGAAAAGAAGCTTTTGAGAGATCAAAAAACAGGTCAAGTCACAGGATAGGGAGCGTTGGTTAATTGACAAGATGAAAGGCTTATGATTCTAGAGAAAAAGCAGGAAGTTGGCACGAGGTTGATATAATGAAGGTAGAGTTGTACCTTTTAATAAGGTCCAAGGTTCTTTCATTCAATGAGTGGCCACTGTGGGATGGAGTAGGAGGTCAGGATGATCAACTAGATAGAACTTGTGTGGTAGGGAATAGAAGAATGGTTCTCAACGCTGACTGCACATCAGAACCACCTGGAGAGTTTTAAAGCCTATCAAGGCCCAGGTCCCACAGGCCAATTCAATCAGAATCTGGAGGTGGGGCTAGGCATTGGCAGGTGTGAAAAATCACCGAGTGATTCTTGTATGCAGCCAGAATTGAGGACTCTGGATTTGAACAACTGTTTGCACCTGCAGAAGTTTTTATACTCTTGCTGCTCTATCAGGCCTTATTACCCTTTACCAATTAAATCAGACGATTTGGGGGTAAGATTTTGGCTCTCTGTCCCCATCCAAATCTCATCTCGAATTGTAATCTCCCTGTGTCAAGGGAGGAACCTGGTGGGAGGTGATTGGATCATGGGGGCGGTTTCCCTCATGCTGTTCTTGTGCAAGTTCTCATTAGATCTGAGGGTTTAAAGGTTGAGGCTTCCCCTACTTGCTTGGCGTTCTTTCTCCTGATGCCTAGAAGGTGTCTGCTTCCCTTTCATCTTCTGCCATGATTGTGAGTTTCCTGAGGCCTCCCCAGCCATGCAGATCTGTGAGTGAATTAAACCTCTTTTGTTTATAAATTACCCAATCTGAGGTAGTATCTTTATGGTAGTGTGAACATGGGCTAATATAGTAAGATCTAGGCAAAAGCCATTTAAAAAATTCCCCAGGTGTTTCCAACCTGCAACCAAGTTTAGGAACCACTGGGTTAGAGGGATTGTATCCTGTGATCTACTATGTACCATGAATAAAATGAAATTATATTGTATGATAGCCCTTGTATATTAAAATAATACTTTGTTTTGAAGTTTAATGCACAGAAAGGAATCCAGATGCTACTCTTTGTCTTAGTTTTGTTTTTTGTTTTTTTTTTTTGAGATGGAGTCTCACTCTGTCTCCCAGGATGGAGTGCAGGGGCACGATCTCGGCTCACTGCAACCTCGGCCTCCAGGGTTCAAGTGATTCTCCTGAGTAGGTGGGGTTACAGGCGCCCACCACCATGCTCGGTTAATTTTTGTATTTTTAGTAGAGACGGGGTTTCTCCATGTTGGCCAGGCTGGTCTCCAACTCCTGACCTCAAGTGATCCACCCACGTCGGCCTCCCAAAGTGCTAGGATTACAGGCGTGAGCCACTACACCTGGCCTGTTTGTCTTACTTCTGATGGTTTAGTGCACCCTTCTAATTTAAGAAAATGAGAATGACAGAATTTTGAAAAATGGAGGAGGCCTTAGAGAAGAAGTCACGACCTCTTTTTTTACATATGAGAAATAAGGGGCCCAGAAAGGATAATTTAATTGTCCACAATTTCTTGGGTGGTTAATAACAGAATAGGGTCCCCTGACAGATCATTTTCAATTTTCTTTCTACTCCTCAATGCTGGCTTCATTACAACTCTTAGTTTTGAAGTGATAAACTTTAAAAGGGATATGACTTCATTTATAAAATCTATGGAGTACATGGACAGGGTGAATGTGAACTTGTCCATAAAACTCTAGAACACTAGAAGTAAAAGTTGCCCTCAAAGCCATGAAAAAGTTTATTTTAAAACAAGTAAATTAAACTACTAAAGTATCCCTTAATACCAAACATGGCATTTAAATTAGTGACCATGAGAATCTTTCAAGCCAAAAGAATGGCCACTGGGTAGCCATTCTATGTACGTAGGAAGGCTAAAAGTTTTGGGGTCTTCAGACCTGGGAAAATATGTGAGTTTCATAAGGTCACATGCTAGACTATAAAAGGAAATTTTGCAATCAGTACTTAAGCTCTTAATCATGTGGCTCACATGTTTTCATACTCCCTGAGTTGGTTAGTCCAATTCCTGACCTAGCCAACCTAGAAGAAAACAGAACAAAAGCAGGTCTCTATTGGGAATAAAGTTAACTGCGTATGATTATATTCTGCTTGTTAAATATGCACACTTCCTTGTGTATTCATGGACTTTGGTCGCAGTAAATGATCTTTGCAAAAAATGTCCTGGACACATCCTACTTACACTGAATGACATTCTTTGAGAGGCAGGTTGCTAGTTGCCAACTACAGTGCTTTGTTTCCAGCTGTTTCCCAGCCCATATCTTTCCATTGGCTGTGTTGAAAAGACTAGAGCATGCTGATGAAGCCTAAAAGCAACTCCAAGGAGGGGAAGTGAATAGATTAGATCATAGAACTTGATTTAGAAAGGTTTCCGTGGGCTGAAATGGGCAGCAAAATCTAAGCAGATGCAATTCCGTGGAGAGAGAAGAGAGGTATAAGTACTTGAACACAGTACATCAGTAAAGGGGGGGAACACACTTGCCTTATGGTATTTGAAGGGCTGTTATTAAAAGAGAGTTTCTAAGTCCAAAGTCCATAGACCATTCATAGGCCTTCAGAACACTGCAATTCCGCAAAGATTGTACAAGTTTTTATTCATGTCTAAATTTTTTTTTCCTGGAGATAAGGTCTGTCATTTTTATTAAATGCTCAAAATAAGAAAAATCAGATTAAACCTAAAAGTTATTAACTAGGGAAAATAAAAGGCAGCTACAGATAGATTTAGTTTCAATGAGAGGAAGAAATTTCTGACATTTAAAGTTGTCCAAACATGGAATGAGCTACCATGGGAGGTTTCAAATTTCCAGGCCATTTGGCAAGAATATCATAGAAGGTATTTAAGCAACAGTGAGTGGTGAAATGTGTTTACATTTCTATAAAACAAACAACTGTGTACATGGAGAGAATGCCTCAGTAAAATTAATGTGAATGCTGGTAGAGTTAGGAATTCTCAGAGCACTGAGGCCCTGAACCAAAAGACCACAAGTGATGACAAGAATTGTGGCTAGTTGGGGGATTGGGGGTACATTTGCCTCCTTTGGGCTGATCCTGGTTATTGATAATTAGACAAAAAGACACCCTAGTGGTTTCATTTTGTCTTTGCACTGTTGGAGGACTTGCTCTACACCTGGGTCATTTATGGTTATCTAATAGATACAGCACCCACAAACAGTTACAATGGGGAAGTTGGTAGAAAAATCAAGGGTGAGAGTATAGTGGTTAAGACCATGGACTGGGGAGATAGGCTGGCTGAATTTCACTCCTGCCTCTTTTTACTAGCTGCGTGTGACCTCGA
Source organism: Homo sapiens (assembly GCF_000001405.40). NCBI lineage: Eukaryota > Metazoa > Chordata > Mammalia > Primates > Hominidae > Homo > Homo sapiens. Next base: position 189,521,757 of record NC_000002.12, on the reverse strand, counting down.
AGAGGCTGTATAGCCACTCTGTGCTTCATTTCCCCAGATGTGAAATGAGAATGACAGTAGTACCTACATTATAGATTGGAAAATAAATACAAAAAATCATGTAAAGAATTAAAAACCATGCTCAAGAATGGTTAGCTATATGACTGTTGTGGTTTCTAGTTATTGAATGGAGATATTTGAATTATATTACAAACTGTCATTTATTTGCTGTATGATGTAGGGAAAATGCCTTATCTCTCTGGCTTCATGCTTCCCATCTATAAAATGGTGAACACATTTACGCTGGATGGAGATAATATCCAATTTAGTACTGGCTTTAACAACTAAAAGAGTCAAAGTACCCCTAAAGGTCTTACTTAGAAAGCAGAGTTTAACAATGATTTTTATAAGTTTAGGCTTATAGCAGCACATTAATTCTTAGTTTGGGAGCAGTGCTTTAGCTTAGATTTTGAAATCATCAGCAAAGTGTACTATCTGCACTATCATCAAGTTTTGTCAGAGCCTCACCCATGTTTTAAATCTGCTGTCTCTAGAACTCTACCCAAAACTTTTTATTAGAACGTCTTGAGGTATATTTTGTATCTGAAGATTTCAAGGGCTTCACAGTAATTCCTGAGTTGGCCCCTATCTAGAGCTGCGATTCCCAGATCTAGAGAGTTCTGCCTCCCAAGCAGTGGGAGCCTTGGACACCTCCTATCTGATGACTGATCCTCCTCTGCTTGAATCTTTTGGAAAAGAGAGCACTTGCCAGTTGACTAGGGAGTTCATCACACTTTATAGTCTATTTAAAGTTTTCTTTTCTTTTCTTTTTCTTTTTTTTCTTTTTTTTTTTTTTTTTGAGACAATCTCGCTCTTGTCCCCCAGGCTGGAGTGCAATGGTGTGATCTCGGCTCACTGCAACCTCCGCCTCCTGGGTTCAAGCGTTCTCCTGCCTTGGCCTCCCGAGTAGCTGGGATTACAGGGGTCTGCTACCACACCCAGCTAATTTTTGTATTTTTAGTAGAGATGGGGTTTCACCATGTTGGCCAGGCTGGTCTTGAACTCCTGACCTCAGGTGATCTGCCCACCTCGGCCTCCCAAAGTGTTGGGATTAGGCCTGAGCCACTGCGCCCGGCCTATTTAAAGTTTTCTTTTCATCTTAAAATGCATTGTATATATGTACTTAATGTGTAAGAATGTATAAGTCATTAGTTAATAACTGATGCAGCTTCACATTAAGCGCTTTGCTTTTAAATTTAACTTCAAATGCTAAATTAGTAGCATGGGCAAACACACATCAATAAAGTCTATTGGTTTGGACTCTGCTATTTTGAAGTTCGTCATAATTGGCTAGACTGCTGTGTACATTTGCTAAATAAGTTGTCATCTTTATAACACAGATTAATAGCATGCCTAAACATTTAAGAGGCTTAGAAAGAACTGCTTTTAAGGACCTTGAAGTACTGTATAAACAACTACTGAAATGCTAATTATAATTTAGTCTTATCTATTTATCACATTTTTTTCTTGAGAGGAGCCAGAGACTGAAGAGGTTGACATGGTCAACCTTCAAATCTGGGTTCCTGGCATTCCTTGAAAAGAATGATTTTATCAGGTACTTATCTCCTGGCCAGGCTTTTGGGTTTTCGTTTTTTTGTTTTTCTCATCTGCCTGTCCTGCTTGAGCTGCCATTTTAATTTATTATTCATGCAAAGTATTTGAGAGCTAGTCCATGCTGATATGCAGATGTCAGATTTTCTTCAGGCCATTCAACTTCCTTGGTGTGTTTGGGAAATCTGCCTTCTATTTGTTGTGTTGGGTTAAAAGTAAAATAATCAGGAAGGAGACAGCCCTTCATGAGGCTTTCCTTCATTACTAGGAAACATCTCTGGGACAGCCCTGTCAAGCCACTGCAGCCTGATGCTCTTAAAGAACTCACTCACAGTCCTGAAGCTCCCCTGCTTCTTGCTCGGCCCGCATCGCGGACCCTCTGCTCCCTCTGCTGTATGTGACTTTCCTCCTCAGAAGGGCGCCACAGTTTAAAATTTTGTTCTTTGAACATTTCCTTTCCCTAAGTTAAAAAATGATTAAAAGACAAATTTTCATCTTGTTTTCAAAAACAGAGGAGCTGTGACTTCAAACTCTTAGATATAAATTTTCTTTTCAATGTGGAAGCAACTTGAATTTTAGGATTAAAATTCAGTCTTCAATTAACTCTCTCTATAAAGTCAGGGAGAATAAGCCCCTCCCCTTCTCCTTTGCACCCAAAAATCCAGCCATATTGACCTTTTCATGGATCCCCAGTTGCTGTCCAGAAATGCACTCTGCCTTGGAGGAGCTTGCATTTGGGTGAAGGATCCAATCAGAAAAGTAGATTATTATGCAGCAAGATGACTTTATAAGAGTAATTCAAAGTACATGCTGGTGAGGGGAGCACCTGTCACAGCTCAATGGGGGCAGTGCACGAGTCTCCTTTCTGGGAAGGGGATGTTTGAGCCGAGTTCTGAAGGAGAAGGCGTTGAGGATCCCTCACACAGAGGGTTAGGGTCTGTGAGAGGGGAAGAGAGGCTTTCCAGGGCAAAGGTAGGGTGCATTTCTGGATTATCATGTCTATCACAGTGTCCGGCTAGTCCTCAAATTACGTTTGTAGCATGAATAAGTTTGTAGCATTATCGAGAATTATAATCGGGCCATTCTAAAAGTATTAACAGAATTAGTGTAGATTCCAGAAATGGCAAATTTAGAGAGCTCATCATTAGGCAAGTACTCTGAAATAGAAGAGAAAGTTAAGGTTATTTAACTTACAGTAAAATTCCATTAAAATTATATCACAAGAAATAAAAAAATTAATAAAAATAATTTAACAGAATTAATGTAAAATGTAAATACTAAAATTATTATTGTCTTTTAATAACAGATGTGATTTATTTAAGTAGATAGACTATCTCATACATGGCTTGAAAAGTGCTGTCTGGTAAAGGTTTTTCTTTATTTTAACTTGGCTATGAGGCAGGAACTTTCATGGCTTTTGAAAATTACTTCTTTTAAAATGAAACCTCTGATCTAAAACAAAACAAAGCATTATAGATTGATACTTTTGAAATAAGTTTTTATTTTCAGGAATTTCTTAGGAATAAAGTGAATTTATACTTCAAAAGATAAAACTAAAATAAAGTTATAATAAAACACTAAGCGAGAAGTTGATAATTTTTAAAGGTGAATGTGTGTGTGTTGGGGTTGGGGGATACTTAAATATAATTTTTTACTACATAGATGCAAGTTAATTTAAAATGATTTTAAACTCATATTGTAGACATGGGAGTGCTATTAATACATGTGGAATTACAAGTCCAAAGAAAATCTTCAAAGTTGCAATGTTATGATTAGCAACCCAGTTAAACCACGAAGTGCTCCCACATCATCAACATTTCTGCAACAGGATTCTTTGCTTGGCAGGTCTTAGGAATGATTGCTCAGTCTTGTGACTGGCTTTCTATCCTCCACATTGACTTGAGACAACATAAAATAAAAATATTCACCAACCATGTGATAGATTTGTAAACAACACACATGCATTTCTCTGCTGTAATTTTTATGACTGGCACAACTTGGGTAGAGTTTGGGGAAAAATAGGTAAGAAGAAAGAAAGGAAAGTTAAGGATAACCATACTCTGGGAATGACTAAGAGACGGAGGTAGAGAAGGCAAAGATAAAGTTAGGCGTTTACTTTGTCGTACCACTTGAGCACTGCATCTGGCTTTTAAACCCTTACTGTGTCTTGAATGCGGCTGATTTCACAGAGTGGAACCTCCCGACCTGGCCAATCTGGCTTCCATCTTCAAATCCTCTTACTAGAAAGAATGATTTTAAGACAGGGAACTTGCCAACCTTGGGTTCTGTAGGGAAAATTGAGATATTTATGGTGATTCCCATTCTCCATCAGGGCTCTTGATTCTTCCAGGAAGTCCTTTATTTATTTTTGGTTTCTTTTCTTTTTCTATGCTAAGATAGTCCCAAATGTTTTCAATTTTCCTGTAACTCTTTATCCTATTCATTTTCTCATTTTAACTGTATGATGTTACCTCTGAAGTCATGGATAAAATAAAGCCCATTATTTCCCTTCTCTATCCTTCCAGTATTTATAATGTCACCCACCACTACCTCCTCCCACCTCATGTCCCCAAGCTAATCCTTCCCCTCCCGCTTTAGGCCTTTGTTCAGTCAATTATCTGTGGCTTCATATTCATATTTTATATGTTGTCTCCTCCCCCTTAAAAACAAGCCAAAAAAGACTAAAAGAATCTTCCCTTGATTCTGCCTTTACCTCAAATTACTGCTTTGTCTCTTCTTCCCTTTGAAACCAAAATTTGTATAACGTTTGTCTATATTTGCTCTCTTATCTTCATGATCTTTTTATTCAAATTGACTTCTATCTCCACAACTTCTTAGAAAATGACCTTGTTAGAATTACCAGTAACTTTATAATTGACAAATCCAGAATCTCTTTTTCAATCCTCACTTTTGCTGACCTCTTTGTAAAATCAGTGCTATTGCTCAATTTTTTTTCTTTGCAGTTGTGGATTGTGCTGCTGTAAACATTGGCATCCTTTATTCTTATTCAGTGCTGTCTCCCTAAATTAGTTATTTCATGCATTTCCATAGCTTCAACAATTACCAATGTGTTGTCACCTGCCAATGCCAAACTTACTACTCCCACATTAACCCCTCTTTTGAGTTCCATTTATATTTTAAGGACAGCAGCTCTGACATCCATGTGATCATAGACAATTTATGTAAGTTTTCTAAACTCTTAGCTTTATTATCTGTAAAATATTGTTTTAAGATTAGTTAATCTAATATGTCTGTCATGTTCCAGAGATAATAAAGCCAATGAATATTGTTCTTTTTGCTAATAAATGTTTTGTTGAACAGTGATGGTGAAAGGTGGCTTTAATGAGCATGATGGGGGTAGTTGTGGAGGAAGCTCGAACAGAAGATTGCCAAAGAGAGGAAGCACTACATTTTGCTTAACGGTGAACTAATGCTGTAGAATAAAAACAGGGTGTGACTGTGCTGGTGACAAGGATGAAGATAAGCAAACATGAGACAGCAGAAATAGCTCCAAACTGTGCGTTTTAAAATGCTGAGTATTGTTCCATTTAAATACCAGCATACTCCAAATAAGAAGACATGGTCTCACATTTTTCTGTTGGTGACTTACTGTTTTCCTTAAATTTGTGAATTCAAAGGCATTAATTAAGAAACAAATTGTATATTGTATATAATCTAAATATACAGTTTGAATGATGCCAAACGTATACTTTTCAGTGATTTGTTCCATTGAAGCTCAAGTATTGTAACTTGAGTGTTATAGACATTCATTTATTCATCCATTTAAAAAAATTTTGCATATTATTCTGTGCCAGGCATTGTTACATGGTAGTATAGATTATTATAAGGCACAGATGTTGGCCTCAAGATGCATAAAAAGACAGCTTTGTCACTAGATAGCACACATGATGGATGTGCAACAGGTAAAAAGAAGACCATTTTGCTCAGAGCAATAAGCAGAACGTTTCCTGCCTGTGGCTGGCCCTTTTTGGTCAAGTTGCTCTCAACTCAAGAATGCTAATGAGTTATCTGCCTCAGACATCTCTCCTTGGGTTAGTGTCCTAAGATAGTCTATGGCTCAACTCAAGTCTAGAATTGGCCATATTTTCTTCTTTCTCATCATTAACAGTTGTTTCTATATCTGATTCCCAGTGGGCTGGTCTCACTGTTCACTGAACCATCCCTTTGCTCCATTTCACTATACTGGCTCTTGAGTTAGACATGCTCCAGGACCTTAGAACGAATCTGAGAATTGTAGGATCTGTGGTTTGAATGTTCTGATCTCAGGTCTCAGGACAATATTTGGGGATTTGAAGATGTTGAATAAGATTAATGTATTTGCTTGGGCAGTTGCCTGCATTAATAATAAAACTATTTGAAAGTTCTAGATTTTTGAAGTTAGAGGTTAAAATGATTATTTTTTTCATTGCTAAAAGATTTAGGGGTAAAATAGTACATCTTCAAAAATTTGATTAACTGAACCTATTAATTAGATGTGATGAACTCAAGACTTAAATGTTTTTCTTCTCAACAGGTATTAAACCTTCTGAAGTAGCTGAATCCTGTTCTGATACAAATATCTGATTTTTTAAAAAAACCTCAGTGCTCCCTGTATTTTGGTCAGGACTCACTGCTGGTACTTGTTCCCATGGACCAACATCCTCTTTCTGAAGGAAGAGCCAATGTTTTCTTCATTTCCAAGGGAACTGACTACAGGGATTGTTTCTATTTTGGTTAGCTACATAAACACATTTCTGTGGGGGGGAAAATAGCAGAGCATACCACAGTTGGTGATTTTGCAAAAATGGGTTTGGCGTTGGCCAGAGGAAAACAAATTCAAATCTTTATTGTCATTTCCACTGACTCTCAAAAACATTGTTTTAAAGTTAAGAGGAAAAATTGGACTGTTTATTAAAATCCTCTCAATTTCAAATGTGTGGTAGAATCATAACAAAAGTGACTGATAGGATATTTTGTGGGAATGAGATGATAATTCATTCCTATCTAGAAGACATTGCCTTCTAGATAATATTCTCTGCCAACTTTGAGGTTTCTGTGTTTTGAACTACAAACTGTCAAAATCAATGTTTTCATACTTAAAGGATACAGAACCGAATGGCTTTTCAAGTATCTTTCAATCGAAGCCTACAGGCTCAGTCTGTGATCATGGTGGTGTAGCTGCTGTCTGAGCTTTTTTTCTTATTTCGGGATATTATTTTACTTCAAAACCAAGGCCACCCCATTTTACTTCTCACTGTCAAAACAAAGCCTAGCTATAACACTGATGTAGGGAGGTGAGGTCAAACAAGGTCAGCAGGGTAAGATTTTCATGTTCACAAAAGAACATAAATATTCCCATAGTGTAGCCAATCTAAGTAGAAGTAAGACACTTCATTAGAGGGATTTATTGGAAAATTATAGTTTGATTATTCATTCATTTAAAAGTACGTATTGACCATTTTCTATGTTGACACAGCCTGTGACCTCACAAAACTTGCAGTCTAATGACAGAGACTATCAAGTAACCAGGTGTAACAGATAACATTTTGAAAATGCTAAACAAATGTTATTTTAATTCTTGTTAAATAATGATACTCTACAGCCCCACACCATGTATACATACAGTTGGACTATACATTTCAAACTTGGGCTAAGGAGGTGTTGTTAAGGGAGGTAAGACCTAAGGATGAATAAGAACTGGGGCTATAAAAGGTCAGTTGAAAGCAAATGCAGCTATGAATTCCTAGATGCCAGTGAGAACATTTGAAAAACTAAAAGAACATCACTGTGGCTGGGGTGAGAAGGGAAATGGCAAAGGATGAGTATGGAGAAGTGAATAGAAGCCAGATTGTGTAATTCCTAGTAAGCGATTGTATCTGGCGTATATGAGGAATTGAATCTGGTGTATATGAGGAATTGAATCTGGTGTACATGGGGAATTGAAAGCAGGCCACTGTGGTAGGAACACCTAAGTAAAATATTTAAAATCAATCTTATAAGCGGTATCCTATTTGACCATTAGAGTTCAGTTAATTTATCCAGCTGGGGGAACCAAAAAATAGCTAAGGGTGCTCCTGTGATCCAATTCGGATGAGTGCCCTGTGTGAGCAAGAAAAATGAAAGAGAATTTGAGTGTTTGGTCAGGTTTCCTTTATATCTGAATTGGATTTCTGCTTTGTGTCTAAGCAGACGTCTGTGCGGCAGCTCTGAGTATCTCCTCTCTACCTTTACTAGGGCTAGCCTCCTTAAAGGACTGGACATTAGCATTCATAAGAGGCTTTGAATATGATCCTTGAAAGAACTGTAGCGCCTCATAATGGGGTTAAAGGGAGAGTGGGACAGGCTTATGGGGTACTACACAAGATCGTTACTATTTAGCTATAGGAATTGGAAGTACCCAGAGAGCTTAGTCTATAGTATATATCTAAGGAAATGTGCTGAGGTCAAAATCAGAAAAAACAAACAAAAAACACATCAGTTATGCATCCAAAAATCAAGCAGGAATCCGGGAATAAGATGAAGGGGATCAAAAAGCTTATGGGCAAAAAGGTAGAGGTCTGGAGTTTTTGCAATGAGCGGAGTAATAATGTTTGGGTTTTCCTGTATTGGTCTGTACTTGCACAAACAGACCTCAGTTAAGATGTAAGGTCATGGTAGATTTGTACAAAAGTGAGGAACACTGTTGAAAGATTGGTCATTATTAGAACTATCACCTGCAAGAGTCCTCATCAAAGAAAGCCATGGTAAACCAGAGAAGTTACCAAAATCTACCACCCAGAACTGTTGACATTGGGAACTTCTGTCAAGAGAAACCAGTGAAAATCACAGCTAAGAAGTTCAAGATGGAAGTGGCCTCTGAAAGGGGAGATAGAGGATCAGGTTGGAAGATCACATAGCCCAGTGGTCTATATCCAGTGTTTTCTAAAATTCTAATAAAAGTCATTCTTGATATAAGACCAGAAATAAAGATGGAGAGGAATTGGGAAACGATTCTTGGCAGGAGCTTAGACCAACTGTTACAGAATTAAAACCTGTCCTTGAACTCTTGGAAGAGGGTCAGAACAAAGATTGCTCCATAAAGCCAAGAAATATGTGATGTCCTTTATCACTGCTTTTTGGTTTGCAAACTGGTAGATTAGAAATGAGATGCATTCCAGGCAGATCAGCTGAGGTCAGGAGTTCAAGACTAGCCTGGCTAACATGGTGAAACCCCGTCTCTGCTAAAAATACAAAAATTAGCCAGGCGTGGTGGTGTGCATCTGTAATCCCAGCTACTTGGGAGTGTGAGGCAGGAGAATCACTTGAACCCAGAAGACGGAGGTTGCAGTGAGCTGAGATTATACCACTGCACTCTAGCCTGGGTAACAAAGCTAGACTCTGTCTCAAAAAAAAAAAAAAAGATGCTTTCAATGGTGACTTTTGCATCCTAGTCATTTTAAAAATTAATACACACCTTTTTAGTGATCATAAGTTTTCTTCCTATGTGATTTTGCTTATACCCAAGCAGAATATATATATATGCACGAGTCATTTATTTTATTTATCGTCAGAAACAAAACCATCTGGAGAATCTCTGACAGGGTGTTTTCTTCTTATTTTTTTTAAGGTCCACTACATGAATTAGGCTTAGTTATTTAGATTCACATCTGAGCAATCAATTTGTTTTAAATCAAGAAAAATACATGAAATTGTTAAAATGGGGAACTAAACATCGCTGAGTCTTAAGTTTTCGAGTGGAAACACAAGCACAAGAAGTAACCCTCACATATTCTTTTAATAGGCTTATTTCCTTCAAGTATATTGTTTATCTTTTTGTAAAAAAGAATTAAAGTTGTATTACAAAAATGATTTTATTTAATTGTCAGGATTCAAATAAAGTCAAGTTGGCTAAAATCTAAACAACATTTTAAAAAATTCAACTTTTAAGACAAATTATAATGATGTACTTAGAATAAGAGGAGAGAGCAGCTTTGGCTAGGCTAAAAGTTGTAAATGAGAACAAAACATCTGAGTTTCTTGGCAGTCAGGGCAAAAATAAATCATGTTGGATTATATGTTTCTCATTATCTAATCTAAGGAATTATACTTTTCTATCCAAATGGGTGTTTTGTTTTCCCCAACACTAAAGAAAAAGAAATTCCTGATTTAAAAAACTCATTATATATGAGACACTTAATAATATAGAAGATAACACATTGTATTCATACTTTAAAAAATGCAGAAAAAGTCTTCATATGGCTATTTCTTATGAACAACCCTTTCTAAAATAGAAGATAAAATGTTAAATTACATTTGTGAAAGTGTCTGTGTTAGAGTTAGTAATGGGATTTTAAAAATGTGATCTGATTGCTATGGTGGCAAACTGTTGAGAAGCTGGAGGAATGAGTGCCCTTCTCATGATTTGGATATCTTAGATGAGTTTATGAGCAGAGGAGCAGAGAAGGGAATTCATAACCAAACCTGCTCCTAAAATCATAGGATTATGGATTGTAGGTTAATAGGAGCCCCTCACATAACTACTCTTTGTGTAGAAAGCAAAGTCAGCATTCTGTTGGGCAAATTAAAGAGCCTTTTGCAAACTCCTGCCCAGATGGCAATTCCTACTACATTTTCATAGAAGTGGATTGCCAAAAAAAAAAAAAAAAAGCAGATTTGGAAAAAATTAATGATTGTGGTTTTCATATAGTGAATTGGCTACTGGCATGTTATTTGAAAAGAATATAAAGTATTCATTGACTATCTGAATAAAAAGACTGTTTAAACTATCACTTTCCAGTTCATGTGGTGGGGTAGCCTATTGACACAGCTGTCTTAACCTTTGCATGGCAAAATATTTGCTTAAAAATGAACATTCCTCATCACCATTTTGCTTAGAGGCATATCTAAGCAAAAAATGGTACAGACTGCGGTAAGAATTTGCTTTGTATTCGATTTTATTTGAAACTTTTTATTGAGATAGTCATAGATTCACATGCAATTTAAGAGATAATACAGAGAGACTCCTTTTATACTTTCCCCAGTTTCCCAAATGGTAGCATTTTGCAGAACTGTAGTATAATATCACAACCAGGACATTGACATTAATACAATCCCCTGAACTTATCTGAATGTTCTCAGTTTTAGTTTTACTCGTGTGTGTGTGCGTGTGCATGTAGTTCTATGCAATTTTATCACATGTAGGTACCCTGTATCTACTATTACTGTGTCAGTCTGTTTTCATGCTGCCGATAAAGATATACCTGAGACTGGGCAATTTACAAAAGAAAGACTCACAGTTCCACGTTGTTGGGGAGGCCTCACAATAATGGTGGAAGGCAAGGAGGACCAAGTTACATCTTACGTGGATGGTGGCAGGCAAACTCCCATTTTTTAAAGCCATCAGATGTCATGAGACTTATTCACTCTCATGAGAACAGCACAGGAAAGACCCACCCCATGATTCAGTGATCTCCCACTGGGTCCCTCCTGCAACATGTGGTAATTATGGGAGCTACAAGGTGAGATTTGGGTGGGGACACAAAGCCAAACTGTATTATTCTGCCTCTGGCCCCTCCCAAATCTCATGTCTTCACATTTCAAAACCAATCATGCCTTCCCGACAGTCCCCCAAAGTCTCAACTGATTTCAGCATTAACTCAAAAGTCCACAGTCCAAAGTCTCATCCAAGACACGGCAAGTCCCTTCTGCCTATGAGCCTGTAAAATCAAAAGCAAGTTAGTTACTTCCTAGATACAATGGAGGTACAGTCATTGGGTAAATACAGCCATTCCAAATGGGAGAAATTGGCCAAACAAAGAGACCACAGGCCCCATGCAAGTCCAAAATCCAGCAGGGCAGTCAAATCTTAAAGCTCCAAAATGATCTCCTTTGACTCCATGTCTCATACCCAGGTCACGCTGATGCAAGAGGTGGGTTCCCAGGGTCTTGGTCAGCTGCGCTCCTGTGGCTTTACAAGGTACAGCCTTTCTCCCAGCTGCTTTCACTGGCTGGCTTTGAGGGTCTGCAGCTTTTCCAGATGCATGGTGCAAGCTGTTGGTGGATCTACTATTCTGGGGTCTAGAGGACAGTGGCCCTCTTCTCACAGCTCAACTAGGTGGTGCCATGGTAGGGACTCTGTCTGGGGGCTCTGACCCCACATTTCCCTTCTGCACTGCCCTAGCAGAGGTTCTCCATGAGTGCCCCACCCCTGCAGCAAACTTCTGCCTGGGCATCCAGGCATTTCCATACATCTTCTGAAATCCAGGCGGAGGTTCCCAAACCCCACTTCTTGACTTCTGTGCACTCTCAGGCTCAACACCACGTGGAAGCTGCCAAGGCTTTGGGCTTGTACCCTCTGAAGGCATGGCCTGAGCTCTATGTTGCCCCTTTCAGCCATGGCTGGAGCAGCTGGGACACAGGACACCAAGTCCCTAGGCTGCAGACAGCATGGGGACCCCAGGCCCAGCCCATGAAACCATTTTCTCCTAGGCCTCTAGGACTGCAGTGGGAGGGGCTGCTGTGAAGACCTCTGACATGCCCTGGAGACATTTTCCTCATTGTCTTGGGGGTTAACATTCGACTCCTCTTATGCAAATTTATGCAGCCAGCTTGAATTTCTCCTCAGAAAATGAGTTTTTCTTTTCTATCATATTGTCAGGTGGCAAACTGTCCAAATTTATATGCTCTGCTTCCCTTATAAAACTGAATGCCTTTAACAGCACCCCACTCACCTCTTGAATGCTTTGCTGCTTAGAAATTTCTTCTGCCAGATACCCTAAATCATCTCTCTCAAGTTCAAAGTTCTACACATCTCTAAGGCAGGAGCAAAACGCTGCCAGTCTCCTTGCTAAAACATAACAAGAGTCACCTTTGCTCCAGTTCCCAACAAGTTCCTCATCTCCATCTGAGGCCACCTCAGCCTGGACCTTATCACTTATCAGCTTGATTGTCCATATCACTATCAGGCTTTTGGTCAAAGCCATTCAACAAGTCTCTTGGAAATTCCAAACTTTCCCACATTTTCCTATCTTCTTCCAAGCCCTCCAAACTGTTCCAACCTCTCCCTGTTACCCAGTTACAAAGTTGCTTCCACATTTTCAGGTATCTTTTCAGTAACATCCCCCATCTGGTACCGATCTACTGTATTAGTCCGTTTTCATGCTGCTGATAAAGACATACTCAAGACTGTGCAATTTACAAAAGAAAGAGGTTTAATTGGACTCACAGTTCCATGTGGCTGAGGAGGCCTCACAATCATGGTAGAAGGCAAAGAGGAGCAAGTCATGTCTTATGTGGTTGGTGGCAAGCAAAGGGAGAGCTTGTGTAGGCAAAGTCCCATTTTTTTAAAGCCATCAGATGTCATGAGACTTATTCACTATCATGAGAACAGCACAGGAAAGACCAACCCCATGATTCAATTATCTCCCACTGGATCCCTCCCCATAACATGTGGGAATTATGGAAGCTACAAGATGAGATTTGGGTGGGGACTCAGAGCCAAACCATATCAACTACTGTCAAGATACTGAACAATTCTGTCATCACAAGGATCCCCCTTGTTGCCTTTTTGTAACCACACTCACTTCGCTCTATATATAGACCTTTCATCTGTCCATTTATAAAATCGTCATTTCAAAAAATCACAGTAATTGAATCATATAGTATATAATCTTTCAGATTGGCTTTTTTCATTCAGCACAATTATCTGAATATCCAAGTTGTATCAATAGTTTGTTTCTTTTTATTGCTGGGTAGTATTCCATGGTATGGATGTACCACCATTTGTTTAATCAGTCATCCGTTGAAAGACATCTGGTCTGTTTCAGGTTTTTGGCTATTACAAATAAGGATTGCTATGAACATTCATGTACAGGTTTTGGTATGAACATATGTTTTAATTTCTCTAGGATAAATGCCCAAGAGTGCAATTGCAGGGTTGAATATTAATTGCACGTTAAAATGTATAAGAAACTGCCAAGCTGTTTTCTAGTAAAGTGACCTTCCCACCAGCAAAGTATATGTGATCTAGTTTTTGAACATCCTCATTAACACTTGGTGTTGTCATTATTTTAATTTTAGCCATTCTGTTAGGTATGTAGTGTTATTTCATTTTTAAAAATTTTTTTTGGAGACAGGGGTCTCACTGTCACTTAGGCTGGAATGCAGTGTCACAATCTCAGCTCACTGAAACCTCCGCCTCCAAGGCTCAAGCGATCCTCCTGCTTCAGCCTCCTAAGTAGCTGGATGACAGGCGTGCACTACCACACCTGGCTAATTTTTGTATTTTTTGTAGAGACAGAGTTTTGCCATGTTGCCCAGACTGGTCTCACATGCCTGGACTCAAGTGATCTGCCTGCCTCAGCCTCCCAAAGTTGGGATTACGGGCATGAGCCACTGCATATGATCTCCATTGTGGTTTTAATTTGCATTTCTCTAATGGTTGATGATGTTCAGTATCTTTTCTTCTGCTTACTTGCCATCCATTTATCCTCTTCAGAAAAATATCTGTTCACGTCTTTTGTCCTGGTTTGTATTGTATTTTATTGATTTATTTATACTAGACAGGGGTCTCACTCTGTTCCCAGGCTGGAGTGCAATGGTGCAATCATAGCTCACTGCAGCCTCGACCTCCTGGGCTCAAAGGATCCTCCTTCAGCCTCCCAAGTAGCTGGAATTACAGGGGCTGGATTATAGGCACACATTACCATGCCTGTTTTTGTTGTTGTTGTTGTTTGTTTTTTGTTTTTTGTTTTTTTTTTGGTAGAGACAGGGTTTTGCCATGTTGCCCAGGCTGGTCTCCAACTCCTGTGCTCAAGTGATCCTCCCACCTTGGCCTCCTAGAATGCTGGTATTATAGGCATGAGCCACCGTGCCCAGCCTTTATTTTACAATGTACAATTTTCTGACTTAAGTTATGGATTTTTTCCAAATTGGAAAATATATTAATACCATGTACAAGTTATTTGTCTTGTTTCCTTTCAAAGACAGAAGCCAACACATTCCCCACAGATATAGCCTTCATGTTTGTACTCTAGATTCACTTGAGAGCTCAGCAGCCCAGGAGTAGGGAAATGGCTTCCAGAATACTCTTTAATTTTTTTTTAATTTCATAAAGTATTTGGGATCCTTAGGGATTCTCATTATTTTCATTAACTAGCTAATAAATTAGGTCAGTAATGGAAAATAAATTTACGTTTAGAAAATACATCAGAGTTGCAGAATATACTATACTCCCTACAACAGGTCTGTTCAGCTAGAAGAAACCTCGCAGAAAAGGCCGCAGAGTCTAAGAAGGTGTTGAACCTATGTTTGTAAGCTGGGATCAGCAGGACCTGCAAGACAAGCTCCAATTGTTAACTTCTGACATGCGATTTCTTATCAGTGAGTCATAGTGGAAAGCTGTCAGAGTGACAAGAAGGTCTGCAATCTCATTTTGGTTAACACAGCACAGACTAGCATAACACCAAGGGCTAGAGGCTTGAGGAAGTCTCCCCTCAGTAAGAGAAAGACTGAATCATGGTGACTGAGACAGAGCAAGTAGTGGGGCCCCAAGGGCCCTTACCTGACTAGGTAAGGGGAAAGTTTCCAAGTCATTGAAGACAGAGATGGGTGAGATGGACCCACAAGAGGTGTTAGGAAGCAACAGGACATGGCTGTGCATAGTTGTGAGGAAAGAAGTCTTTGAATGAGAGGGAAGCTCCAGACTTATGTGAAGAAATGTTGCGTCTTTTTTTGTTCTTCCACAACCATACCATTGAAAGCAGCTTTTAGAAACCATAAGCCCTGGTGTGGGGCTTGTTGGTAGTGAGTGAATGAATAACTCACTCATCTTTTAAATTTAATAGTCTATATATATATTCATCTAATCTCCATCCTCCTCCTCAAATACTCTCTAAGGCTATAGTCTAAATAGGACCAACTTTACCCCAAGTAGAAGGGAGAAAGACATTCTAGACCAATAAACTAAGTGACCTGGCTCTTATAATTTGAGGGGTGAATAAAATGTCCCAAATAGTTCCCCACTAGTTTTCTTCTCAGCTGTTATGATCTTTTACTTCTAATTTTCACAACCAATTTTTAAAAACAAGTTGATCCCATTTCCTTAATCCCTGTCAGTCTTTATCTGGCTCTTGTCCCCATCTGTCCCCTGACATAGTTCTTGCTAATGACCTCCACTCACTAAATGCAATGAGCATTTTTCTTCAGTCATGGTCTTATTTGACCACTCAGTAGCATTTTTTTTTCCTGACTCCAAACAAACCCTCTAAAGGTCCCTCTTGCTTTCTTACCACTTCCTTTCAGTCTTATCTTTCTCTACTGAGACCTTAAATTTGAAGGCCCTGAAGACTTATCCCTAAACTCTTGTAATCTATGTCCATAGATACGGGATATCACTCCTACTTCTTTTGACACTATCACATTCTTCATCAAATTAAACTTATCATACTAATCAAACTTCCTGTTATTCACTCCTGCTCCCCATCCCCCAATCCATTGTCCACAGTGTTACTTAAATCAAGTAATCTTATCTTTTTTCTCCCTTAAATCCTATAATGAAGACCCATTTCTCTTAGATAAAGACGGCCCCTGCTGGCCTCTGCTGCAGCCACCAGGCTTGGGCTCCAACAACACATTCACCTTCCAGGTCCTTTTGTCTCAAGGCCTTTTAGAAGGCATTTCCCCCTGCCTGGAATATTTCTGCTCCTCTCCCCAAATCTAGTTGTTGTCTAATCATTCTTTATATTTTAGTTCAAATGTGACTTCCTCTGGAAACCACAGTGACAACATCAAAAAATAGATTAAGTCCAACTCTCACACTATTCAGAACTTCTGAACTCTGTCTTTAAAGGCTTTTTCCTGTTTTTAGGTATCTGAGTGGTTATTTGATAAATGTGTGTCTCCTGTACTAGACGCTAAGCTCCAGAAGGGCAGGTGCCTTGGCTTTTTGTGCTCACTATATCTCCAGAACCCAGCACAGAGAGTGAGTGAGGAAGCCAACTAATAACAAGAAGCCTGAACTTTGTCTCCTCAGCCTGCAGGTGTCCATGGAGTGCGTCTTCCACAGCCAGAGGGCACGGGGTCCTGGAGTGGGTCCACCAGCCTTGGGAGCAAGCATGGCTTGTGAGGGCTTCATACTTAATTGTGCCAAGTTCAGTTTCTGGTGCTCTTCTTTTCTGATTATTATTATTATTATATTATTATTTTTTGACACCAAGTCTCACTCTGTTGCTCAGGCTGGAGTGCAGTGGCACGATCTCGGCTCGCTTCAACGTCTGCCCCCCGGGTTCAAGAGATTCTCGTGCCTCAACCTCCCGATTAGCTGGGACTACAGGCGTCAGCCACCACGCCCAGCTAATTTTTGTATTTTTAGTAGAGACGGGGTCTTGCCATGTTGGCCAGGCTGGTCTTGAACTCCTGACCTGAGGCAATCCAACTGCCTCGGCCTCCCAAAGTGCTGGGATTACAGGCGTGAGCCAACACGCCCAGCCTTCTTTTCCGATTATTTAAATAATCCCTAAAACCTGTACAGCCAGATTTTAGTATTAAAATGTCGTTAAGTAACATTCATAGATAATTTTATAATTTACAAAGCATATACATTTCCATTATGTAATTTGAATCCCCAAACACTCTCTGAAGTAATCTATTTTTCTTTAATTGACAGCTGTGGAAAATGAGGCTTAGAAGGATTAAGTGACTAACCCGACGTCTCCTAGCTAATAAGGGACTGAGCAGGGCCTTCATCCCAGGTGTTGCAACACCAAGTTTTGTCTTTCCACGGCCAATAATTGCTCTTCACTTGGTTAAAAATACCCCTAGAAAAATACAGCTTCTCATCAAAGCTACTTATGCAGCGTGTGTCATGGCATTATATATAGGTCTTCTAATTTTAGGGGTGCCTCCATCTGCATTAGCTTTTTTTTTATATATATAATGGAGGTGAGATGGTTGATTTATACAGTTATCTTTGTGAAATGACCATATATCTTTTTTGTTTTAATTAAAGTTCAGGGGAATTGTTAACCAGGTTTAAAAAACAATAGGGAAATCCTCAAATTGATGGAAAGATGGCTAATACCTATTATTTCAATCATTACTTTTTAAGTATACCAAGTCATATATTATTTCAGGTAATAATCCAAAATATAAACCAATTATTTAGTTGAGAAGTCTTTATAACAGCTGATTAGGCATTCTGAACTGGGTAAAACTTTGTTTTCCAGTATAAAGAAAAGAAGAACATATGTCAATCATTCAGGTTTACAGTTGCAGCTTGGTCTTTTATGGCTGGTCATTTAGTTGCACAAAAACCATCTTGTTTGGTTGTCTATTTCAGAATTCAAGGTTTGAATTCAACTAATCTGAATAGCAGATTAGTTGCCTCAGAGGAACTAAGAAAAATAATTGCAGCACAGAAAATGAGTCTCTTTGATTTGTGCCTACTTTGATTTTTTTCAAGAATGTCTTCTCCTTAAGGCAAGCTTTATGGTGGCAGTAAAAGTCTAGTTCTAGGCTACAGAAATATTTATTTGAAGGTCACCTGTAAACTTAAGTCATGGTTTAGTGCCAATAATGTTAATGTAATTAACACATTCTCTGCAAGGTCTCAAGAAAGCAAGAGGTTAAAAGGAGTTTGTTTAATATACTTGGTAAGCGCAGCCAATTAGGCAAACATCATTGATTGTAAGATTTACCTCTAATATGAAAACAGTTTCTTTACTTTTTTTGGGCCATGGCACATTTAGAAAGCAGTAAGCAGGACCGGCGTGGTGGCTCACGCCTGTAATCCCGGCGCTTTGGGAGGCAGAGGCGGGCGGATTACGAGGTCAGGAGATGGAGACCATCCTGGCTAACACCGTGAAACCCCGTCTCTACTAAAAATACAAAAAAATTAGCCGAGTGTAGTGGCGCGTGCCTGCAATCCCAACTACTCGGGAGGCTGAGGCAGAATCTCTTGCACCCGGGAGGCGGAGGTTGCAGTGAGCCGAGACCACTGCACTCCAGCCTGGAAGACAGAGCGAGACTCCGTCTCAAAAAAAGAAAGCCGTAAGCAGATGATGGGCCTGAGGAGTCTGGTAGTGCCAGGCCCCACCAGGTCTCCCTGAAGGAAGAGGGAATTAATAAAAACAAATGAACAGACAAACAAAAACATGCCCCCGCCACCCCCTGCCAGCTTAAGGGGAAAGTGCATTTTAGGATAGAGGAAGTCTGGTAGCTAATTCTGTGTTACCAATTATTTTCTTGTTTACATTATTCAGACTGAATCACTGGAGGAAGGCACTTCAAAGAGACTTTGTTTACCAAATATGTCAATTCAGAGAGTTTCAGGCCTCTGAGCTTCAAAACTGCTTGCCAAACACCTCATGACAGTGCGCAGCTAAACATTTTAAAATGTAAAGTTTTAGATAATGGGTAATTACTAGCAACTAGACATTTTCTTTTAAAAAGTTTCCCAAACATTTTAGATTCTTTCTTAAATATGAATAGAGGAAGAATTAAGCAAAAACTTTTGTATCTGGCATATTTTTTAAAACAATAATATACTTCTTAAATATTCCTATTAAATACTGTAATTTCAGATGGTTGGCTTGAAAATAGACTCATAAAATGGAAAATATAAGTTAATTCATTTGTGCTATAATGGGATCATGAAATCTATAACATTTATAATCAGACTAAAATTTACTGTTAACAAATTATATGGGTTTAATTTGCTATGCTGAAAAAAAATTCATCTCGTGTTTTGTCACCTGACCAAATTGGAGTGCGTTATTAAAAAGCTAACCTGTTAAACTCATGCTGAAGGACTGACTCTCCCAGATGTTGGTGGAGAATAATGAAGACTGTATGACTGGCATTGGCTCATTCAAAAGTTTAAATGTTTTGAAACTGTTATGATGAAAGTTTTTTTCTAGTCTCAATGTGGGATAAAATGTTGTATTACTAAAAGTCAATTAGCTAAAACTTAGAAAGTTTTTGTGAATAGCTACAGTTGGGAAAATCATAAGAAAATAAATGTGATTTTAATTCATGTTTATCCTAGAAAAATCATTAGTCTGTTTTCTGTAAATTCCTTCTAAATTATCTCTTGCCTAAAATCATCTTATACTATAGCCAGTGGTTGAGAGAAATCATGCCCTTGAATGAAATTTCTAAACTATCTTTCATTGTTTGGATGGAAGAAAGTGTTAATAGAATTTATATTAAAACGAGTCACTATTTTAAAAAACCACAATGCACTTGGTGTATACCAACTGGTCAAAACATCAAGTTAGATCTCTTTTGATTATTGTTGAATTACTATAAAGTCAAACTTTTTCAAACAAATATTATTTTTGTCATTTTCCTCCTAATTGAAAAATGATCAAACATTAGACAAATATATATTAAAGTGAGTTAAGCAGAGCTGAACGAGGTTTTTTTCTTACTCTATAATTGATACAGCTTGTCATTGTTAGATCCATTTTTAGATCCCTAGAAATAGATTCTTACTATGATGGAAATCACATGGTTGGGGTGCAAGTTTCCTGTTACATCTTCAAGGATATGAAGATAGTGTGTGGTTTTACATAGGATACAAGGTAGGAAGAATACGACTGATTCTGTTTGATGGTAATACAAGGTCTTCCCTGGCAGAAAGATATACTGAAGTGTGCAGTAATTTTAAGAAGTGTATAGTACCTTTTGTCTCAGAATAAGCTTGTGGGATCTAAGCTTGGGCATTCTTAAATGCTTCCATGGTGGGGACAAAAAAAAACCATCCTCAAAGATCTTAGCCTCTTTTGCACCTGTTTTTCTAGCAAAGAACTTATACTTATTACTTCTGCTACTGCATATTTATTAGCTGTATTTCATTACACAATGTGTCCTGAATTCAGCTAAGAAAACTTCCTCTAATTGTATAATGTGAAAACTCTTTCCCTTTCTATAGCACGTACCTTCTATTTTCACCCCTCAGCCTAAACAGGTTTGACTTTTCTAGGGACATATTTTTTTCTCAGGTGACTATATTTGATGTGTGCTAAAGTTTTATGGGAATCGTGGGTAACTATTATGGCCGGTAAGTATTCAGAAAGACCCTTTGGCTTCCCTGAAATCCCAGGTGTAGACCTTGCCTCTTGGACTGAGAAACTTTGTAGTGAGTCAGAGGAACAGGTAATTGCATTTAATCTTATGTAAAGCAGCCACCAGGAAACATTTGCTATTTATTCCATAATCTATCCTCCCTATTTCCCCATCACTCCGTATTTTATTCATATGGCAAGGGTCATCTGAGAGTGAAAACACTGGCAGCAATATTTAACTTCTCAGCATGAGAATATTTGTCTTTGTGCATGAATACTCCCGCTTATTAGCAGTCGCGGTAATGCTTTGGGAAAAAAAATTGTTATTGAACCATTATTCACACAATAAATCTCTCAGTCTTGTCCTTAAAATAAGATGTGATTGATTCACTGACCAGACATTAGCATATGTTTTCCCATTCATAATGATGGATTTTCACAGATCCAGTCACACTTGTTTGCTTCATTGCTTTGATCTTACAAGCAATTTGAGAGAAAGGTGGTATGGGTTAGGAATGTAAGTTGCACCTGGAGTCTTTAATTTTGTCCAGGTATGTTCTTGTTTATGGGGTAATGAAACTGGTAAAACAGCAGATACATCCTTGTTGCTTTTATATATAATATAATCATTTGCAAATGAACTAGAACCAACCACACCTGACTGAGCTCGGGGAACTGACCACACTCCTCACCAAGGGCACCCAGATTACCTTTATTATCTTGTTCCTTCTTAAATTTCTCCTCATACTGTTTTACTTCCACCTTGAGAATACTGTGCAAGACTTACGGAAGTCTTCAAAGTTTCTTCTTTCTGTTGCCTGAATTCTTGCTACATATCTGCGGCTACCTTCCAGTAAAAGGAAACCGTTGGGATGGCTGTGCTTTGTAGGATGACTTACTTTGGCTCAGCTCATTTAATTACTAAAGTAAATATCTTCTGAACTGACTGATCCACTTTGATTTTGTCACATTTTCATTATTTAATTAGCTTGAAATGCACTACACACCATTTATCAAAATAATAGATAAACAAGGTAAAACAAGTTTTACCTTGTTTTGTGTGCAAGAGTTCACCTGAGGACCAGGAGTACTTCAGATATGGTGAGTGGACATTGAGATGGATGCCCAGCCATCATTTTTTACTCTACAGTCAACTGTCATGCGTTCTACTGAAGTAAGATAAATTTTTTTGCTGGTGTCTCACATCAGGAGCACATCAGAATATTCCAATGCATTTCTACTCAATGCCTATCCAAGATGTGGAGGTATAATTGGAAAGGGTCATCAGCATGATGGCTCAGGTAAATTACAGATTAAGTAGTTTTAGTTTTCACTGAAGCCCAACCACCATTTTCTAATCTGACACAGGAACACATTTTTCTCATTGAAACAATCAGCTTAACACTCAACCTAATACTTTTAAGTCAGGAAATAAACATAAGTGTATAACAGAGAGGCAAGGGAAGATCAAAACAAACCCAAGGCTGGGCCTAGTAGTGCATGCCTGGAATCCCAGCATTTGGGAGGCCAAGGCAGGAGGATTGCTTGAGGCCAGGAGTTTGAGACCAGCCTGGGCAACAGAACAAGACCTTATCTCTATAATAAACAAATGAAATAAACCAAATACATGAATATAATTTTTATTTTGTATACAAATAAAGTTATTTGGGAGATTGGGGTGAGGAAATGTGTTTATGGATTTGCAGAGTTGACCATGGTGAAGTGATTTCAGGTAAGCTTTGACGGGAAAACAATAAGGAGAATCTTTTGAGGGAAGGTGACTCAGCAGTAACTTGACAAGACTGGAAGACTAATAAATGAAGGATCACTTTCTAATTCTGCAGTGTCCAAGGCCTGGGTTCAAACTTGAAAAAAGAAAAATTATTTTCCTGCCCTTGGACTCATTTTCCTCATCTGTTAACTGATAGGATTCCATTAATCAGTGGTTTGGACAATTAAACAAAATGCCACAGGCAATGCTGATATGATTACCTACTGATACCCATGTACCTGGATGATCTCTAAGGTCTCTTCCAGTTCCATAATCTGAATTTTCTTTTAAAAGACATTATTCTACTTATTACTTTTGTGTAAGTAGTGTAAGAAACTAGGGAGAGGCAAACCAGGGAACTATGAAGATTTAGTCATTTACTCTGGTTTTTATATCAGAAAAGCTGCTTCAGGAAGTTGGGTAGCAATAGACAAACTATTCACTCACAGTCCTCTATTGGCACAAAAACCATTCTAGCCATTTTTTTGTTTGGTTGGTTTTTTGGTTTTTGTTTTTGTTTTTGTTTTAGACAACCTATTCACTCACAGTCCTCTGTTGGTGCAAAAACTATTCTAGCCGTTTGTTTGTTTTTGAGACGGAGTTTCGCTCTTGTTGCCCAGGCTGGAGTGCAGTGGCACCATCTGCGCTCACTGCAACCTCCGCTCCCAGGTTCAAGCCATTCTCCTGCCTCAGCCTCCTGAGTAGCTGGGATTACAGGCATGCACCACCACCCCCGGCTAATTTTGTATTTTTGGTAGAGATGGGGTTTCACCATGTTGGTCAGGCTGGTCTCAAACTCCCGACCTCAGGCGATCCGCCTGCCTCAGCCTCCCAAAGTGCTGGGATTATAGGCATGAGCCACTGCGCCCAGCCTCTAGCCCATTTTATTCTCAAATCTTGGCTACTGGAACAAATATATTAGGATTGAACCACAGCACCCTCTAGCCTGCATGTCTGCACAGCCAGAGGCTGGGCTCTAGGATTCTGTAACCGCTGGACTTTGTTAGTTGGAAATTTTTTTCATACAATATGTTTTCTTATCATTTGTTTATGTAATTTATAGACTTCAAAAGTGTTACTCCCTCTTCAAGTTAAAGGAAACTGTTACTTGTTTTAGGGAAATGAATAACACCACACCCCTCCTCTACTCCACTTATCTAACATTCCTTGACAGTTTTAATTTTTAAAAACTGCCTTTCAGATACTTTATCCCTACTAAGAAAAGAGATTTATGGCAAAATACCCTGGTATACATGGCAGAATCATGAGTATATTATGATCATATGTTTTAAAAAGTATATGCATCTAATATTGAATAGAACCACATTATATTTTCTTAAACTGTGTTTGATCTGTAAAATGGCTTTTCTGCATGGTTCACCCTAATAACTAAAAGGATAAATGAGAAACTAGGGAGAGGTGAACTGGGGAACTAGAAGACATATGACAGGCAGACAATTACTTCCACATATTCTTCAAAATCCAAGAACATTTTAACCATATGCATCTATTACCTATTCAAAAGTTAATATAAAACATTTTAAGAGGAGATAAAATAAAAATATATGGTCATAAATTTTACTAGATTGACTTTCTCCTCTTTCCACATTTTTCTCCATTCTTTTCTTCACTTTTCAGCGGAGTTATTCAGTAAACATACTGATAATCTATTATTTCCAACCTTCTGGTAAATGGTTTTTAGAAATGTAACCCAAAGAAACATATCATCCAAGTACAGAAATCTCTGTAAGAGTTTTTATTGTACCATTATTTTAGAGTAGTGAAGAATTTAAAACATAGATGGGAGATAGTATAAATAAAATATAATGCATTAGTTTATTAGAATACTATGTAGGCATTAAAATTATGATGTAATCGATTTTATTGGCATGGAAATATGTTTATAATCTCTTATATATCTAATTTTTTTTTTTTTGAGATGGAGTTTTGTTCTTGCTGCCCAGGCTGGAGTGCAATGGTGCAATCTCAGCTCACTGCAACCTCTGCCTTTTGGGTTCAAGTGATCCTCCTGCCTCAGCCTCCCAAGTAGCTGGGATTACAGGTGCCTGCCACACACCTGGCTAATTTTTGTATTTTGGTAGAGATGGGGTTTCACCATGTTGGTCAGGCTGGTCTCAAATTCCTAACCTCAGGTGATCCACCCACCTCAGCCTCCCAAAGTGCTGGGATTACAGGCGTGAGCCACCATGGCTGGCTGATATATCCAATTTTTATAATATATTAAATACTATTTTATAAATATACTTAAAAATAAATTCTCAGCTTACTTTGATTTTTTACTTTTGCTTTGAAAATTTTTTTCTTTTTTCAATGGAAGGACTCCTTTGGAGGAAGAGAGATCTCTGCAAGTGATTTGAGTTGAGTTTTTAATGAGACACTGAGGTTCTTGCTAATGAACATTAAAGGATATTACAAGAGAAACTGGAGAAGTGTATAGGGCAAAAAAGAGCAGACAAAGGAAGCCAGGGGCTAGGAAAGGAAGGCAAAATTTGCAGCCTGGACACCAGGAGTTTCCATATAGAAAATGTCACCCAGAAGAGGGCCCCTCTCCAGAAGGTGGAAGGCCAGTAGGTCTAAGAAAGGACTGCTGTGAGTACTCAGAGCCACATTGGACCAGAGACCTTGCCAGTCAGGCAACTATCCACACTTCCTAAGACAGAGTATTTCACATGGCTCACCTCCAGGGACTGTGCCTTCAATCTGCTCTCTAGAGGAACTGTCTTCTATCTGAACCACAGACTTGCCAGCTGATCATCCATCATGACAATGCCCAGCCCAATGCCACAAGCATTTTCTTTCTGCCACCACAGGGTTTCTCACCTTAGACATCTTCTTACGATGTCCTTAGAACATCTATTAGCCTTAAGGAACCTATTGGTGTGGCAGTGGCAAGAAAGAGATGGGACTGACAAACTACAAATGCTTGGGAATCCTAAACTGAAGAAATGGGGACCGGACTCCACTGTTCTGTCTGAAAACATAGGAAAAGGTCTGGGAAGAAATGCATCACATTAGTATAGGATATTTTGGCCTTTCTGTGGGACAATTTTTTCACAATATTTTTGTACAAGATTGTTTTGATTTTGTTTCTAAATATCGGCACTTTCATGTTTGTTTATAGCTTTGATGGATATTTGCAGTTAAAATATTACTTTCCATTTTTGTTTTTATTTTACTGAAAATATTTTCTCTGAGAGACAGCTTTTCTGTGTAAATTTTACAATTAAGATTTTTGTTGATGATGGCACCTCATATTTGACCTTTATTTGGGTGCATTATGTTAGTTCATTCTCACATTGCTATAAAGAACTGCTTGAGATTGGGTAATTTATAAAGGAAGGTGTTTTAATCAACTCACAGTTCCTCAGGGCTGCAGAGGCCTTAGAAAACTTACAACCATGGTGGAAGGGGAAGGAAAGGAAAAGTGCAGAGTGAAGCGGGGAAAAGCCCCTTATAAAACCATCAGATCTCTTGAGAACTCACTATCATAAGAACAGCATAGATGGACCACCCCCATAATCTAGTCACCTCCCATGGGGTCCCTCCTCCAACCTGTGGGCATTACAATTCGAATTATAATTAATGATGAGATTTGGGTGGGGACACAGAGCAAGACCCTATCATTCTGCCCTTGGCCCCTCTCAAATCTTATCTTGCTCGTATTTCAAAACACAATTATGCCTTCCCAACAGTTCCCCAAAGTCTTATTTCAGCATTAAACCAAAAGTCCAAGTCCAGTTCCCAACAAGTTTCCCATCTCCATCTGAGACCACCTCAGCCTGGACTTTGTTGTCCATATCACTATCAGCATTTTGGTCAAAGCCATTCAACAAATCTCTCGAAGTTTCATACTTTCCCACATCTTTCTGTCTTCTTCTGAGCCCTCCAAACCCTTCCAACCTCTGCCTGTTACTCAAGTCCAAAGTCGCTTACACATTTCCAGGTATCTTTATAGCAGTGTCCCACTCCCAGTACCAATTTACTGTATTAGTTTGTTCTCATGCTGCTATAAAGAACTGCCTGAGACTGGGTAATTTATAAAGGAAAGAGGTTTAACTGATTCACAATTCCACAGGGCTGAGGGGGCCTCAGGAAACTTACAATTATGGTGGAAAGGAAAGCAAATATGTCCTTCTTCACATGGCAGCAGGAAGGAGAAGTGCAGAGCGAAGCAGGGAAAAACCCCTTATAAAACCATCAGACAGCATGAGAACTCACTCACTCTCATGAGAACAGCATGGGGGCACCAACCCTATGATCTAGTCACCTCCCATGACTTCCCTCCCCCAACACATGGAGATTACAATTCGAATTACAATTAAAGATAAGATTTGGGTGGGGTCACAGAGCCAGACCATATAATGTTATTACTACCAAATTTAATTTTCTTATGTCAAATTTTGCAAATCTAATCTTTTCAAGGAGATTGAATTCATTCATTAATTTTATTCAAATTTTTATTGTATATGGGCTTAGTGATTTTCAGTTTTATTTTGTGTTTATTATTTCTTCTAAGCCTAACTTGTTCTGAGTTAATGTGTGCAGTTATCCTTCAGCCAGTTTCCTGTTATAAAGAAGTGGAGTCTGGAGCACTTGGAGAGACAAGAAAAAAGGCAGATACAGAAAGCAGGTGGATTTGGTGGGGGGACGATGAGACAATGTTTAATAGCTTCTATTTTCTCTGTGATGTATGAGACATAGTGAACAACTAAAAGTGAAGGAGGAGAAGGACATGAATAAGTTTTCAGAGACAGGAGAAACCATCGTAAGGAAATATGGTAGGATTGTTGGTTGGTGTTAAATGCCCATTTGAGATATGTGGTCACAGATTTTAAGTGAGATCAGCTGTGTATTTTTCTTCCTCTGTGTTCAGCCTAGCTGAGTTCAGGAGAGTGGCAGACAGTTGAGTTTCACCTGAGTTGGAAATTGGCAAGGTGTTTATGGCTGAAGGAGAAGGAGTGCTCCCAAAATTATCTCTCGTCTCTCCAGCACCATTTAACTTTTACTTACTGATTATTTCCTTTGGTATCAAATATGCTGCAGTATCTGTCATTCTTAAATAACAACAACAAATACAAACACAATCTTTCTTTTATCCCATTCCTTTTAAGAGTCAAGCTACCAACCCATTTACTGTTCTTCTTTAGGGTTTCACTTCAGTGAATTTTCTGTCATCTCAGCTCCATTTTCTCACTTTATATTTCTTTCAACCCATTCCTATTAGGCTTCTGTCTCATCACTCCACTGAGTTTATGCTTATCATAGAACCAGTGACCACCATAGTACAGAAGCAATAGGAATTATCAGTCCTCATCTTATTTGACGTCTGAGCATGTGGGCACTTGGTGTACTTTCTTCTCTCGGCTATCTTGAGACCACACATCCCTCTTTCCCAGCCCTGCCCATATTTCACTGGCTGCTCCTTTGAGGTCTCCTCTGCAAGATGTTTAAGTAAAGAGAAAACTAGAAAAATCACTTTAAGTTTTCTAGACTAGAAAACTAGAAAAATCACTTTTTGTAGTCTATTTTTTATTTCCTTGGGAATCTCTTTTATTACCAAGAATTTTAAGATTACTTATATGCCCAAGACCTCCATAAACAGGCAATGCTGGAAAATCCTTGAATTCCTAGATCCACAAATAATATAGTGCTATTTTTGTACATTAAATGAGTGCAAATTACTAATGGTTTATTTAGGAGTTTTGCATCTGTATTTATCAATGATATTACCTATGATTTTCTTTTCTTATACAATCCTTGTCCAGGTTTTGGTGTCAAAATTATCTCAGCTTTGTGAAATAAGTCAAGTCGCTTTGTATATGCTCATATTTGCTCTTCTTTTAAAAACTGTGTTTTAGGATAGGGGTTAACTTTTTTTGTAAGTCTGATAAAGCATGGTTATAAAACTGTCAACATATTAGCAACTTTTGAGGAAGAATTTGGATTATTTTGGCTTCTTTAATAGTTATGATTTATTCCAATTTTATACTTCTTCCTGAGCCAATTTTGGTAATAAGTGTCTTGGTTTTAAATTTTATCTTTTTTAAATCTAAGATTTTCAAAATGTTTGAAAAAATTAGCTCACAATAGCCCACTATAGTAGATATAGTGAAGCATCACTCAATATCCATTTAATTTCCTTCCACTGCGCATTTCCATAGAACACAGCCTGGAAAGCTAAAGCTTGTACCTCCAAGGCTTTCTTGCAGTTACTGATTTAGATGCAAATTAGGTTTTGCCAAATAGTTGTGTAAGATGTGAGATTTGGAAGAGAAAGTGAGGCCTAGGTCACAATCTTTTGCTTCAACTGTTGCTGCGTGCCAGTGTGGTCATTGACTAGGTATTGGCTTTTTATTACATGAGCCCTTCAGTGTTCAGACACTAGTTTTATGAATGTTGGGCAGCAGATTTGACAGTGGTAGTTTCCTTATCTGTGAGTGCCAAGTAAGTCTTTGTGTTCTTGAGTTAACATTTCCAATGGGGTCTTGGTGATTGCATATTTTTGTGATGGTATTAGTTGTCTATTGCTGTGTAATAAATTATGCCAACTGCTTAGCAGCTTCAAACAAACATATCTTAGGCATTTTCTGTGAGTCAGGAATCCAGAGTTGCTTAGTCTGGTGGTTTTCTCTTAGGGTTTCTCACAGAGTTGCCGGCAAGCTATCGACTAAGTCTGTAGTCATCTGAAGGCTTGACTGAGCTGGAGGATATGCTTCCAAGATGCCTTATCAGGTGGCCATTAGTGAGAGGACTCAATTCCTCACCATGTTGGACCTTCCACAGACCTGCCTACAACATGGCAATGGGTTTCCCTCAAAGCGAGTCATCTGAGAGAGAAATCGAGGGGAGAGAGTAAGAGAGTGCTCAAGACAGAAGCAGCAGTGCCTTTTATAACCTAATCTCAGAGGTGACCTACTGTTGTTTCTGCTGTATACTACTGTTCACGCAGACCAAGTCTGGCACAATGTGGAAGGAGACTATGCAAGGATCTGAATACTAGGAAGAGAGGATCATTGGGGACCATGTTGGAGGCTGGCTCCCACTATAACCAGCGCTGCTTCAGCACATTTAAAATATCTGCAAACTCTGGAAACTCTGGAGGGATTTGCATTTTTAACTTTTGATTTCTTTGTTTCTCTCTTAGGTGGATAAACTCCAAGGGTGCTGACTCAAAACAAATTACTTTTTTTTTTTTTTTTTTTTGAGACAGAGTCTCACTGTGTCACCCAGGTTGGAGTGCATTGGGGCCAGTGTCAGCTCACTGCAACCTCTACCTCCCAGGTTCAGGCAATTCTCCTGCCTCAGCCTCCCAAGTAGCTGGGATTACAGGCACACGCCACAACACCCAGCTAGTTTTTATAATTTTAGTAGAGAAGGGGTTTCACCATGTTGGCCAGCCTGGTCTAGAACTCTTGGCCTCAAGCCATCCACCCACCTCGACCTCCCAAATTGCTAGGATTACAGGCATAAGCAGCTGCACCCAACCAAATTACTTGAAAAAAAAAAGTGAGATGGGAGAATTAGAAAGTATGTGAAAGCCTGACTTTAAAAAAATCGTATGGCTGGGCGCGGTGGCTTACGCCTGTAATCCCAGCACTTTGGGAGGCCGAGGCAGGTGGATCACCAGGTCAAGAGATCAAGACCATCCTGGCTAACACGGTGAAACCTCGTCTCTACTAAAAATACAAAAAAAAAAAAAAAAAATCGTAGGAAATGTTATGTTTGAGGCTCATGTTCTTCATGCTCAAAAAATACTTTTAATTCAACATGAAGAGCATGCAGTTGAAGGTAGAAGGCTCTCAGAACTCACTCTCTGGGGTAGATGCACCCAGCTCTGCACTCCTGAAGTCAGCATTAATGTTATAGCTGAAAACCTCTGCCCGGGAAAGCAATTTGTCACTCAACCATTTCCTTACTTTCTCCTTTTTCTCCTGCCAATTAAGTTCGTAAGGGCTTTTACAACTACTCTAATGTGAAGATACAATTGCATGGCTAGCCAATAATCATTCCTTTCTTGCTTGCTGTCAGGGTACCAGTTTTGTTTGGAATGAGGTGATAGATTAGATCTGTGTTCCCAATCCATTCCCATTCTACAATTGAATTATGCATATACACCTCTTGACATGCGACTTTGTAGCACTTTCCAATGGAGTGTACAGAGTATGTCTCCTCACCCCATTTATGTTGGACTTAGCCAGGTGATTTGTCTGGCAAATGGAATGTTACTGGATATCACACGAACAGAGATTGTAAATGTATTTGTGTGCTTTTATCTGATTTCTTGCACTTCTCTCATTTTCCATGAGAAGAACATACTATGGGTGGCCAGTAGTGCCATAATGAACATATATGTGGAGTTGGCTGGGCATGGTGGCTCATGCCTGTAATCCCAGCACTTTGAGAAGCCAAGATGGGAGGATTTCTTGAGCCCAGGAGTTTGAGACCAGCCTGGGGAATGGAGTGAAACCCTGTCTTTACAAAAAGTACAAAAATTAGCCAGATATGATGGCTTGCACCTAAAGTCAAGTCCTAGCTACTTTGGAGGCTGAGATGAGAGGATTGCTTGAGCACAGGAGGTTGGGGCTGCAGTGAGCTGTGATCATGCCACTGCTCTCCAGCCTGGATGACAGAGCAAGACCATGTCTCAAAAAAGAAAAAGTTATATGCAGGGAAGACATAAAAACATACACGTACCATACATGTCCTGGATCCAAGCCCAGTCAGTCCTGACCAAAACTAGCAGAGTCATTAATGACCTACATGTCCATAAGCGGGGAACAAATGCTTGTTCTTATAAACCACAAAGGTTTGGGGAATTGCTTGTTATGAAGCACAGTATTACAGGCAGCAATCTGCCCAGCTCCAGAGGATGCACTATAACCAGTCTATAATCCTGTTGTTCTTTTTCTTTTCCAGACACTTGATTTCTAGATTATCTTGGCCAAATGACTCAATCTTAGCCAATGAATATATAAAGATTCTGCTGTGGAAGTGCTTTTGCTTCCCTGATAAAAATCTATCAGCACTATTTTCCAACAGAATGTGGCCACTGCATGTCTCTATGTCACATTTTGGTAATTCCCATAATATTTCAAATTTTTCATTATTATATGTATTATGATGATCTGTGATCAATGATCTTTGATGTTACTGTTGTAATTGTTTTTGGGTGCCATGTTTTGTAATTGTTTTTGGGTGCCATGAACCACACTTACAGAAAAAGGTGAACTTAATCGGTAAATGTGTTCTGACTAATCCACTGACCAGACATTCCCCTGTCTGTACACGTATGTACATTTTTATTAGGTGTAATATTATTGTACACTTAATAGGTGACAGTAGAGTTTAAACATAACTTTTATATGTACTGAGAAACCAAAAAATATGTGTGACACACTTTATTGCAATAATTGATTTTATTGTAGTTGTCTGGAACTAAACCCTCAGTATCTCTGAGGTATGCCTGTATAAGGTATAACCTATTGCTCCTAGGATACAAACCTGTACAGCATGTTGCTGTACTTAATACTATAAACAATTGTAACCCTATGCAAGGGTCTGTGATCTAAACATAGAAGAGGTACAGTTAAAATATGGTGTACAAGATTAAAAGTATACTTTTATTTATTTATTTATTTATTGTGATGGAGTTTTGCTCTTGTTGCCCAGGCAGGAGTGCAATGGCTTGATCTTGGCTCACGGCAACCTCCACCTCCCGGGTTCAAGTGATTCTCCTGCCTCAGCCTCCTGAGTAGCTGGGATTACAGGCATGTGCCACCTTGCCCGGGTAATTTTGTATTTTTAGTAGAATTGGAGTTTCTCCATGTTGGTCAGGCTGGTCTTGAACTCCTGACCTCAGGTGATGCACCTGCCTCGGCCTTCCAAAGCACTGGGATTACAGGTGTGAGCCACCGCACCTGGCTAAAAGTACATTTTGTGAGACCAAGGTGGGAGGCTCACTTGAGCCCAGGAGTTTGAGGCCAGCCTGGACAACTTTAGTGAGACCCTGTCTCTACAAACAATTTTTACAAAATTAACCAGGCATGGTGGTGCATGCCTGGTGGTGTGTCTGTAGTCCCAGCTACTTGGGAGGCTAAAGTAGGAGGATTGCTTGAGCCTGGGAGATCAAGGCTGCAATGAACTGTGATCACACCACTGCACTCCAGCCTGACAGAGTGAGACCCTGCCTCAAAATAAATAAATGATAGATAGATAGATAGATAGATAGATAGATAGATAGATAAAAAATACTACACCTGTGGATGGGGCACTTACCATGAGTGGAGCTTACCCATTGGAGGTGTTCTGGGTGCATCAGTGAGTGAGTGGTGATTGAATTTGAAGGCCTAGGACATTACTATACACTACTGTAGACTTTATAAACACTGTACACTTAGGCTACACTAAATTTAAAAATTTTATCTTTCTCAATAATAAATTAACCTTAGCTTACTGTAACTTTTTCACTTTATAAACTTTTTAATTTTTTAACTTTTTGATTTTTTGTAATAGCACAGCTTAAAATATAAACACATGCTACAAAAATATTTCATTTCTTTATATTCTATTTTATAAGCTGTTTTCTACTTTTAAACTTTTAAAAACTTTTTTTACTTTTTTGGTTAAAAACTAAGATATAAACATACAAATTAGCCTAGGCCCACATATTGATGATGGGATCATCAATATTACTGTCTTCCATCTCTACATCTAGTCCCCCTGGAAGGTCTTCAGGGGCAATAACATACATGAAGTTGTCATCTCCTGTGATAACAATGCTTTCTTTTTGAATACTTCCCAAAGGACCTTCCTGAGGCTTTTTTATAGGAATTTTTTTTAAGTAAGTAGAAAAGGTATATTCTAAAATAACAAAAAGTACACTATAGTAAATACATAAACCAGTAATGTAGTCATTTATTATTATCAAATATAATGGCTATATGTAATAATTGTATTGCTATACTTTTATATGACTGGTAGCACTGTCATATAAAAGTTTATATGATGATTCCTGGAAAATCTCTCCATGCTGTTGGAGACTGTTCATTTTGTAAGAGCAAAATGTGGAATAAAGGCAGATTGTTTCTGTTCAAATAGGCAATCCAAACTCTTAACAAAGCCAATCTCAAAGGAAGACATAAAGCAGACTTCCATAGTTGGAGAAAAACCTACTCTTGGTACAATGCTCCAGCAGAATTCCTCAGTGTTAGCACAGCAGCCACGGATGGAGATGTAGCCTCCAAGCCAGCCAGAGGCACAAAGTCTGCCTGTCCAGCCAGCACATCTGCTTTAAACTGACTGACTGACCTACCTAACTGGTGGGAATGTCAACAAGACAAAAAAAGACAGAAAATGGGCTCAAGAATACACCAAAAATCCTTGATGACATCTGTGCTTCTTTAGTGGAAAACAAAATGTCCTCTGATTTAGCTAAGCACCCTCAGGGACTGAGGACAAGCCAGCATGCTGACACTCCTCATACCTGGCTATGAGATAATTGCCTGCTCTGTTTGCAAGATCCCAACAGGAGCAACTGGAATGTGTTCAGGGAGTGATGGAAATAGGGCAGCTAGTGAGGGTTTGTGGGGTGCATCATAAATTAAATGGTGAACCTTGGAAGCCTGAATCTTTCACCAAAGGAGATATGGAAGTCAACATAGTTAATGGCAGGACCTAATGAAATGATCACAGAAGCCACAGTAGACTTCTAGAGCGGGTTTGAAGTTATTCCAAAAAGCTTTAAAATGAAAAATAATGATGTGGAAACTTAAGGACTAGCCACAAGGAGAAGATTTTAGAGATATGATCGCTTCCAGGTTTGATGATCTGATTGCCAACATTCCATTGCCTGAGCACACTTGAGTACACAAAATGAGATGGCAAACTAAATTTGTTCTCTAGACTGCCAAACTACTTTGTTTGGCCAGATCTGGTTCTGAAGATACATAATGCTTACAGGCTTATTAGAGATTGGAAATATGGAGCCTCAAGTCTTTATTTAGATATATCTGGTGTAGCCAGTGTTATGGTCTATGTGGAAATTTCCAAAGGATAGTGTGACCATGAAGAACTCCTTAAAACTATCCAAGATGGAATGCTGACGAACTCACAACAAACTCAAGAAAACCCAGCAGGCCGGGCGTGGTGGTTCACACCTGCAGTCCCAGAACTTTGGGAGGCCAAGATGGGTGGATCGCTGAGCCCAGGAATTCAAGACTAGTCTGGGCCACATGGCAAAACTCCATCTCTAACAAAAAATAACGAAATTAGCTGGGTGTGGTGGTGTGCATCTGTGGTCCCAGCTACTGGAGAGGCTGAAGCAGGAGGATGGCTTGAGCCAAGGAAGTCGAGGCTGCAGCGAGCTGTGTTTGTGTCACTGCACTCCAGCCTGAGCAACAGAGTGAGACCCTTTCTCAAAAAAAAGAAAAGAAAAGAAAAGAAAGAAGGAAGGAAGGAAGAAAAGAAAAGAAAGAAAAGAAGAGAAAAGAAAAGAAAATCCAGCAGACCATGATCCTATTTGTGATCAGAGCTGGTATTTAGACAGATCACTAAGAAAGCATCTTCATGAAGAGTATGGAGGTCAAGGCTGAGCTATTATACAATTTCTCAGAGAAGCAGTGTTTATCACAGCAGGAACTCCACATCAGACCCATAACTTACATAGTGGTATCAAAATGACTGAAAATTTTGTTTCTCTAGAGCATGTTAAACAATGCTCCTGGTTTAGACAGGAATTCCGTTATCTGTCACAGATTCATACCAATCACAAAGATGTATTACAGGTGAGGTACGTTATCTACCACGCATTGAAAGATGTTGCTGCTATACTAAAAACCAGTGGATCCAGTTTTGTTAAAGTCCGTCAGAGATGCCTCTACCCACGCACAAATGAAAATGAAATATTGGCAGCTGCTCAAAGTCTTCAGGCAAGATTCTGGTGGACTTTGAGAATGATGTTACCTCATCTTTTATTTTTAAACTATATTGACTGGCGAGAGTACTCTTTTTAATATATATTTATGGTGTTTACAGATAATAAGTATGTATGAGTAGTAACTACAGAATATGGAGCTTTAAATTGCAACTTCTCATCTACTGCAGAACTTTTACTAAGCTCTAAAAACAAAACTTCTTGGCAGCTCTGGAACAATACCTGCAGTTAACCCCCAGCTATTTGGTTGGACAACTGAGTCAAAATGTACTTGCAACTATTAGGAGTCACTCTGGGCAATTAATTTGAGCTGCATTTTGTTTCATGTTTGTCTAGTAGCCTTCTCCCACTCCTTTGGAACAGTTTCAGAAGAGCAATGGAGAAAATAAACAGCCATGATGCAGTTCTTATTGTATTGTGTAGGCTTGACATTGTATAGCAGAAGTCAACTACTATACAATTCTCAGAGTTAACCATTTTTCGTTAAATGGAGTTTTAATTTAAATGAAATTTTGCTAATTTTAAGGGTTAAACATTTTGCACTCAAGCATTCATATAATAAAGTGTTTATAAAATACCCTTGTTAAAACAAAATGATATTGTCTTAGATTACTACACAATTAGTCCACTTACTAACATCAGTTCCTAGTATTAGAGTTGTGACATATGGCAAAAAGTGGGGCTTCAATTTATATACATATTTTTTATGGCCAAAAATTCAATGCCATTCAATTCTTATACAATTTTTTAAGCTGGTCTGTTTTAAAAAGTTTTGACATCTTAATTTCCTAAGAAGTAGAATGAGAATAACAACTATTTCAATAATTAACCTTGTATTATTAACATTACTGAGGGTCTACATAGAACAAAGGAAGTGGAAAGAATTCCAGTTTTGTAGTCAAAAGGTCTGGATTAGGATTTGAATTCTATCAGTTATTCATCATTTGACTTTGGGGAAGTAACAGCTTCTGTGCTATGTAACTCTTCTGTCTATAGTTACTGAGATTGATGAGATATTCAGTGCGCATTGGCATTTTGTAAACTGCAGAGGAGTCTGGATAGACAAGTTTCTTTTAATAGTACATGCTCCCAGAACAGCTGGGTGCAGTGACAGTGAGGCAGCAATTTTCGTGGGGTTATTTGAAGGCAGGACATCTGGTTAGAATCTTCTCTTGCTATTTAACATTAAGCCTGCCTATCTGTGATGATGGTGGGCCTACTCTGAAACTGAGGAAGGCATAGTTTCAGGTATCAGGGGCTTATAACAAATTGACCATATAGACTGTTGCAACTTAAGGATAGAAGCTGGATCTTGTGCACTTTTATGCAAAGTATAAACTCAAAAACCTATTGAAAAAAATTGAAATTTGTATCCTAGAAATTTCTAGGCACTCCTTGGTATGATTAGGACATTGTGGTTATTTGAGGGGAAAAAAAAAGCTTCCCTGGATTTCTTAATTTCCTGTGACAAACCCTAGCCTCCTGACACTCTTCACATATCATGAGAATTAGATCTATGTCCACTTGTCTAATTAACTGCTCCAATCTGGGCTGGCCCAGTGGCTCATGCCTGTAATCCCAGCACTTTGGGAGGCTGAGGCGGGTGGATCACGAGGTCAGGGGTTTGAGACCAGCCTGGCCAACATGGTGAAACCCCGTCTCTACTAAAAATACAAAAATTAGCTGGGTGTGGTGGCACACACCTGTAGTCCCAGCTATTCGGGAGGCTGAGGCAGGAGTATCACTTGAACTCGGGAGGCGGAGGTTGCAGTGAGCCTAGACTGCACATTGCACTCCAGCCTGATGACAGAGCAAGACTCCGTCTCAAAAAACAAACAAACAAACAAACAAAACAACAACAACAACAACAACAACAAAACTGCTCCTATCTGAACTGATTGTGCAATTTCTCTTCTATCCTTGAGAGAGCCAAATGATTATAATACAGACAAGGTCCCTGAATCAGTCTACCTTTAGAGAACCCTGACAAATACAGTTCCTAAATTAAGCCCTGAGGGGCCAGGAAGATGATAGCGCTGTCGCAGGATGAAACACAGACCTGGGAGATATCTCTAGGCCATAAAAGCTGAGCTGTGTGAGGCTATCTGGCCCCTGGAAATATTTTGTTTACATAAGGAGCAAATAATCTGGGACTTCAAGCCCCAGATGACGATGAGGGCCATGCAGTAGGAAGGGATCAGAGTCAGTTCCAGGATGAGGAAGGTAATCCCGGAGATGAGCACCAGGTGAGTCCATGGACTCCTTGTCCTCCACACATGTATTGTGCCAGGCTGTGCTGAGGCAGCCCAGCTGGTCTAGCAGTGTCACAGGGAGGGTAGTGATACAGGGTATAGGCAGCCTGCAGCTTCTTGGGCAGCACCGGCAGCAAGGCCTGCACGCATTTGAATGGTGCTCTGTACCAGGCACACACCCACAGCCCTTCTCACACTAGCTGAGATGGCAGCAGTACTGTTGCCCAGGCAGGCATTCACCTTCCACAGGGAAAGAGTCCAGACTTTCATTCACCCACCTGAGCAGCTTCAGGATGATGCCTGGGATCTGCAGAGCAGCTGAGGCTATGGTAAGATTGAGAGGAGGTACAAAGGAGACCAAACGGCCTCCAGTGGGTGGGGACAGTGGTGCAGGCAGACATCACTCAACGATGGCCTGAGGCCAGGTGGGGCAGAGACCCCCCCTCCCCCCAGCCTCATCAGAATGGGAATGTTCCAGACCCGGGGTGCTGCACTTGTAGGAGGCCTGAGGGTGGTGGTGAAGAAGCCCTCTTGCTGATTTTGGGGACCACAGTGGCTAAGGAACGAGTGCTAGAGCCAAATTGAGCTGGAGCATTGGCTCATCCATTTACTAGTGCTGTGACCCTGGGCAATTCACCAAACCTTCCTGGTTCTCAGTGTCTTACTCTGCGAACTAGATATTACAAAACTGCATTTTCACATGTATCTTAAGGTGTGGATTAAATGGCACATGATGAGTTTTAGAAAGACGCTGGATATTCTCATAATTATTATGTTATTATTATACCTCTGGGGCCCTTAAGAAACTTGCAGTAATCGCTGCCATAAGTTATTCATGTCTAACCCACCCTCCGACCTCAACCC
Organism: Homo sapiens; assembly: GCF_000001405.40. Taxonomy (NCBI): domain Eukaryota; kingdom Metazoa; phylum Chordata; class Mammalia; order Primates; family Hominidae; genus Homo; species Homo sapiens. The sequence goes on along the minus strand of NC_000002.12, from coordinate 189,483,285 downwards.
CAACAACATACATAAACCCGGGCTTGAGCACCACTAGAGCCGGTACTACGTGGGTGTCACTGCAGTTCTATGCTGGGAGAAGATGTCCATTCCTCCATTTTTAGTTGTATAAAAAATTCTGTCCAACATAGTAAGATTCTCTATTCTATTACCATATTCTACAATGAATTATCATTATCAATGCATTAATTACCCTCTTCATTACAAAAAGTATTACGTAGTACACTTGCAATCAAGGACTATCAGAGTTGGAAGGCCCCTGAGGTGCCTCAGCCTCTTCTCACTTCACTGATGAGGAAAGGGATGCCCATGGAAGTTTGAGTGTTTTTCCCAGTAAGTCAGCAGAGCCACTGTGGCTGAGGTGGGGTTGAGCTACATTTTATTTGCACTCCAAAAGCAACCTGGGGGTACATTCCACAACATCCTGAAGAGTAAATGTGGACCGAGTGACTGCTGTGCAAATTTCTTCTGCTGTAGATATTCTCCAAAAACAAGCAGACATTTTCAGAGTAGTCCAATTTCCCACTAAAAGAGGAAAGAAGTTAGATGAGTCAGGAAGAAGGCAAAGGCAAATATAACACAGGAATTTCTTGTCCTTGTCTCAAGATATTCCCAATTCTAGCACATACCAATACAGTTGTGTTCTCTGTGTTGTTCGGTTTTCAGTAGCCAGTGATGCTTCTCTCTGCCCCTTTAGCTAAAAGACCTGCACAGATGTGGTACATCTTGTGGTGTTCAGTGTTTCCTTTAGCTTGTTTTATATAGTCAAGAGGACATTTTCTGCCAAGGTCATGAATTAGGGGGATGAGAGGAGTGTTACACAGGTCGGACATAGCAGAGGGATGGAGTGTAATGAAGTCAGACATATTTAGTTGGCAGTTCCAAAAATCCCTTCACTGCCTAAAATTCATGAAATCCTTGCTCATGTTGCAGAATATATCACTCTTCAGTGGCTTAAGGGGGTACTTGGAGCCTGGGAAAAAGATTTGCTTATAAAGACAAGCGTTGGCCCTTCATTTCACCTTGACTGTTGAGTTTAACAAACCTACCTGCTCTTATCTTGTTCATTCTATGGCCATCTTCATTCAACAAATAGGAGAGCTCCTTGTGTGTCCTACAGCCTGCTCCCTTATTCCATGTTTTGAGCCCTGCGGGGTCAGCCTGCCCCTGGGAGCTGTATTAAATACTTAGCTCATAGTTTCTCTGGACATGTTGCTGATGGGAGTTCTGACTCCAAGCCTATTCTCTGGGGTAAAGTCTAAAGAGATTCAGGCAAAGGATACCTCAAGCCTTCTTTCATTAGTGCAGGATCTTCTCTCTTATTCAGAAATGTAGTCTTTGAAGCTGCTTTTCTCTTCTGTCCAGCACCAAGGTTGCAATTAAGTAGCAAGGCCACACATATATTTTTGGATAGGGCTAACAGAGTTCTGGGCATTTTGGAGAATCACAATTTGAGAGTCAACAAAGGGGCTCAGAAGACCATCTAATGGAACCCAGGCTTCGTAGAGATTCAAACCATAAGACCTCAAATAACTTGAGAGGTTCAAATCTAGGCAGAGGCAGAACTGGAGCTAGTAGTCTTCTGACTCCTAGACCAGTGCTCTTTCTGGCAGAAACGCCACATTGAGCTGGGCTAGTGGACTCAATTTCACAACTGCAGACAGGCATTTCCGAAAGAATATGAATTTAACTTACATTCCTATGTGAGCTAGAGCATAATATCCAAATATTTGCATTTAAAGTGCTTGTTTTCAGAGCACTTATATTCATCCTTCCGTTAAAGTAGACAACCACTGAGTAACAAGGATGATCAAAACTCAACAAAACAATGAAAGGAACTGGTGCACTTTCATGTCTGATTATTTCATTTTGTGAACCAAGTGCTCTGATCTCCCAGGGAGTTTCTAAGCCAGGGGTATGTATGTCATGCCTGAAGATGGAAAACTAAGATAGCCATCTCTCCACCTATTTATATACATGCACCGAAAATTTAATACTTGCAAGACCAGTTTCTTGGCATTCTGAGACATGGGATGGGATGTGGGACCTATGCTGCAATATTCTGGTATCTAAGTTTTGATGTCACAGAATATCAGAGCTGGAAGGGTCACTTTGTCTAATTCTGCAATTTAGATGAAGGAACTGAGACTCAGAGATTAAGTGGTTTGCTCATGGTTTTTGAAAAACAAAGCAATCTGAGCATCATAATTATTGACTGCATCTCTGTGGTTGAGTGGTTCATTTTCATTCCAGTCTACTCACCTCCTGTTGTCATAGTGTACTACTATCAAATCCCAGTTACTTTCATTTCTATTTTGTTTTAATCTCAAAGGTATTCATCAGGAATAAATAAGCTACCTGGGATCCAAAATCCTTCCCAGGTCTTTTCCCATTTCTATGAAGATTGTGTGGTGACAGAATTATGGCTTTGGTGTCTTAAGGTGATTTTGTCATTTTTGTTGCTATCGAGAAACACAACTAACAGAGGAAGCACAATTTCTAGAAGTAGTAGGTCAGACAGAGCAGCTTCAAAGAAAAATTGATGCCATTTATAAGATTTAGTTAGTTTTAACCAGATAGTTATGTTAATAGGTTTCTGTTAAAGGCTCCATTATAGTCATAGTACAAAGAACTGAAATTGTTTAAAACACATTATCCACAACATTTCAACATATTCTATCATTTCTATATTGGGTGCTAGGCTATGATAGGAGGAAAAAACCAAAGAGGAATGTTGTTTCAGCACATTAACAACGAAGCTATTTTAATCAATATGCATTCAATTAGTAGACTTTTCATTAAAATTTCGTATGTACTGAAGTGTATAATCTTGTACAATATTCCAATTTTACACACATTTCCTATGTGTGCAATATAATCGTATTAGTCAGGTAAACAAAACCATTTGCATGGGGCAAGAGCACATTTTACTGATGAGGGGATTTAAGCTCAGACAGTTTAAAGGATTATAGCCAGGTCACAGAGCTAGCTAGCTCATTTACAGCTGAGATTAGCTCTAGATCTGGGCTATTTTGTTTGATTCTTATTATAATTCCTCCCCAATTATAGATCCCTCTGTAATGCCAATTAGCTGCTTTAAGTGTCTGGTAGACAATATGTTATTCTAGAAGTGCATAAGATTTGGGATTTGATAGGCAGAGGTCCTCCTGTTATAGCCCCACCTCTGATAGCTCAGTGACCTAAATAGTATTTACTTAATCTCTCTGAAAGCAGTTTCCTCATATGTTAAATTGGGGTAACACCTGACACATGATATTATAGACAAAGTATGATGTGAGTGAAATGCATAGCACATAGTTGGTGATTAACATGCGGTCCATTCCCCAGTGAAGTTGAGATTATATATTTCCTGAATTATAGGCTATGCCTTTCATTATGGACATACCAGTGAGAGCACCAAATGTAGCACTTCATGTCTTGATAGATAAATGAAATGAACAATGAGGAAGGATAGAAGGTGAGTAGTCTTTATGGATTCATCTTCTATGACTGGACCAGTTTCCAGTAGGAAAGGAACTGAGGGACAGCATTATAGAATGGCTAGATGAAAGTCCAGGTTTTAAGAAATCAAGCAGCCATTTCCCTATTATTTGTATAGTATTCTTTGAAAATAGAATTGTTAATATTGAAGGAAGAATTAAAATAATCTTCCCTGGCAATGTTTTAGTGTAAGAGTGATCAAATTTTTAGAAAAAGTAATTAAGTCCACACTTACACAGTGATTTTTCAGGTTATATAGTAACCACTGTTTTAAAAAGACATGTATCGAATTTAAGTAATTTGATTTGAAAGTATAAAATCTTTCATGTACAACTGCAAAAAATAAACATTTCTTGCACTTGGAAGTACCACGTCAGTGTCTGCATAGGGCAAAATAATAAAATTTATTTGTAATTATGTTAATATGCCCCACTCTCCTAAAGGAAGAGGGAGGGAGAAGCTGAAAAGATCAAAATGAATGTTGACACAATCTTTCTTGTTTTACTTAAAATTTCCAAGTAAATCTGATCAAGCTTCCAGATTTGTGCTGTCCAAAACCATAGCCACTAGGTGCAGGTAGCTAATTGAGTACTGGAAATGTGGCTAGTTCAAATGGAAATGTGCTCTAAGTATAAAATATACACTGAGTTTTGAAGGTAGTATGGAAAAAAACATAAAATATCCCAATAAATCATTTAAAACTTGGTTATAGGTTGAAATATTTTAGATACGTGGAACTTAATAAAACATTTATTGCAGGGTTTTAGAAAATATATCATTAGCATTAATTTCATTTGGTTATTTTTACTTTTTTATTGTAACTATTAGAGAATTTAAAGTTATACATAGGACTTGCATTATAGTTCTATTGCATAGTGCTACTCTAGATACAACTACCAATATACAGAGGGTCATGTTAAAAGCCATGAAAGCAATCTGCAAAATCAGTGACGAACTCACAGGGCAAACTTGATTTTTTCAACAAATTGTGCACAGAAAGAAATAAGAAAAAAACGAAAAAAAAAAAAAGGCAAAGAAGAAAATGTAAACTGAGACTTGAGAGGTCTACTTCAATGGCAGTCTGAGATCCATGGACCTGCTCCTCAGAACAACTGTAATCAGTAAAAGTTACTTTAAAAAACCTAGCCATTTAAAGTCTCCAGAAATTGGCTGGGTGCAGTGGCTTGAGGCCTGTAATCCCAGCACTTTGGGAGGCCCAGGTGGGCGGATCACTTGAGGTCAAGAGTTTGACACTAGCCTTGCCAACATGGTGAAACCCCATCTCTACTAAAAATACATAATTAGCCAGGTGTGGTGGCTGGTGCCTGTAGTCCCAGATACTCAGGACGCTGAGGCAGAAGAATCGCTTGAACCTGGGAGGCGGAGGTGGCAGTGGGCCGAGATTGCACCACTGTATTCCAGCCTGGGCAACAGAGGGAGACTCTGTCTCAAAAATAAATTAAAAAAGTCTTCAGAAATTGTTTTAAGGGTATACAGCAAATGAAGAAACATTTATTCAAGAAATTCTAATAAATCTTGGTGGCAAGAACAGTGACACTCAAGTTACAAAGCTCTCCTTCCTCAACTCAGCCAGCATGATAGGAACTCCATTCTGGGCAGCCGTGGCCAAAAAGACAGAGCTTCCTCTCCCCTCAGCTGTGAGCATTTCTCATTGCCTCCAACTCTCTGTTGCAGAGGCTAAATTCCAGGCCAGAGGTTGGAATCTCTCTTCCTTCACCAAGACCCTACTCACAGAGTGGAGCCTCTACTCCAAGGATGGTAGGCTAAGAATACTGGAGCTCTGGTCGCCACTGCCCCAGCTTGCTTGTAGGCTACTGCCTCTGCTCAATTTGTAAAGCAGGGGTGTCACTCTTGAGAGAACTGGGCCTTTGTGCCTACTCATGGTTCTGGAGCAGTGGCTCAGAGATCTTGCCCAGGGGCAAGAGGCAGTCCATAAGAATACAGTTCTGACATAAGCCTCAAAAACAATGGGGATTTGGGTGGTAAGCAATTAAGAGGAGACTGGTAGCTCCATTAGAACAACAAGCTAAACCATAAACTAGCTAGTTTACCAGAAACAAAGAAAACAAGGAAAGAGACAGCTAAAATGGGTCCTCCTGGGATCAGAACAAACCTCAAAGGCTGGCCTCAAAAACTAACGCTGCATTTTGATGGCAGTGAAAATACTCGTGTAATACTATACTGATGGATACATATTATTATATGTTGCATAAACCCACAGAATTACACCAAGACTGAACACTAATTCAAATTAGACTTTGGGTGATTATGATGGGTTGAGGTAGGTTCTTCAAGTGTAACAAATGTACCACTCTGGTGCACCAGAGATGTTGATAATGGGGTAGGCTATTGCATGCGTTGGGGGAGAGGGTATATGGGAAATCTCCGTACTTTCAATTTTCTTGACCTAAAACTACCCTTAAAAAAATAGACTTAAAACAACAAAAGCACCCCTGAAAGGGATCTCAATTTTTTTTTAATTTCCACCTTCCATCCCACCACCAGTAGAAAGGGACTCAATTTAACGGATGACTGTGGAGCAATTTATGTGCCATAATGTAAATAATGTAAAATGCTGCAGCTGATATGTAAAATCTGGTGGTTCTTCAAAAGGTTAAACATAGTTACCAAATAACCCAGTAATTCCCCTCATAGGTATACTAACAAAAGTGAAAATAAAAAGGAATGAAGTACTGATATATCTACAACATGGATGCTGAATGAAAGCAGCCACTTACAAAAGATCACATATTGTATGAGTCCATTTACATGAAATGTCCAGAATAGGCAAATTTACAGAGATAGGATGAGTTGTTGCATTGTTGGTGAGGTGAAGGAGGCTGAGGGAAATGGCTAGTTTTGGGGTGATGAAAATGTTCTAAAATTGATTGTGGTGATGGTGTCCAAGACTGAACGTATTAAAACCCACTAAATTTTCCTCTTTAAATGCATGAATTGTATGGTTTGTGAGTTACATCTCAAATCTCAATGTAGCTTATTTTTAAAAAATGTAGCCAAGGTCGGAGGATCACTTGAGGCCAAAGAGTTTGAGACTAGCCTGGGTAACATAGCAAGACATCTCTACAAAAAATTTAAAAAATAGCCAGGTGTGGTGGTGAGTGCCTGTAGTCCCAGCCACTTACGAGTCCGAGGTGGGGGTTGGGGACTTGAAAAAAAAAAAGTTAAGATTTTACATAAATAGTGATTCAAAAACACTTTAAGTCTGTTTAGGATGCTACAGACCGGGTGGTTTATAAACAGAAACTTATGTCTCAGTTCCAGAAGTCGGAAAGTCTAACAAAAAGGCACCAGATTTGCTGTTTGGTGAGGCCCCACTTCATAGTTCACAGATGGTTTTCTTCTTGCTGTATCCCCACGTGTTAGAAGGGGCAAAGAAGCTCTCCAGTGTCTCTTTTGTAACAGCATTTATCCTATTCACAAAGGCTCCAGTCTCATGACCTAATCATCTCCCAAAGGCCCCATCTCCAAATACCACATTGAGGATTAGATTCCAACATTTGAATTTTAGGGGGGCACAACAAACATTTGGTCTACAGCACAAACTAAAAAGCCATTTGCAGCAATTTTTGTGAACATTCATTGAGATGTGCTCTTACAAACGCTTTGTTTTTGTGCTAACTTCTAAATATAAATTTTACAAAAGTGCATTAGGGAAGTGGAAAACTCAAAATGCTAGGTGGTTAAGATGTAGCAGCTTCACTGCTTTAACTAAAACAGGGGATCTGGATCGTTTTCTACTAGCAACTGGACTTTGGGTCAGATCATCTGAATTCAGAATTTTAGGCAGCCCATATTATTATATAATATCCTCAGTGAGGTTTGTGGAACACCACATAATCAACTCGTCTCTAAATTTCTCTGAGAGAAATAAATACACTAAGAGGAATAAATCAGGACTAAAGAAACCTCACTCCAGCTCAGGTCACATTTGGCCACCAAATGAATTTGTGTTAAAACAATTATGTCAACAAAGCCTTTTAACTTTCAAATCTTTTCGTATCTCCAAACTGCAGCTTAGGGGACATATGCTGTACAGTTCAAGTCTCAGTTCTGCTGTATCACCTGTGAAGAAAATACCTACTTGTTTTATAAGGCTGATGTGTGACTCAAAATAAAAAAATGAGATGATGTGGTATATCAATGATCCAGTAACTGTAAAGCATGATGCAAATACATGTTCATATTATCAGTTTTTTAAAAAAGCAAAGTTTGTTAATATTTATTATCTTATTTTTAGAACAGAAATAACATTAAAATAGATGTTTTTAGAATATCAACATACAATCAAAAACACAAAGTCCAAGGATCCTCCCCATCTCCAAGGCTTAAAGGGCAGCTATCCAGCTGTAGTCTATTTTCCTAAATTTTCTCAGTTCTTTTTCTTCAGATTTTGACAACTGATGTATAATGTCTTCTCCTAAACCTGTGTTACTTGTATCCTGGACTTTTTCGGTAAAATCATTTTCTTCATCTGAATCTTCACTTTCTTTTTCTTCTTCCATATCTACATCTTCAGGAATTTCCTTAGCACTTTAACAATAACAGAATAAAATATAAACACTATTAAATGTTTCTAAACAGTAACTTTCTAATTTGACACCTATGTAGAAATATAATCACACAAAGTAAATGAAGAATTTTGTTACTAAGTACACTTTAAAAATTATGGGTTATTTATAAAAGAGCAGGTGAATTTACAAACATGTAATTTTAAATTATGTACCAAGCCCTTAAAACACACACATACAAGATCTTTTTTGAAACTTATTTTCAATGTATGTTACTTGACTTAATAATCCTATAGCCTTTAAATCTATTTTAAAACTTATGAAATAAAAAGAAATACAGTGGAAGAATACTCTAAAAAAGGATAAACACAAACGATCCTGTTTCCCAAAAGAGAGTGTCCAAACCTGTCTTAAGAACTGCTTTACCTCTTAGTCTCTTTAGACAGCAGCAATGAATTTACAAACATGGAGCACAGGAAAGCAGCAGATGGCAGGACATGGGCTGGAGTGTGAAGAAGCTGGAGTCAAACAGAAAACACGGTTGCAATTAAAAAGCTTATCCTCCACCGCAGTCTGTTCCTACAGTGTCCTCACGGAGTCCCTTTTATTGTAAATGCCAAGAGTGAAACATGAAAAGGCTTTCCCTATACAAAAGCCAAACCAAAGAAAAATACATTTCTACCTTCCTACATTTATGCCAACAACCACCCCTATCCCTACACCAGGTCCAGGACAAAACAATCCCAGATCACAAGGTTAAGTTACTCGGTTTGTTGTTAGTTATTTAGTTTGGGTATTAAAGTTGTACAGCATACAAATTACAGATTGACTGTGTCAAAACTCCAACTTCAGGTGCTTTAAGTGCATTTAATCTGTTTCACATGGTTTTCATAATTACTTACCTCACTAATTGCGGGTATGTTTTCTGTTAAGGGTAGTTGTACCAGCTCATTCTCTAAAGTTTCGTTTAGTTTTTCATCCTGCTGTTGCCTGTGTTTTCCCAATATGAAATAAAATGGGGTTGTGGGAAGACTTTCTTCTGCTAGCAGCTTTAAGGATTTAAGACAAAGAGAAATTATTTCAGAAAAAAGGAAGAACTGTGTTTGACTTAACAGTAAGTACTACAGAATCATAAAAAGTCTGGGATGAAAGGAATTTTACAAATTATCCAGTTAGTATGATCCTCTCATTTCACAGAGAAAGCAACTGAGGCCTAGCATCCCACTTATGAGAAGAGCTAACAGTGAACACTTAGATGACAGAATAATACATGCATTTACCACTGCTTCTTCACCAAATCCCACAAAAATGACAGCAAAAGGGTTTTCAAAGGGCACATACTCACAATGATAGAAAATGAGGGAAAAGGCCTTAACAGTAACATGTTGGAAACTGGAGAGCAGGCTGAAGGATGGTATTGAACTTAGTAGACCTGAGAAAGCACAATTCTAAGCTGGCTGTAGGGAAAGCCAAGAAGCATCCCAATTCATACTACAGAATCCTGCAAATGCTCAGGAGTTGGTAATAATAGTAACTCTGGATGTGGGGTGAAAATGGGACTAGACAAACCAGACGGGCTGGTGGAAAGTCTACTTAGAAAGCACCCCACAGCTCCTCCTCAGCCCCAGCAGAGGGCTCTACATCTTTAGGCTAGGTATGGATAGCGGTGGTGGTGGTGGTGGTATCTTCATATCTAGGCAGTTGTACTTCATGTAGGGGGTTCTCAGAACACTGACAGGTAGGTCTAAATCCTTTAGGCAGGAACGCATAGAATTTTTTATGGTTAATTTGACCAGCCTAAGTAAGACCTAAAGATACAGCTAACCTTGGAATAACAAGGGTTCGAATAACACGTCTATGTGGAGTTTCTTCTATTTCTGCCAGACCTGAGATGGCAAGATCAACTCCTTCTCTTCCTTAGCCTACTCTATGTGAAGATGAGGATGAAGACCTTTGTGATGATCTATTTCCACTTAATGAATAAATATATTTTTCTCTTTCTTATAATTTTTTTTTTTGAGATGGAGTCTTGTTCTGTCACCCAGGCTGGAGTGCAGTGGTGTGACCTAGGCTCACTGCAACCGCCATCTCCCAGGTTCCAGTGATTCTCCTGCCTCAGCCCCCGAGTAGGTGGGATTACAGGCATGCACCACCATGCTTGGCTAATTTTTGTATTTTTAGTAGAGATGGGGTTTTGCCATGTTGGCCAGGCTGGTCTCGAACTCCTGACCTCAAGTGATCTACCTGCCTTGGCCTTCCAAAATGTGGGATTACAGGCAAGAACCACCGTGCCCGGCCTCCTTATGATATTTCTTAACTTTTTTTTTTCCTCTAGCATACTTTATTGTAAGAATACAGTATATAATACATATAATACAAATAACTGTTATCAGTAAGGCTTCAGGTTAAGTTTTGGGAAGTCAAAAGTTATACATAGGTTTTCAATCTCTACATTGTTCAAGGGTCAATTGTAATGACATTTGAGACTGTCTCAATAAATTAGCTCAGATAGTGGAAGCCAAGGGATAAGTTCTGCACAGGCAGAGAACTTCCAAGTGGCTTTTTAACCCACTTTTAAATCCAAAGACAGCCAAGAATCATCAGACTCTGATGAAAACCTCTAGATGAAAGGCAGCAACCAAGACAAACCAAAAACAAAAAAAAATGTAATGGAAACAGACCATGAAAAAGAAAAAAAGATTTGATGATAAAGATGAGGAAATCTTCCAGAAAACAAACAAAAAATAGGCAAAACAATAAGAATAATAGAGAACCATTCTAGAAAGTCCAGCACTAAATAATAGGAGTTCTAGAAAAAGAATAGAGAAAGAAGTAATTAGCTCCTCCTTAGTTCTCTACTCAAAACTCTCCAAGGGGCCCTATATGTAACTCAGAGAAAAAGTCAGAATCTTTTCAATAAGGCCTACGTAGACTTCCCTGTTTAAAATTACAAGCTGCATCCCATGCATGCCATCTTTTCGTCTATTCTCTACCCCACCACAATTCTTACCACCTTCTCTACTCCATATTTTACTTAATGCATGTTGTTTACTGTCTCTATCTTCTGGTGGACTGTGAATACCGCAAGTTTAGAGACTTGACTACTTTTCTCACTACTGTATCCCAACTGTCTACAATGGTCCCTGGCGTACAGTAAATAATTAACAAAAAATTATTGAATTAATCCAATGAGTTTTAAAGGAAAATAAACAAGCCAAGTTACAGACAAAGGAACAAGAACAAGAATGGTATTGGTCTTCTAGTAATAATGGAAATTATAAAATAATAGGACAATAATGTCAAAGTTCTGCGAGAATGATTTTCAACCTACAACTCTATAATAATCAAGTGAAAGAGAATAAAAACATTTCCAAACATGCAAGGTCTTAAATTGACCTCCAATGCACTAAAAGAATGCTTCACCAAAACAGGGGAGTGACCAAAGAAAGAGAAAAACCACACCACTAATAGAGTAGAGGTCAAACAAATCCCCAGAATGATGGTGAATATAGATCCTAGGATGACTACTGTGTAGCAGGTTTCCAGAGCAATCAGTCCAGACTGAAGACAGTCAGAAGGCTCTTGGAAATAATCCTTTATGACTTGAAAGAATACCTAATGTATCTGAAAACACTGAGAGAATACTTACACAACTTGAGCAGAATTTGGGGTTGAATTACATGAGAATAGAAAACTAAGCAAATGAAAAAACAAGGCAATCATTAACTCCACAGAAAATAAAAACTTGGTCACAAAAGGAAAAACAATCTGCCTATTACTACATGGCTTGGCTATGAATTGTGTTAACACAGCTATGACAATGACTACTGAACTAACCAATTTAACATTTACCCATATGGGGAAAATTGGGGGACAAGTAGGGAAAGTGTGTGTTGTGTATATGCAGGGAGTGCTGATGTGAAAAACAGCTAAAAATTCAGCGTCAATAGATCAGAGTTAACAGATAATACCTAAATCTGAAAAACCTATAATTAGAAATATAAACATTTCTTAGAGATTTCTTAGAGATTCAGAGTTAAATAAAAACTTCAGCTAAAAGATTTGAGAGTGATTGTCTTTGTGGGTAATGGTAGTGGTGTTGGAGAAGTTTTTTCTGAAGAGCCTTGTAAAAATATTTGACTCTTTAAATCAGAATTATATATTACTGATATTATAAATTAAAATAATTTTAAAAGAGCACTAAAACTTTCAAGAGACACATATCAGTTTATAAGTATATGGCTTTTAATTCTATTTTAGGGCCAAGTGAAATATTTTTTTCATAGTTGACTTCTAAAAGGTAATTGTATCCTTTTAGGGAGGCAATACATCCTGCTATGAATGGCTAAAACATACCTGTTTGCTTGTTGGTGTGAGTTTTTCTTCTGGAGACTTTGTACTGAATGTCAATAAACTCTGAAAAGAGAGAATTAATGATGCAAAAGACAAACTGTAGAGTGCAAATCTAAACAAGGTGTTACAGGGTGTTAAAAAATGAGAAGGTCAAATTTTTCACTTTGATATATATATTTGACAACAGAAAAGGAATAAAAGATTTAAACCTATTTAATAACCACGATGAGAGTTACAAGATTATGTCTGAGAGATACTTAAGAAATGGTAATGAATAAAAAATATAACTGACAGACAAAACTCAAGCCACCATTTTAAAAATTGCAAATCAAACACTGAAAAAAAAAAGAAAAAGAAAAAAGAATCATGCAATTTAAAGTATTTTAGTTGTCTTCTGCTTTTTTGCTGTCACAGAGTTAATACAAGCAATACCTAAGGAACCTCAAAAGTGTGGGGTAAAACGGTAATACATTTACATTAATAATGCTGCTGTACTGAGCATATTAGACAATTTTTTGGGAAATAATCCTTTAATGAAGCTGTTTCACCTAGAAACAAACTCACACCAATAGTCATGGGCTATTAGTCTAAAATTCCATGTACAAAGTGATCGCCTTTTTTGAGGGAGGCAGTTACCTGTGATTTTGTTAGGAAGTAAAACTGGGATCTATTTAGCCACTGGTAAGCTTCTGAGGTGAAGGATTCAGGGACATCTCGTGGAACAAACACTCCCCACTGGACTTTCTCTCTGGAGATACCCTTTTGAATATACAATGGCCTTGGCTCACTAGGTTTAAATACAAACACTAGAGGGAAAAAACAAAGAAACAATAACATTTTGCCTGAAAAGGTTAGTTCTAGCCTCAGACTGGCAGATCACACTAATCCTGGGACTCACCCCATTGAGTAACTGGCCCAAGTCATGACTGTTTTAGGCTTTGATTCAAGAGGTATCTACTGTGTTCCTACTATGGGCCAGGCAGGTTAGGAATGAGGGCTATGAGGATGAAAAACAGAAAGAAGAATTCGTGCTCCAGAGGCCAGGGCCCACTGCAGAAGACAGAAACCAAAATATTATTACAGTAGTATTTTGTCTGTAAGTACTAGAAATGAGATATGTAGAAACTGCTTCAAGAACATAGAGGATGACCAATTAAAGCTTCTCAGGGGCAGTTGGAAATATGTCAAACTGGTGAAATCTCTTGAATTTTAAAGATTGAGTACGAATTGGCTTGTGGAAAAATAAGAAACATATTGGAGCTCTCCTAGAACTAAGTATGGACGCACACAATGACAAAGTGTTGGGGCAAAGAAGGGCCGTGCCTCAAGCAAAATGGCTTCCAATTAACATCTGATGTGAAGGCAAGTTTGGCTCAAATTATATTAAGAAGAAAACTTAGGTCATAGATGTTCTCTTACTACAAAGTGTGGTTTGTACTTACAGTCTGAACCCACTGAAGACTGAGAGATTGCAGCAATATTCTCTGAATTAGGATCGGGTTCCATAACTCTAACATTTAATTTTGCATTCCACTCCACTGAGGGGAAAAACAAAGGTGATTCACTTCTAAGGAAAGATTTACCAAAAGCTTTAAAAAACTTCTCTTATTCTTAGGAAGAGGAATCTTATGCTTCCAACTAACACACATGGAGACACACTGAAATGATTTGTAGAATGCTGCACTAAAGTGAGAGGCCGAAAGAAAAACATACTGGAACTGTAGTGCTCCTTGTACAAACTATGAAAAGATTATTATTTCATTGAAATTTATGTCTAGTGCTTTTCTGATGCTGCTAAATGTGTACAGTATGTTAACCAGAGTTAACTGTAAAGAATACTGAAAAAAGTTACCATACACATTCATTTATAAGCAGCTACTATGCCTTCCAAACATACACTCAAATGGGTAAAATGCCACTAAGTTCACATTTGTTAGGACTGTGATAGACTACATTTGAATTTAAGCTGTCAGGGATAATGTAGATTAGTAAGTATTAAAAATGAGCAGAAAACATTATTCAAATTGTTACGAGGATGGGGAATATGGAGGGCATCAGAAAGTCACACACACTGAAAACAGTAGAAAAAGGTAAGGATAATGGAAGCTGACGTACCAACAATTAAGCAGTTAATAAATAATGTCTATTACAGGCCCAGTATTCCAAATTTTGGTGGCATCATATGTCACGTAAAAAACTGACTATTCCAAGTACAGACCTGATGATATGATCCCTAAGTCCTAAAATGCCAAAGTTTAATGTCAACTCCTTATGCGCTTTGCCAGATCACTTTAGAGTAAAAAATATCTTACATGCACAGCTCAGCAGATTCCAACAGCAAAGAATGCCATTTTCAGTAGCACCAAGTAGATACTTTGAACACGTCAATCTCCCAAAGCAAAGGTGCCTAGATTAAAACCACAAGGAAGTTAGCAACAGTCAGTTCTAGCAAATTCAGTTACAAAGAACTGCAGGCTTCCAGCGGCTGTTCTATGTAATGCAGATTTTTATATAGACATATATATTTTTGTTTATAATTATCCTGAAGAAAAAAGTGTCTAAGGAGTACAAAAGGAAGGGTCTAGTTAGCTATTTCTTTAGGAAAACAGAACGGATGACCAATTCTTTAACACACTGTGCGGTATACCAATTTACATCTAACAGAGAAAATGTACATGAAACGTACAGTCATCTGACAAAAATCCTATTTACCAAGAAGAAGAAAACTTGCGATTTCAATTGTGAAGAAAGTTTTACAAAGTAAATTCAGAATCAGACATGCTGGGAATTAGAGACGATCTCATTAGGCATCTGATTCTGTCCTCAGGCCCAACTACCTGAAGCAGGACCTGAAAATGCTGCTGCTACTTTCCCCTGCACCTCTCGGAAACAATGAGGTTGGCGCATAACACGGTTTTTATGGGAATACACAGAAAATAAGAAGGTTTGGATCCCCTGAGGCTTATGTATAGCTTCTGTTACCATTCAGCACATCCATGAAAGTATTCCAAAGAAAAAATATGTAGGCCAAGAGTTAAATGTTAACCTGAATTTCAGAAATGTTGGCACAGTTTGTGGACTCAGAATTTTTGGCTTTCCAGCATTTTGATTAGCTGCTTGCCCCACTGACCTTCAGGCTACTTTTGGAGAGGGCATAAATGACTACTAAAGTTTTAAGACTTGTTTAAATAAGTTAAAAAATAGTACTACATACTTCCCGAAGATTTACCTACCTTATTTTCCCAGCTCGTTGGCAAAATGTACATTTAAGTTCCCATGTTACAGAATCCCATATTGTGACTATTTCCTCAAAACTAACTGCTAGTAAAGAACCATCTTCGGAGAAACAACAGTTAGTTGCTTGATACTTGTGATAACTACCAACAAAGTCACAGGTCCAGCCAACAGCTTTTTCTGTGGAAATATAAGCCATAATGTTCAGAAATTGTGTAAATGCTAGAGAATGCTACAGTAGTTCCCCCTAGTTTCCCATTATCTGAGGGTTCACTTTCTGTGGTTTCAGTTCCTAGGGGTCAACTGAGGTCTGAAAATAGCTGTGTACAGTACAAAAAGATATTTTGAAAGAGAGAGAAAGGCAGACACAGAGCATGCACATATTCACTTTTTATTACAGTATATTATTGTAATCATTCTATTATTAGTTATTAACCTCTTACTGTGCCTAATTTATAAATTAAACTTTATCTCAGGTATGTATGTATAGGAAAAAAACAGTATATACAGGGTTCGGTACTATCTGCAGTTTCAGGCATCAACTGGGGCGGGGGGGTCTTGGATTGTATCCCCCACTGTTAAAGGGAGACTGCTAAATGAGGGACATTATAAGCAGTAGGGATTAAGAAACAAAGATGCACACACAAATAACAAATAAAATAAAAAAGAAACAAAGACACAAAACAAGAAAACCTGTTCCCCACAACTTCTTTAAGTCAGAACTGCTACAAAATACTGACTGTTCTGAAATTTATGCCCTCTCCTGGAGACCTTGACCTCCCTCTAGTGGAGGAGTGAAAGGACTCTTGGTAAAAGCCCCTTTTACTTTACCCTAAAAAAACAGAATAATCAGCACATGATTAATCAAGAATGCCATTTAAAAAGAACAGATTTGAGGAAAAAGGCATGTAAAATGTAATCTCTTAAATCTATTAAGATTAAGCAATATCCTGTAGAATTCAATAAAGTAGAAAATGTCCTCCCAGGATGGATACAAGTCATGAGAAAAAGAAATTAATTCCTAAAATTGTGCACACTTTAAACATAACATATTTAATAACTTACTGTATATGTCAGAGTCATCTGTTAATATCCATACTTTGAAGTAACCATCTTTGCTAGCTGTAACCAAGGTGGGCTGTTCAGATTTTTCTGCATTACAGAAACAGAGAGCTGTAATGCAGTCTTCGTGTGGCATGTTAATTTTAGTGTTAAGAATAAACCTAGCGGGAAGGAAACCACAAATTTATTCTTGCATGAGGACAAAGTGATGTATATAAGAATTTCTGACATGCTGTACATTTTACAATAGCATCTTGAACAACAGGCAACTGATAATCACGTAGAATGACAAACAATTGAGTGCTCTACCTCTAATGGCCACAGGACGCAAAGAGTTCTAATATATCACCTTTGCCCTTGTGTGACTTTAGAGAACATTCTGTGTAGTAGTCAACCCACTAGTACATTGGTACAAAATGAGGATAATACAGGTCACCAATCAATGATACTCAAAAGCCTACTGTATCAAACTCTGTAGGAAACTTGTATAGAACCCAGATTCCTGCCTACTTTTGAAAATAAAAAATGGAAAGGCCGTGAAACGCCCCACCTGGGGCAAGGAAAAATAGACAGGAAACTACTTAGTCAAACTGGCTGGTCATTATTTACTATTTTTAGTCACCTAAATGACTTCTTAAAGCTTATTTCGAGCTTAGAGGGCAACGCTGTGAATGAAAGACAACTAGGACTGTGTTCTTAAAAGAACATCAAGGCAGCATAGGATTGTGATTTTAAAAAAGCACAAGTTATAACAACAGTGACTAGGGACAACCACTTAATCTCTCTGGGCCTGTTTCTTCACCTATAAAATATAGACAACAGGCTTATCTTACAGTGTTCTTTTGAAGAGTAAGATAATGGGTACAAAGCTCTAAGCCAAGTTCTTGGCACACAGCAAAGATCTGTTAAGTGGTTATTATAGCCACAGTACGAGAGTGGATTCCTTATCTAATCACAACATCCATGCTACATTATACTATGCTACACTTCTACCTACACTCCCTCTTTTCAAAAGGCAGTATGCTGTTAACGGAAGAGCAAGGGAACATTTGGATTCTAACCCTGGATTTGCCTAGAATTCGGTATTATGCCCTTGAGGAGGTGTCACTTTTCCATGTTTCTTTATTCATTATGAGATGACATTATGACTTAGAGGACATCAATGTCTTCTCAGAGCAGAAAGCTTAAAGGTTTTATTAGAATAAAACCTCTCCCATATCTCTAAATCTAAACCTTGTCAAGATGAAACATCTTAAAGACAATTGAAACTGTAAAATGGGAAGTGAAATATTTTATACTTTGAAATTAAGTGGCTACACAGATAGTATTACCCTTGTGTTTTCTTATTATACATCCACAGTTTCATTTGCAATTCAAGCTCAGTTTCCTTTTCTTGCCGCTGTTCCACTGTTGCAAGCCAGTTACCAAAGCAGCCAAATGCAGCCTTTGTTAGTTCAATTTGGATCAGACCATAATCATTAATATATTCTTGCTGTATAATATCTAACTGATGAGTAAAAAAAACCAAAAAACCAAAATGTTTATTAACATAAATACACAAATGTTACAGCATTCAAGAAATGATAATTAACTACATCCAAGACAACTTCTGTACTGTATAGTAATAGATTTTTAAATAAAGGCAAAAATGA
This sequence comes from Homo sapiens, assembly GCF_000001405.40. Classification (NCBI taxonomy): domain Eukaryota; kingdom Metazoa; phylum Chordata; class Mammalia; order Primates; family Hominidae; genus Homo; species Homo sapiens. Next base: position 189,464,933 of record NC_000002.12, on the reverse strand, counting down.
ACTAATTGTTACTATGGACACCAAAATTGCCATTAAAAAAGGGAACACATTATAATAGTATCAATTTGGTGGTAATTATTCTTCAATGACCTTGAATATTAGCGATTACTAACACCCACTATATGATACAACAGAACCGTTAATTTATAGTAGTGCTTTTCTTTTGTTTCTAAGAACAAACAGCTTTACATCATCTCAAGGCTAGATTCTCTGTCAACAGAAACAAGCAGAACAGAAATAAACCTACAATCTTTAAGAAATGAAAAAAGATAGCCAATGTAAGTAGGCCAGCATTTATTTATGGTTGTTTTAAAAAAAATCCCATTTCCTTGCCTATACTAAGTAAATAAAATGCCTACTATTAAGTGTACTAAATGCCTACAATTTACAGGCATTATACTTGAGATAAGCATAAAATGATTAATATGCTTCCTTTTTTTTGAGGGGTCTAAAGGCCACGGTGAGAAAGAGCTAGTGTCACAGTTGCTATGACAGAGATCTGTAAAGAGTACTGTGGGGAACAAGAAAAGTGGGACATCTGGATTGGACTTATCAGGATTGGAAGAAGTGTTCCTCTTTAATCTACACTGAAAATTTTATCTTCAATATGTGAATATGATAGTGTTTCACCACGAAGCAGATACAAATTTGTACTGTCAATCTACCTATTTTTGTTTCTTTATCCTTGTGACTCAAAAGCACAGATGTATGGGATAGCTAATAGGAGGGCATTCTGAAACAAAAGACAGAGACAGCACGTACAGGAGTGCCAACTGGCTTACATGTAACCTGCAACTGTGGCCTCAATGGAATTATGCTCTGAACAACTGAACTAAGTAACCACGGATAATACTATGTTCAAGTAAACATATGCACAGGATCTTGTTTTAAAAGCTACTAAACAAATTGCTTGACTCCAGTGGTACTGTAAAGAGCTTTCATTAATTTCAAGGCTAATGATCAAAATCTTACATTGTATAACTGTTTATCACTCTGGAGAGAATAAAACTGCAGGTGGCCAGGTTTTCCATTCAAAACCAAAGCTTTAGTTCTTGGATCAATCATCAAACCAGTGAAGATACTCCTATCTGCAGAAGTGGTGACAAATAACAGGTGAAATAAGAGAAATATGCACTCTTTAAAATGTTCATGATTCCAAATCCACTGAGTTCTGCAATACCTTTCACTAGGCCTTGAATTACTGCGGATGCTTCAAGGTTTCGGTGAATAATTATTATCTCTGTGGGTAGAAAAAAATAGGTATTTAAATATCAATAGGTTAGAGAAAGCTTGTCCAACCTGTGGCTCAGGGTGGCTTTTTATGCAGCCTAACACAAATTCATAAACTTTCTGAAAACATTATTATTATTATTATTTTTAGCTCATCAGCTATCATTAGTGTTAGTATATTTTATGTCTGGCCCAAGACAATTCTTTTTCCAATGTGGCTCAGGGAAGCCAAAAGATTGGACACCCCTGGGTTAGAGCTTCAAGGTGAAGGAGTCACCTGAGTTTATATTCTGAAATATACCAGAATACAAAACAACCCAGTAAGTTCAATGAACTCAGAGTACTACTAGAAAATCAGGAATACATTTTGTGAGTTAGTGGAAAATCTAGGGGTGGGGATAGGGGCTTTTCTGTTGGAGTCTTTAAGTTTTTATCAGTTGTGCCTATGAACACATTTTAAGTGTTAATGCAAAATCTATAGAGTATATCTAATAAAAATAGTTTAACTTTTTCATGCCACTAAATGGACTGCTCACAGTTATGTTCTTTTTTGAAAGAAAAGGAAGTGGATTTACAAAGATATCCTAGTCTAGGCTGAGTAGTCACTGGATGAACAAAGTTTTGGAGAAATATAAGACTGCCTCTATTTCTATCAAATCTACAGGACTCTTGCCCCCAGGTAACAGCTGTATCAAAAGAGAATCTTGCAGTATTCTTTTGAAAACGGAAGGTTTATGAAAGCACCAATGTCCACTTCCAAACCTTCCCTTTATTTCCTCATGTCATCCCACACTAAAAGACTTTGAAAATGTAAGTGGCACATCAATAACCAAATACACTTAGCCTTCCATTTTATAAAAATAATTCTCAAAAATGTTGAATTCTGGTGGTGCCTAGGGGTAGAGAGGGGTGGAAAAGAGAGGAGTAATGCAAGGAAAAGAAGGCTCATTAAATCTCATACGCTACTCTTAGTTTTAGGTCTCTTTATTCTCTGTTCCCTACAGATGCTAGCTAATTTATGGTGTTTATATATTTCCTCATAATAAAAAATTTAGACTTACTATTATCAGAGTGAGAAGTGCAGAATAAATCTCCTGCAGGCGAGACTGAGATATGTTCAATAGTAGCTCCTAAACGCGGGAGAAACTCCTTATTCTTCTCTGTTGCATCGCGCCACTCTACAAGTACAGATTCACGACCGCCACTCAGCAGACTGGTGCCTTCATATCCATTCAAGGAAATTAAAAGGATGGTGTTTTGAGGAAAAAAGAGAAAGAAAAATATAATTAACACTTTTGTTTTTGCTACCGTACTAGAGAAATAAACTCATTTAAAGCTACAAAAAGTGTCTTCGTATCTTTTAATATACTCTGAAGACAAATGATCACTGGTTCAGGAATTTTTTTTCCAGTGATATCTGATTAGTTTGTTGCTGACCAACTCCTCTGTTGACAACTAGAAAAGCTGGACAAACAAATATCCTTTAGGCCAAGATAGCTTCACTGATAAATTTTTCTAAACATTTAAATACTATACCAAAAATATTATATATATATAAAAAAAAGCCGATTTCACGACAGATGAAAATTCTTAAGCAAAATACTATACCAATGATATATTAAAGGGTATCATGTCATCGCAGTTTACTGCAAGAATGAGATTACCTTAACAGCTGAAAAATAAATTAATGTAACCCCACTTACAGAACAAAAGGAAAACACCATGATTATTTGAATAGATGCAGAAAAAGCAAATGACAGAATTCTATACGTATTCATGATAATACCTCTCAGAAACTCAGGAATGGATGGGACCCTTTGAATCTCATCAAGAGTACCTGGATAACATCTATAGCAAACACCACACTAAAAGTTAAACTATTGAAAACTTTCCCTTTGTGATTAAGAATATTATTACCATTTTGATTCAACGTTAACTGGATGTCTAGTGCACTGAAATGAAACCAGAAAGGCTTAAGGATTGGAAAGAAGGAAATAATCACTTCCATGTTCACAGACAGCATGACTACACCAAGGCATAGCCAAAATAGTTTATAGATAAACTTATGGAATAAGTAAATTTAGCTGATTATAAGAGAAATATATAACAATCAATTTTATTTTTAAATACTAGCAAGTCAATTAGAATATAGAGTAAAACATACTATCAAAAGACCATCAAATGTCTAGTGAAAAATATATATGAGAACCACAGAAAAAAAATCCTAACTCATGGATATAAAGACCTAAAAAGTGGAAAAGTATTTATTATGATTACAAATTAAAATACTCAATACTATAAAAACATCAATTCTCCTCAAATATAGCAACAGCTGTATTGTCAACACGGTAGCCACCAGTCAAATGTGGCCAATTAAATCTAATGGTTTGAAAACTAACAAAAGCCTGCAAAAGACTACCTTAATGACTAAATGGATAAATAGGACACTGTTTCAGACTGTTTTCTCAAAAGTATTCCATCAAATAACCATTTTTCATTCTTTCATGAATCTAAAACAACTGGTTTTAAAGATCACTGGTTTATAATGGGGTTTTTATCAAATTTTCTAAAGCTGCAAGCTGATAAAATCTAGCTAAACAGAAGACTAAAGGTATGTAGTTGTGATGTACACAAACAAAATTAAGAAGTTTAATCTGATATATACACATATATGATACATTGTGCATATAGTTCATATATGCCTCAAGTTATGAAGTTCTCAAAAACAACTAAAATCTGTATTTCTTTTATATTTACGCAGCTATTTTTTCTTTTTCTAATAACTCATACCCACACAGTCAGTAAGGACATTTCACTGACAACTATGTACTGTAACCATTATTTCTCATTTAAAAATATTCATGCTACTTGAAATATAATATCAAGAATTCAAATAATGGCCGGGCACGGTAGCTCACGCCTGTAATCCCAGCACTTTGGGAGGTGGAGGCTGGGGGGATCGCCTGAGGTCAGGAGTTTGAGACCAGCCTGGCAACACGGTGAAACCCCATCTCTACAAAAAATACAAATAATTAGCTGGGCGTGGTGGTGCGTGCCTGTAGTCCCAGCTACTTAGGGGGCTGAGGTGGGAGGACCATTTGAGCCCAGGAAGTCGAGGTTGCAGTGAGCCAAGATGGTGCCACTGCACTCCAGCTTGGGTAACAAAGTGAGACCTTGTCTAAAAAAAAAAAAACCCCTGCCTGGAACATATACAGACACATACATATGGATACCAAGCACTCACTAGTATTTTGAGGGTGTGGAGTGGGAAGGAGGGTAGAGAATACAAATGAGCAGCCTACATTGTCTCCATACACTAGTCATTACTCCCCAAACCATAATCGGGTTGAAGGTGTCTCCTATTTCCTGGGGCTTCCGGGCATTACACCCAAGTAAGACTCTAAGGATACCACAGCATATGGTACCATCTAAGACTTGTCCTGTCAGTCTCCAGGAAGACCTGCAGAAAGAAAAATCACTTTTCCTGGCTTCTCATTTTTTAGGCACACAATCTTCTCTAGTATGTAGTAACTTTCTTAAAGAACCAGTCAAATAAACTGACATAACTCTCACCACATGGGTGTGAGGATGCTAAAAGTAAACAAAGACAAGATGTACTTCCCTGTATTTCTGTTGAAGACCACTTTACTTTAAAGGTATTTTTACTCGCTATAGCTACACTACACAAAGCTGTGACAGAAGTCATGCAGCTTAAATGAAACAATGATGGAGATTAATTTAAAATAGCTAATGTCAAATAAGGCCATGTAACAGTTAAAAACAAGAGCTCTAAAATCAGAACCAGGTCCAAACCCACCTACCCACCATGTCATGTTAGGCAAGTTAATTATCAACTCCAAATCCTACTTCCTTTATCTGTAAAATGAGTATAATGCCACTCATTTCCTACGGCCAATGATTAAATCAGATAATGGATGTAGTGTTAGAATAGTTACTTGCACCTGATAAGCTACAGTTATGGACCACACACACTTAGTTATGTAGACAGATATACCTTCAAAAAGTCATATAATTTAAATAGGTTATTTATGTAAACAACAGAGATTTTTATCACAAATGTACACTTTAGAACTTTGAAGGGCTTCAAAACCTAAAGCATATTGTGCTGAGCAAAGCCCAAAATACAGGGGTAACACACAAGTGTTTGGAATTCATTTGGCTCATGCAGTTTTAAATCTTCCAAACTAAAAATACAGTGAATTAAAACACTTGAATCATATCTTCAAAAGTTCATTTTAATAATTAAACCCGCACTTACCTGTCACTGAAAAAGCCAAATCCATAACCATATCATGGTGCCAATGTAAACATGTGTACGTATATTTCTTATCATCATAAAAATTCCTCCTATTGGAGAAAGATAAAACTCTTATTTTGACCATAGGTTTAAGTTAGGAAAACAATGGCATGCCAAATACAATAAACATAATATATACCAAACATACTAAATCATAATATAAAGGCTTCTGGTCTTAATGTGCACATTTTCTATTTCTAACCAGAGTGACTGACTTCTATAAATAATATGCCATCTGTGGTACCCTCCTAGATATTCACTATTGTCAGTCTTTCCTTTTTGGAGAAAGGCAAACAAAAAGTTTTCTTCAATAAAATGATTACAGGCAACAAAAAATGTTTCACTCACTTTATAAGTCCAAGGCTAGAAATTCTAAAACAGTAAGTATGAAATGAAAAGCACACAAAAAAGGAAAGGGAGGCTGTTTCTTGGGACCCAGAGATAGCCCTGTTCTACAGGACTAACGTAAAATAGTACATAAATGATCGCCATGCTCTTCATGAGCAAACTGACCAAAGACGAATTTTGCCATCCATGTGACCAGATGCGATGCAGTCTTCCGTTGGGTGACATGCTACACATGTAAAATTGTTTTTAGCATGCTTCTTATTTCTTGATGATGATAAAGTAAACCTAGGAGAAAAAAAAAACAAATTCCCTTAATTATTAAAGTCTCTTGATAAGTGGTGATGTAGTTAAGTAAAAGAGAGTTCCCAGCAATAGCAACCAAAATTGTAGAGCTCAGAATTCAATAAATATAACTGCAGGATTTTTTTTAAAAAGAAAATTTTGATCAAGAATCAAGCATTCTATTTTGTAAACATATATCAATATACAACATGAACTTCATGTAACTAATATTCTACCATAATAATTTATCTATGGAAGCCACTGACATTTAAGTAAAGATTTTAGTGATTTTTTTTTGGCCTGGTCAAAGCTTGTTCAAATTTCTCATTGAACCTACATCTTAGCATGAGGCATAATCAAACCTGAGACATTAGATCTGAGACAAATGGCTAATGCATCTGAAAGGACAAATCCAAAGGGATCAATCTACTTGTTATAATATCTAGCCTATTTCCTATTCTTTGGCTGAATACTTGTCAATCTTCAGGCTCTGAAGAAGTCAGGATCAATATTATACTAAAAAGAAAGCAATTGGCCGGGCACAGTGGCTCACGCCTGTAATCCCAGCACTTTCGGAGGCTGAGGCGGGTGGATCACCTGAGGTCAGGAATTCAAGACCAGCCTGACCAATATGGTGAAACCCCGTCTCTACTAAAAATACAAAAATTTGCCAGCCTGGTGGCAGACGCCTATAGTCCCAGCTACTCAGGAGGCTGAGACGGGACAATCACTTGAACCCGGGAGGCGGAGGTTACAGTGAGCCGAGAACACACCATTGCACCAGCCTGGGCGACAGAGCAAGACTCCATCTCAAAAAAAAAAAAAAAAAAAGCAATCTTGGCAGGGTAAAAGGGAAGAGGTAGTTATTATTTTCAAATAGTTAACTATTCAATACTTAGCACTAGCTGCTCTAAATACGTCACCTCATTCATCAGTACAACTCTGTTAGGTAGATATTATCTCTATTTTAAATATGTTTTAAATTGAGGTGCAGTGGGGATCAAATAGACTAAATCTGATCCAATTAAAACTTACATATGTCAAAGCCTACATTCATTCCTACATTCATAAAATGACAATGAGAATCATGTGGTGAAACCCTGTCAAACTACATCCAACTTTGACTCCAAGAATGCAGACTAGAATTCAGTGTATAGGGCTTTTGACTGGAAAAAGCTTCCTAGGTTTTGGTGACTAATAGTATGCTTAAAAACTATACGGTATGGTTAAAAACTGTACCTCCATACTTCACAGTCTTACACTCTCTTGCAACATAAAACTAGGAATAGCTTTGGACTATAGGTATTAGGAAGAAATAAAATTATAAAGAACTCTTGAGCAAATAAAATAAAGCTAATAAAAAATAATTCTTACCTTGATGTTGTTTTCTTTTTGAAAAAATAAACAGACAAGTAAAATTCCCGTACTGCAGCAACATATACTCCCTAGTATTTCAAAAAGAAGATAAACATTCACAAAAATAGTCAACACTCTTTTTTTTTTCTTTTTTTTTTGAGACAAAGTCTCGCTCTTGTCCCCCAGGCTGGAATGTGATGGTGCGATCTCGGCTCACTGCAAACTCTGCCTCCCGAGTTCAAGTGATTCTCCTGCTTCAGCCTCCCAAGTAGCTGGGATTACAGGCACCTACCACCACGCCTGGCTAATTTTTGTATTTCTAGTAGAGATGGGTTTCACCATGTTGGCCAGGCTGGTCTCGTACTCCTGACCTCAGGTGATCCGCCTGCCTCGGCCTCCCAAAGTGCTGGGATTACAGGAGTGAGCCACTGCGCCCGGCCCAACACTGTTTAAAAAGAAACACTCCCCCACAAAAGTTAACAGTAACTTTGTTCAGCTGATAAGAGTATATTAATATGATATATTCCACTTTGGCTATAGAAAGAATAATCATACTATTGAAACAATGACAGAAAATTAAAAGATGAACTTAGGTCCTAAATCCTAAAACTAGACTCTCAAGCTTAAAGTACAATGACTAGAATTAGGAATAACTTATATACACTAAAATGCAATGTTTGATATACATGTACATCTATATAACCACTGCCACAATCAGGATCTAGAACATTTCCTTCCTCAGAAATGCCCCCTCCTCCCTCTTTACAGTCATTCCTCAATGTTTCCATCCCACCTATCTGTTTCGATCACCATAGCTTATTTCTCTGCCGGTTGTAGAATTTCACATTCATGGAATGGTAAAATATACACTCTTTTCTGCTTGTCCTCTGTGGCTCAACATCATCCATCATCTTTTTGAATTTAATCTACGTTCTCATGTGTGTCATTAGCTCCTTTTTATTGCTGAGCGGCACTCCATTGTATGCATATCACATTTGTTTATTCTCTTGCTGATGAATATTTGGGTTAATTTACATTTTGGAGCTACTATGAATAATCACTCTTGTACACATCATTTTGTGGTTATGTTTTCATCTCTTTATGTAGGAATGGAATCGCTAGGTAAATGTATTTAACTTTGCTCTATATCCTGTCAACATTAGCTATTCTAGTGGACCTAAAGTGGTATGTTGCTACGGTTTTAATTAGTATTTATTTGATGACTAACAATGCTGAAGAATGCTGACATTAATGATGTTAAAGAAGTTTACTCTGAGAAATTAACTCTTTTCAGAATAATGCCAAAATAATGCTATAAAACTTAAGACTAAAGAAGCATGCCGCTACAGTGATGTCCGGAGGCTTTTCATAGCATTTGATTTTAAAATAGTAAAGTAACTGTTAACAGGGAATGGCTGAAGAAATCACAGTATAAAAACATCAGTTATAATTTATGAAAAACATGTTAGTATACACACATGCTGCAATGTTAAGTGAAAAAAAAGATGAAAAGACTTCTGATCTTAATTCTTTTCGGGAAAAGTTATTTTATGAATGTTAAGAAAAAAGCCTAGAAAGAGATTCTTCAATTATCACTGGTGAGATTATAGGTTTTATTTCCTCATTATATTTTTCTGTAGTTTCCAAATTTTCTATAATGGGCATATTAATTATAAACATTAATTAATTAACATATGGGAGGCCATAATTTCTAAAGACACATAGTCTAAGAGAGTTTACAAAGGCAATAGGACAGAACACACAAAAATAAGGATAGTCCTAAAAAAATCTATACCATAAATACATGCTAAAGCAATGAAGAGGCTTCTTAGTTACTAATACAAATATAGTAATTCAAGGGAATATAAAATCACTGTAACATAAAATGCTCAGAAGAGAGATTGCAGGAAAGAAATTTTAGGTACAAAACAGAAAACGAACAAAACAAAATTTACCTCGTTTCCAAAGGCAATGCACTTGGGTGACTGGTTTATGTAATCCAAAACAAAGGACAGCTCCTTGGCTTCTACTTCCTGGCTTGAGGATTTTGGCAGTTTCACTGAAACCAGCTGAAATATATCTAGCCAAAGAAAGCTATATTAATATAAAGCTTCTCTAGAGAGAGCAAACATGTGTAAGGAATTTATTCTTTTTTTTTTGAGGCAAAGTCTTGCTCTGTCGCCCAGGCTGGAGTGCAGTGGCGTGATCTCGGCTCACTGCAACCTCTGCCTCCCAGGTTCAAGCAATTCTCTTGCCTCAGCCTCCTGAGTAGCTGGGACTACAGGCATGTGACATCAAGCCTGGCTAATTTTTGTATTTTTAGTGGCGATGGGGTTCCACCATGTTGGCCAGGCTGGTCTCGAACTCCTGACCTCAAGTGATCCACCCATCTTGCCTCCCAAATTGCTATTATAGGTGTGAGGCACTGTGCCTGGCCCTATGAAACTGCTAATCAGTACTCTAGAATTTATTTGATGCAAGATAATAATTCTAGGCTAATCTTGAACAAAACATACCTTAAAGGTGGACTCTTTGTTTGAATGAGCAAGTTTTAAATGGAAGTCTAATTCCATAACTCATGTACATAAATGCCCCAAATATATAGAAATACAAATCTGGGAGGCCGAGGCGGGTGGATCACAAGGTCAGGAGATCGAGACCATCCTGGCTAACACGGTGAAACCCTGTCTCTACTAAAAAAATACAAAAAATTAGCCAGGCGTGGTGGTGGGCGCCTGTAGTCCCAGCTACTCGGGAGGCTGAGGCAGGAGAATGGCGTGAACCCGGGAGGTGGAGGTTGCAGTGAGCCGAGACTGTGCCACTGCACTCCAGCCTGGGCGACAGAGCAAGACTCTGTTTCAAAAAAAAAAACAAAAGAAATACAAATCAACTTGTATCTTACTGGTGCATTTTACATTCCAAAGTATTAAGCTGGGTTTTAAAATGGAAAAAGAATATGAATGTTGGTCAGCTGAGTAGCTAAAAGCAACAAATCATCTGAGAGTTTTCAGAAATGCTATGATGGGCCTGCCATAATATTAGGGTAAAATCTCCTTTTCTGTAATACTGACACATTCTTCTCTTTATATCCCTTTAAAAAATATCTCCTTAAGGGTATTCTTTTTACTCAGAGTAAAAGCAAAAGTCCTTCCAATAGCCTACGATGCTAAATATAATCTATTCTCCACTGGCTCACTTCCACCGGCCTCCCTTCTCCAACACAGCTGCACAGCCCTTCTTCCTCTCATTTAGTATTTACTCCTCCTATGTTGCTCATTTCCCTCCCCTGCTTTATTTTTCTCTAGACCACCTTTCATCTTACTGTATCATATTAACTAATCCAGTCAGTTTACTACTGGGACTTAGAAGTGTTTTGTTTTGTGCAATCATAACAGTATTTAGCACACGGTGGGTGCTCAATTAGGTGTTGAATGACTATATGACACATAGTCAAGAAATAATACCATCAAAAATAACACGTAAATGAAAGGCTAATTTGTTTTTAAACCAGAGAAGTAACTGCAACATGATTTATTCAATTTTCTATCAGAGAGTCTGGTTTTGGGCTGTGGAACATAGATAACACAAAAAGGGTACACATATATGTATAATATATGTTTTTGTATTTGAGTATGAGAGGCCAGTGGTGCAGTAAGCAAGCCAGCTAGCACAGGGGATCTTTTCAAGCCTGACTGACATTTTTATGTAGCAGCTATCCAGATTTTCTTATGCTGGGTGCCCATTATATGCCAAGTACTGAAGATTAATAATAGATCTCATTATGAGAAGAATTTAGATTACAACACAAGATCTTTACTTTAGATCAGTCGTTTTCCATCCTGTCTTGCATATTAGACACAACTGAGAAATTTTTCAGTAAACTAGGCCCCAGCACACAGAATCTTATTAAGTTCTTCATGTGATTCTTATGTGTAGTCAGTGTTTAGAATCATGGGTAAAAAGTTTTGCTAGCAGCTATTGGCAACTACTTTTCCAAGTGAGGAATCATGGAGTGAGTACAGGAAGTTGTTACCAAATACGAGTGATGAGCAGAATCACCTGGGACGATATTAAAAATGCAGATTCCTAAAGTACATCCCAAACCTAGTGATCAACCACCTGTCAGGAAGATTAGGAACCTGAATTTTTCGTAAACATGTGAACTGTTATCAGAAATCCACGTATTCAACATACGAAACCGAACTTAAATATCAAAAAGAGTGCTATGTTTGAAGCAGTCATCTGGCAAGATGACTTAATTATTTTTAAGAACGTTGCCATCTCCAGAACATTTTTTGAAATGTCCTTTGGAGGTGGTTTAGTGATCCTCCCACCTCAGCCTCCTGAGTAGCTAGGACTGTAGCCACCACATCTAACTTACTTTTCTTTCTTTTTGTCTTTTTAGAGACAGGGCCATGGTATATGTTGCCTAGGCTGGTCTCAAACTCCTGACCTCAAGCAATCCTCCTGCCCTGGCCTCCCAAAGCACTGGGATTACAGTTGTCAGCCATCATGCCCGGCCCCACTATCATCTTAAAGCTGCTTCATATTCTTCATTCTGAACACAACTGTATTTTATGGAGGACACCATAGCATACAGTGGCATTCCTGAATGTGGGGATCAGAAAATTTCTATAGATGTGTCCTCATGTCAGTGTTCTGTTTTATCAAACTCTATGGTAAGGGACAATTATTTCTAATCACTGACAATATTCTAGGAATTCCTAAAATGCTGATGCACAGCAGTTTCAATGGACCAATGTTCTAAAGACAGTGAAAATGTAATTAATAATAACTTAGTCACATTATTGGTTCTTAATATCAACCAATTTTTTTTTTTTTTTTGGAGACAGAGTCTCACCCAGGCTGGAGTGCAGTGGCGCCATCTCAGCTCACTGCAAGCTCCACCTTCTGGATTCACGCCATTCTCCTGCCTCAGCCTCCCAAGTAGCTGGGACTACAGGTGCCTGCCACCATACCCGGCTAATTTTTTGTATTTTGTTTAGTAGAGACGGGGTTTCACCGTGTTAGCCAGGATGGTCTAGATCTCCTGACCTTGTGATCTGCCCACCTCGGCCTCCCATAGTGCTGGGATTACAGGCGTGAGCCACTGCGCCTGGCCAATATCAACCAATTTTCTATGCCATTTCCACCCTGACTTAAGAAAGTGAGAAGTGTTCAATGATAGATAAATGATAGTGATGCTTAATAACAGATTTAAGTTCAGTAGAAAGACAAAATTCTATCCACCTTTGTAAAGCAGATTTAAAATTTGAGGTCTGCAATCTACTATTACAACCACATAAAAAATAATCCCTCCCTCACTGCATATTTCAGAATTCATACAAACCATCTCCAAATGAGCACAATAATGACAAAAGCAATTTAAATGCCCATTCTAAAAACTGTTGGCTTCAGATTAAAACCAAAATGTTAAATTTTGAGGAACTGTAAAATGTAAAGAGCCACTCAATGCCATATATAGTAAGTTAATTATACCATACCTGGTTTTTCTTTATTCACTATAACAAAGACAGAATCCTCAGCTTGGGCAAGAGTAAAGAGGGCATGAAGTTTACATCCAACTATGAAAGTCTGAAAGATAAAGAGCACCATAGTGTTTACTGTCTGTTCCCTCCAGTGGAACATAAGATCCATCAAGGCAGGGGTTTTTATGTATTTTGCTCATTGCTGTATTCCCAACATAAGGAGAGTACCTGGCCTACAGAAGACAACTAATACATATTTGTTAAATACTCTTTCGAGTTTCCTACATATAGATCTGAAATGGTATTGTACTGAATGTATCATAATTTTAACTGACATCAAGGTCATATTTAACTTTTTTCCTACCATAAACAATGCTATAAGGACTTTGTGTACAGGCCATTATTCCGAGGTGAGACTGCTGTAGCAAAACGTGTTTATTGATTTTCAGTTTTAACTCTCATTGGGTAAAAAAGTGCCTGTTTCTCCATACTTTACCTATCACTAGATTTTTTTTCAATCTACAATTTGGCTAAATTTATGAGGGGAAATATTGTGTCATTTGTTTTAATTTAGATTTCTTTATTAATGAGTTTAAGCATCTCTTCATATTTATTGACTATTTGTATTTCTTTTCTGTGAATTTACATATTCCTACTTTATGCCAATTTCTTCTACCAGGCTATTAGTTTTTCCTTATTGGTTTTTGGGAAGATTTTTGTATATTTGGAATAATATCTTTTGTAAATATCTTCTTCCAGCTTTACCTTGTCTTTTATAAGTGGAAAATTTTTATATAGTCAAATTAATTTTTTTGATGTTATTTTGTAACTTGTTTAGGAAGTCTATTTAAATATTTGGCCTTATAGAAACAGTACATCTACCATTAAATTACATTGCCTTTTTTTATTCACATAACGAAAAGTAAAGATCAATCCACATACCTTTATTAAGATGCCATCTATATAGTCCCACAGTTTAATTGTGCCATCAAGGGAACAAGAATACAGCTAAAAGGGTAAAACAATACAAAATTGATTTAAAAAAAAGAAATTCATCAAGATATCAAATGAATAATTAAATGTTGATCAGGGGCATTTTCTATTCATTAATTCACTGTTAACCTTAAAGAGGTAGAGTCATTTATTTATATTGCTTCTGCAAAACAATCTTTTCACAGCTTTCTGCAAGAAGCAGATCCATCCATTTCAAGTTTTAACTAAAAGAGAGAGGAAAAAAGCCAACTTTCTGTCTTGAAGAGGGAGATGGTAAGGTTTTGAATGAGATATGAAAAGCACCAAGGTGCAGTGGCTGCCACCTGTAATCTCAGCACTTTGGGAGGCCCAGGTGGGTGCATCACTTGAGGCCAGGAGTTCGAGACCAGCCTGGCCAACATGACGAAACCCCTACAAAAATTAGCCAGGCGTGGTGGCACATCCCTGTAATCCTAGCTACTTGGGAGGCTGAGGTTGCAGTGAGCTGAGATCAATCACATCGCTGTACTCCAGCCTGGGAGACAGAGTGAGACTCTCCAGAAAAAAAAACCAAAACCAAACAAAACAAAACAAAAACACCCACACAAGAGCTTGTTGCTCTTCCTGCCAGAACTCAGCTTACTCAGTTTTATTAGCCAAACTCCTTTTACCTTATATGAGCATTAAGGGAGTGCTTCTCAAGTGACTGAAGAATATTCTGCTTAAAAAAATTTCTTCCAATCCATCAAGGACCAATACTTTCATAAAATACAATAGAAATTATAATATGCTTGGATGCTGAGGCAATGTCAAAGTGTTTTGTGACACTCACATTCTGTACTCTTATACAGAATGGTAACTAATGGTTTAGGACACTGGTCTGTGGACCATACTTTGGTAGCACCAGAAGACCTTACTAACACATAGGCTTACTTTTGTCCCAGTGTACTTAGTTTTATTAATACTAAGTTTCTGCTAGATTTTGTTGTCGTTGTTATAGGAAAATACTTTGCTTATAATGTTTACAAAGAATTTTAATATTTTTAAAGAAAGTGGCAATTTTAGGATTTCTGCAAATAGAGACATGGACTCAGAGAAGAGGAATGTAAAAATGTTGGAGTAAAACCATATTATCTATCCAAGTCAAAAAATTATACAAACTAGGAAATTTATATCACAATTACTGCATATGAGAATCATAAATATGGACTAGTAAAATGTAACAAGTCAAACATATAATTACTGTCAAAACAATGGTTAATACACAAACACTGTGACTCCTAAGTCCAGAACTGCTGCCCCTGCACCTCAACCAAATCTGATAAAACTGCCCTTCTCTAATTTTACTCACTTTCAGTCATCCGAAACAAAGCTTTTATGAATTGTGTATACGTTTTTTTGGCTATAAAACTTAGTATATGGACTTCACAAATTTCAATTTTAACAAAATAATAGTTTTGCTATTAAAAACATTCAAACACTACACACAGCGATAAACTTTTGTCAAACCCTCAGAGGACGGCAAGCATAAAATATGTACTTGGATCCCGTAGAAAAGTTACTTAACTTTGATTTTTAGAAGTAGCTCATTTAATTTTGGAAAGAAAAGATCGGTGCTACTTTATTTCCTTTGGAATAAAAGTGAATGGCAATGCAAATCCATCCTTAATCAATAACTTCCAAGTTGGCTGTGACTAATCCAGGAAAATGGAATTGGATTAAAAATAAGAGCAAGAACAAAATATTGTTGAGATAAAATTTTAGTAGATTTGCCGAAACTTAAGAACAGAATTAACATGACCATTTCATTATTCTTAAATACTAAGAAAGAAGGGCTGCTTTGTGGGGGACGTGGGAAAATCTGGACTAAATTAAATTCCCAAATTTGTCTTGAAACTAACTAGTTGACCCACTCACCAAACAAATTTTCTTATCTAGACACTGGTCTTAAGACTAGGCAATATCTAGAGTAAGCCAGAGCCTTACTTCTAAAGGAACATATCTACCAAATCAATACCTCCTGGCCAACATTTTTCAAAATGTGTTCCAGACACCAAATGGTTCACAAGTCAAGTAAGTTTGAGAAACACCAAAAACTACATACCTCTTTTGGATATTCGCAATGCATGTAAGGGAACCTAAAAAGATTACAATCAACAAATACATTTAACTGTGCCTAGCCCTGAATTTCAGAAACTCATACAGCCAAGAATATCCTTCTCAGGTAATACCTCTTAGCATTCTGTGGAACAAATGGTTCACAGAATATGCTATAGGCAATGTAATTTAGCAAGTGGAAAATACCCTACAACTGAAAATAAGCAAATATTTTACTTATAACCTGGAAAGTTTCTCAGTCAAATTCAACTCAAATTTTTCTGTCAAGAACAAAGCCAGTCTTAAAGTATTCAGCTATAAACTGTTTGACACCTGTAGATGGTTGTTGGGGTTAAGCTGGATTCCAGTCACCAGATTTCTGTGTCCATGCAGTATGTGTACACACTCTTCTGTAACTGTGCTGTAAACTTTAACAAAGTCTCCAGAGACACAGAAGATATACCTGGAAAAAAAAGAAAGAAAAGTAAGTTTTACATACTGTATTAGCCTGTTTTCACACTGCTGAAAAAGACATTTTTCATCATTGTTTCAGTGGTCTTGAACTCCTGGCCTCAAGTGATACGCCTGCCTGGGCCTCCCAAAATGCTGAGATTACAGGTGGGAGCCTAGCACCTAGGTGCTTTACATATCTCATTCAAAACCTTACCATCTCCCTCTTCAAATTTATAAAGGAAAGAAATTTAATGGACTCACAGTTCCACGTGGCTGGGGAGGCTTCACAATCATGGTGGAAGGCAAAAGGCATGTCTTACATGGTGGCAGGCAAAAACAACTTGTGCAGGAGAGCTCCCCTTTATAAATCCATCAGCTCTCGTGAGACTTATTCACTACCACAAGAACAGTATAGGGGAAACTGCCCCCATGATTCAGTTATCTCCAATTGGGTCCCTCCCACATGTGGAAATTATGGGAGCTACAATTCAAAATGAGATTTGGGTGGGGACACAGCCAAACCATATCACATACTCAATAGGTAGTAGGATCTTTTTATTGTCCATGATAAAAATGCAACAGACATTTCTTTTGGTATAGTTTAAGAATTGTATACTCAAATTTGTGTGCCTTTTGTCTATGGGGACATCTATGACCAATCAGTTCATTAACTCAGAAGAGATTATTAACTCAGAAAAGATTAATGATGCCAATATCATATCTCTTGACTGTTTGTAGACAGAGGCTATAAATGGAATTATCCTGCAAAAACAGCCAGCTTAACCAAGTTGCCTGCTCATTAAATGGATGCAGACACTGTACTAGTCACTATCAACTATTACTCTTCAATAGTACTGCCAACAGCAGTGTTTTTCCATGTCCCCAACATCTCCATGGTTCACTGGCAACACCAGCTTACAAATGGTAAGTCAAAGGTTCTGCTCCAGTTGGTGAGGTCTGGGCCTTTTGTACAGAAAAATACAAAGACTTTATTCCATTTTTGTTTCTTGTTGCTGAAATGCTAGCTTTGCTTTGTCTTTCTGGATTTGTGGATTTCTTCCATGTAGCAGCAGCTACTAAATTACTAAAAGTGGTTAAGCTACTTGGGGCACTGTTTGACTACTTTCACGATATTATCACAGAACAAGGCGCAGAAATATAAATCTTCTTGTATCTTCCAAGTAAAAAGTATTTGCTCTGTGTCTATTATATTCATAGCAGTACTCTCTTATTTATGGTTTCACTTTCCCTGGTTTTAATTACCTACAGTCAAGATCAATCTGAAAATATTAAATGGAAAATTCCAGAAACAATTCATAAGTTTAAAATTGTATGCCATTCTCAGTAGTGAATTCCCTTGTCTCACCTGAGACATGAATCATTCCTTTTTCCAGCATTCTCTGCTGTAGACACACCTGCCCGTTAGTCACGTAGAAACTGTCTAGTTTATCCTATCCACTATTGCTGTACTGAAGTACTTATGTTCAAGTAACCCTTATTTTACTTAATAATGGCCCCAAAGTATAAGGGTAGTGATGCTGACATATTGTTATAATTGTTCTATTTTATTAGTTATTGATGTTAATCTCTGTGCCTGATTTATAACTTAAACTTTATCATAGGTATGTATGTATAGGAAAACATTTACTATATAGAGTGTCTGGTATTACCTGTGGTTCTAGGCATCCACTGAGGGTCCTGGAACATATCCTCTGTGGACAAGGGAGAGCTACTGTATTACAACACACTAAATTTGTTGCAAACTGGGACCACTACTATCCTATTTTATTAGTTCAAGACACTTGATTTTCACTTGTTCATCTCTTTGAAATTAGAATGCATCTTATAATCAATGGTCTCTTGTAAGTGCTGTCAGCCAGGAGGCATGGTTGTATGAAATGGTATAAGATCAAGAATGTATGAGCAACAAAGCATTTGCGATATATAACCTGCCCTTTGGCTGGAGCCTCTTCTCCATTCCCATGAGTACTTCAGTTCAGAAGCTTAACATCTCCAGCCTGGGCCACTCTTCAGGGCTTCCTACAGTCTCCAGGTACAGTCCTTCAATGCAGCTTTCACAGTCACACCAGACTAATTTTGCAAATTTGACCATATTACTTGCTCAGATAAAGCTAAAATCCTTCACTGTTTTCCCTCTGACTTTAGGAAATGATCTAAATTCTTAAGGCTTTGGTAGTCTGATCCCAGTCTAACTTGAACTACTTTTTCACTTAACACTGTGCTCTATTAAAATAGTTCATAACTCCAACAATTTCCCCCATCCCCCAGACACACCCTATCAATATGAAGAGGTCCTTTAGATATGGCTTCCTTGAGACAGTGGTGGGTAGGGGGCTACTGTTGGCCAAGAAAACTTTCCCTAATTGATTCTGATAAGCTTCCTCAGAAAAAAGGAATATCCTCTCTTCTTGTTTCTCAGCATAGAACAATGGCTTCAATTACTTAAACGCAACCCTTCAAAGTCAACTTTCTCTCCATGGTTTTGCACTCTCTGCTATCTACATAGAACACGTTTTCTAATTACTTCTTTTTTATTTCCTAAGAGTAAGCTTATTTTTTAACTTTTAATTTTGAAATAATTTTAGATTTACAGAAGAATTACAGAGTTCCTGCATACGCTTCACCTAGCTTCCACAAATGTTAGCACTTTACATAAGCACAGCATGTTAGTCAAAACTAAGATATTAACACTGGTACATGACTATTGACTACATAATTTATTTGGAGCTCTTCACTTTTTCCATTAATGTCTTTTTTATGTTCCTAGACCCCAGTCCAGCATACCACCTTAGTTGTCATATCTTCTCAGAACCTTCCAATCAGTGACAGTTTTTCAGTCTTTCCCATTTCTCAGAACTCTTGACTACTGCTTTAAGATTCAGCTCAGAATTTTCTCCCGGAAGCCCTTCCTCATCTTCTCATTCTAGATCAGCACCCGTCCTAATGTGCTTCTACACGACGGTGGGCTTAGCTCCATCACAGAACTTACCACAAGGCATTAAGACTGTCTGTGTACTATGTTTCTCCTCTACCAGACTGTGAGTCTTTGAGGTGAGACACTGTGTTTTCACTTATTAGAAACAATAATAAGTCAAACACAAATGGATTCGAATGTCAGCTTTATTATGTATTAGCTGAATGATGTTGGAGAATTTACTTAACCTCTTTAAACTTCACATCTCCACTTACAGTTAGCCACTGTAAAATGTAAATAACACGTTCTCATAGAGTTTAAGTGAAACATTGCATGCAAATACAAGCTTAGCATACACAGCAAGCACTCACTCAATAGGGATAATACCTTAACCTTGTAGACTGGAAGGTGTGTAATGCACCCACCACAACACCTGTCACATAGGATTCATCTTTGTTGAGAAAGTGAAGAAGTAAGAAATTAGGGATGTTTCAAGTCGGAACCAAGATTTAAACTAGACTCTGAAGGATGTATGATTTAAGGGGTGGGAAGAAAAAATAGCAACATAAGCAAGAGCAAGGAAATGGTATGATTATATACAAGACACAGATAATGTACTTATCTGACAAGCAAAGTGTCTATAATGGGTAGTATCAGGAAACAGTTGGGTAGGAAGAGTTGAGCTATATCAGAGAAGGGATTGAAAGCCATATAGAGGAGCTATAGTTAAGGAGGCAACAAAAAACTGTTAAAAAGTTCAGAGCAAGACTAGAAATAAGAGTTAGAGTAATAATGTTATAACAGTAACAACTTAGGAAAATTGTTACAGCAGCAATACTCAGAATGATCTGTAAGGGAAAAATACTGAGTTTGGGACATTAGCTTGTGGGCAATTTAGGAAAGTGAAAGGCAAGGATGACTCATTGTTTCAGTTTTCTCTACCCTAACAACCCCAGTGCAATAATTCACAGCACCATATAACTGTGGGATGCCGCAGAATGGGATGCAAACAGAACTGGACTGAGAGTCAGTAATATCTAATATGGGAACACCAGGAACTTACATGTATACCCACATGCCCCTCAGAACAACCTACTCAAGTACCTAGAACAGAGTTTTTGTTCTAGTTTCAAGAGGAAGCCGCCAAAATTCCACAAGTCTGTCTTTTTATGATTTTGGCTTTCTTGATAAGCACCTTGAGGTAAAATACAAAATTATTCCTCTTTGTATAAGGCAGCCAATCCCTTGTGGTACCTTGTAGATAATATTCAAATCTTTGCTGAGTTCATTAAAATCCTGTCATTTGTTAGATAAATGGTTTTAATTATTAGCTTATATATAGATGACAAAAAAAAAATCTCTAAATCTTGACCAAGTTCTCCAAACTTCAGTCCTGAATTTCTACCTACTACTAGCTATATCCACCTGGTTGTTTTACAGGTACCTTAGAGTTAATAACCCCGAACTGAACTCTATCTCCCCATTGACACTGACTGTGAAATCACTCTAAAACCCTGTCTCTTTTCTCCATGTTCAATATTACCTTAGTTTGGGCAAAAGTGATTTCTTGCTTGGATGCCTGCACTGGTCTTCTAACCCCTGGTCTCTATTCTTCCAGAGTCTTTTCCTGCCATCTCTTATACCCTATGCTGCAATTACACTGACTTTACATAGAAGGCTCAATCCCCCCAGTTTTCAAGGCCCCCAGATTTCAAGCTTGTTTGCCTGGCATTCCATCCCCCAGTATTACTGGTGAGGCAAACTCTTGCCATTGCTGCAAGAACCACTACTGAAGGTAAAACTGACTATGTAACTCCCTCTTCTATGCCATCACTGTACTTTATGTACATCAGCCTACCCAGCTCTCATTTCTCCACTCACCAACATGTATCATAGAGTTTTACAGTTTTCAGGTTAACATTATTGAAGAAACACAATCAAATTACAACTGATTACCGCCGTCCCCTTAAAGAATTAAAAAACCATTCTCTTTGGTCCAAACAACAACCAACAACTGGCTGCACGTGTCCTTTCCAACCTCATTTCCCACTACCTCCCTTAATATATACCATTCTTACTAGCTAACTGTACCAGCCTGTTCAACAGAAATCACTTCTGTCTTTCTTGCTTACACTGTCCTCCCCACCTGAAATGTCTTCTGTCCATATTCCCCACTTAAAATATCATCTAGGCCTAGCACAAATGTCATTTGCTCAGCAATCTTCTCCGTCCTTCTTAGTTTGGGAAGTAATCTCTTCTTATGAGCTCCTTCCTACAGGACCACAGTAAGAAAAATCTGTTACTGAGTATTCCTTTTCCTCACTAGACTGTAAGCTCCTCGAAGGCAGGATCAATATTAAAATTATCTTAGTTTTTGTCACTGCAGCATGTTATACATAATATATAGTTGACAAGTACTTAAAAAATGAATTGTTGGGCTTAGCAAATCAAACACACAATGGACCTCATTATAATGAATAAGGTATAAGAACAGTACTGGTTACATGGATATGAGTCCGAAGCGTCACAGTGTGACAGCCTCTTAAAGCCTGTTTCTTCCTTTGATTCATAAGATCAATGTCAACAAAGCCACAGGACTCATTTTTTTTTGGCTTCTAAGGCAATTTATAAAAGCTCTTTCAGTCATGCTTGCATTACCTTCAACAACTACCTGTCGTACACTCATATGCAGAATATTGTGGGGGTGGGCCGGGCACAGTTGCTCACTGTAATCGCTGCACTTTGGGAGGTTCAGGTGGGCAGATCACTTGAGGCCAGGAGTTCCAGGGCAGCCTGGCCAACATGGCGAAACCCTCTCTCTACTAAAAATACAAAAATTAGCGGGCGTGGTGGCCCGCGCTTATAATACTTGCTACTCAGGAGGCCGAGGCACCAGAATTGCTTGAACCAGGGAGGCGGAGGTTGCAATGAGCCTAGATTGAGCCACTGCACTCCAGCCTGGGTGACAGAGTGAGATTCTGCATCAAAAAAAAAAAAAAAAAAAAAAAAAAGAATATTGTGGAGGCTACAAACTTTCATAAAATA
The DNA here is from genome assembly GCF_000001405.40 of Homo sapiens. NCBI lineage: Eukaryota > Metazoa > Chordata > Mammalia > Primates > Hominidae > Homo > Homo sapiens. The sequence continues at coordinate 189,442,408 of NC_000002.12, read as the reverse complement.
CTATCTCTACTCTTCTAAGGCAGAAAGGGTTTTTTGATTTTATTAAGTGCCACCCTACCTAAAGTTATTTGAAAACCTGACAATACAGTAATAATGATTACAGCTACATACATTGAGCCATTATGTGCCGGGCATTGTTGTCTGTAGTTTTAACATATTGAGGCATTTAATCCTCCCAATAACCACGTGAGATGAACTAAATATTGTCCCCCTTTACAGATGATGGCAACTGAGGCAAAGATTAAGAAACTTACAAAGGTTTCATAATGTAAGAAGTGGATTTTGAAGCCAGGGAGTGGTTTGGTTTCCAGCTACACTGAGAAAAGAGACCAAGTCTTAGCGTATTTTTATCTCATAAAGAATCTAACATCTGTTTTCATGTAAAGTTCCGAAAAGACTGCACTATGCTTCATGCACTATGCTTCAGGAGTGAGGAGTGGGTAGAAAAAGCGGAATAGTTTTAGGTTTTAGTCACTCCAAAACATGATTCTGTACGAAAGAGTAGGTACTGCAAAGGTAGTGGCATACACATCCACCCCTGGACCATTTTCCAGCCGCCCGAACACCTTCCAGATCCTCGACACGGAGACCGGCTCCAGGGCCTTTATCTACCTGCAGGTAAACTGTCCAGGAATCGGGGGACGCAACCCAATCTGCAGTGGTAACGGGACCTCCCAGGTACCCTGGGGATCCCCCACAGGCGCGTGCTCTACCCAAAGCCGATATCCGCCAGGCGGGCGAGTCCGAACGCGACTGACAATTCCTTCTCCCCGACCCTCGAGAAACTCACGCCCCGCCCCTCAGCCGACAAAGCGCGGTGCCCCTCATACTTAGAATCTGCAGAGAACACAGCTCTCCTAAAGTTCAACTCGCTGCCGCCACAACGAACCACGCGGATGTTCTCCTCCTCCACCATCTTTGCGCAGTAGCGGAATGGCCAATCTCTGGTCCCGCCCTGAACTTCCTTCGTTGAGCCGGGTAATAAGGCTGTTCCCAGCCCACAGAACCCACCCCCGGGCCCTTCTAGGCCTGAGACTCGGTGGTAGGACTCCGCTTCCGTGCAGGCACCTTTTGTGTGGGCAATGTCAAACTAAGACACTTGTAAGAAAAGGTGAAAGCAAAACAGAGATTTAGAGACAATCAGTTTTTATTATATACCTATACACAATTATTTAATACAGACATATTTCTCTCAGGCCTTGTCAACCTGACTCTATGGCTTTTTCCGCCAGAAGGGAAAGGTGGCGTATAGTGTACCACGTGACCTCCAGTCGTCCCACCGGAGGCGTCGCTTTCTAGTGTCTGTGGTGTCGGCGCTGCAGGATGACGCGAGCCTCTCGCGTCCCTGGTTTTCTCGGTCGCAGCGTTGAGTTATTGGGTGGAAAGGTAGCTTTCTCTTCCTTGTACAGCTTTTTGTTCCTCTCATTAGCCGTTCTTCTGTTCTTGTGAACATCGCTTAGGTTACTACAGAATCTCCACAGTCCTAGGGCCTAGCTTTCTTCCTTTGGAAATCTGGCTCCTACTCCGGGATTCTGGTGCATCTTCCGCAGCGTTCAGTGTAGCTGCTCGGGCTAATCTGACATTCGGCCAGTCCCGCCAGGTTTCAGGGCGCTGGTCTCTGGTTTCCTGAGTTTTACCTTTTCCCATTAGTGAATAGAATCTGTGGGTTAGGAACCCCTAAAATCTCAACATGTTTATTTTTGCCAGTTTATCTCCAGTTTTCCTTTGTAAACTTACACGTATCATATTCTTGGACCCTGTATATTATGTTGCCTATTTTGATTTCGCTTCTTGATTTGTGGATTTACCACAAAATTACCAAGGTCTCAAATATAGTCACATGTCACATAAGGATCTTTCAATCAATGCATATAACATGGTGATTCCGTAAGATTATAATACTGTGTTTTTACTGTACCTTTTATGTGTTTAAATACACAAATACTATTCTGTTACAATTGCCTGCAATATTGAGTACAGTAACATGTTGTTCAGATTTGTAGCCTAGGAGCAATCAGCTATAACGTACAGCCTAGGTGTGTAGTAGGCTGTACCATCTAGGTTTGTGTAGGTACACTCTGTGATATTCACACAATGATGAAATCACCTAAAATGCATTTCTTAGAACATATCCCCATCATTAAGCCACACATGATTATACCTATAAGTTTATTTATGGTGGAGAAATACAATATTCACAAAGGTCAAGACATATCCTGGGACAGCACCACTGTAAAAATCAGGGATAAATTTACTTTTTACTGAGGAGTCTAGCTTATTAAAGTGCTCAAAACTTTATTATTTGGGGAGCCAGAACTAGAAAGGGAGATATTTAATAATTTTGGTTTATCTCAAGCTGTAACCAGCTTTCTCTTTCATGACTGTGATACCCTTTGTCACAGTGGATGGAGTGTAAAATATCACTTTTGATTCTGCAGCCTTAACCTCTTTTTGTTTAGTCTCTTGATGTATGCACAATAAATCTTTTAAAGACTTTGTTGGGTACTTTGTAACCTGATACAGGCTTTTCCTTAGGGCCTGAGCCAAGAAACAAAATAAATATTTTCACTCAAATTAGTGTGACTTTAGTTGTATGTTACTGTATGGTAACTTTAGATTTTTCAGAAAAGAATCAGAAATCCTGATATGGACAAAAACTAGCTGGATTGATAAATGTATAGGAGGATTATTTTACACAGAGTTTTAATTTACTGAAGTGCCCAGAAAGATAAGTCATTTGTATTTTGATTTCTTTTTACATAATTTTTAAGGAACCAATCCCACCTACAGCTGTTTAATTAATAGTGCGTTGTCTTTATCATGTAACAAGAAGGCTGAGGTAGGCAGAATAGGGCTAGTGCAGTGGATCATTCATGCCACCAGGGACCTGTGCTTTCTCTACTTTGTTCTTTGTGTTATTGTCCTTAACCATATTGGTTTTGTCCTTATGCTCACAGTTCATGTTCCTTTCAGTTAGAAGAAATAAGGGAATAGCAAGAAAGAGCATAGCCTATATACAGAAGGAAAAGGATTTTCCAGAAACACTTATTTGGCATCTTCCATCCAGGAAATATTTACTAAGTGCCTAGTATATGCCAGACATTCTTTCAGGCTCTGGGAATACTGGAGTGAGAAAAATAGTTAACAAAATCTGTATGTTACTGGACCTTACCTTATCATGGGAAGAAACAAAAACTTATTATACTTTTGATGTATTTATGTGCCAAGGGGAAACTCAAAGTAGAAAAGAAAGTGATTATAAGGGTTTGATCACCTTTATTATGGGTTTTCAGGGAAAGCCTTACTGAGAAGGTAACATTTGAAATAACCTGAAAAGGTTGAGAGTGTGAATAAGCATGGAGCTGTTTGGTGAAAGAGTCAGCCAGAGGAAAGAGTATTCCTTTCCATGTTCAAGATAAGTCAAGAGGCCAGTGTGGCTGGAGAATAATCATCAAGGGGGTATAGTAAAAGGTGAGGTCAGAGAGGTAATAAGAGGCCAGTTCATAGGGTCTCCTAGATCATTGTAACAGCTTTGGGTTTTACTCTGAAATTGAAGACAGTGTAGCCTTTGTGTTAAAAAGTGAAACGATTAGGCTAATTTTAAAAATTTACATACAATAAAATCTGCTTTCTTTGATATCTATGATGCACAAATTATCGTATCCACCATCACAAATAGGATACAGAAGAATTCCAGCACCTCAAAGAATTCCCCAGTATTTCTCCTTCCCCTCCCCAAGACCTATCCCCTGGCAACCACTAATGTTCTCCATCCCTAGTTTTGCCTTTTCCAGAAAGCCATGTATAAATGGTATCATATAGTATGTAACCTTTTCAGTCTAGCTTCTTTCAGTTAGCATATTGCATTTATGTTATGTGCATCAGTGCTTTATATTGCTGAGTGGTATTCCATTGTATGGCTATTTCACAGTTTATTTGTTGAATGTGTTTTACCCCCAGGTTTTAGAAATTATGCATAATACTTCTCTAAACATTCATATGTAGGTTTATGTGTGAACATAAGCTTTTATTTTTCTAGGATAAATACCAGCAAATGAGATTGCTCAAATCATAAGTGTATGTTTATTTAAGAAATTGCCAAACTCTTTTTTTCCCAGAGTTACTGTACTATTTTTGCATTTCCATAAGTAATGTATGAAAGTTTTAGTTACTTTACACCCTTGTCAGGACTTGGTATTGTCAAGGTTTTTTTTTTTTATTTTAGCCATCATAATAAGTTTGTAGTGGTATTTCATTGTGGTTTTAATTTTCACTTCCCTAATGACTAATGCTGAGCATCATTTTATATCCTCTTTGGTGAAGTGTCATCAAGTCCTTCACGCATTGCTTTATTGGTTATCTTCTTGTTGAGTTTTGAGCATTCTCTTTTAAAATTTTTATTTTTATTTATTTTTTATTTAATAAAATTTTTAAAAGCTTTCCCATTAGTGAGAAGGATTTAGTCACATTTTTACTGCTTAGTATCTTCATGTATGTTTCTGTTCCCTTCAACAGATATAAACACCATGTACAGTATTTCACACCACTACCCTGCATAATGTACATAGGAGACATCTTCAAGCAGATTACATCGATTTTGTATTAATGTCATGAATTACTTAGTGATAGGCCCTTGGGCTCTGCTATGTTTCCTCATTCCCTAATGATGGTGCAATTTTTATCTCTTCTTAGGTTTCCTATGATGCTGAAATCCTTATCTATCCCATATATTTTTCATTCTGCACTTTCTCTCTTGTATACCTCTGCCCTAGGAACCTCAGGCAGTTAAGTGATGATTATCACAAGCGGGTTATGTTCCATTTAAGGTTAACAGTTCTCATGGTTATAATTACACCTTTTCTGTTTTGGCTATGATTAAACCCATAGATTAAAATTGTATGATCTCTTGTACCCAGTGGCTAAAGCGAAATTTTAGAATGGTTTGAAATGTTGTTGCACAAAGTGTGGTCCGTGGACCAGCAACAGCAGTGTCACCTGGGAGCTTGTTAGAAATGCAGAAACTCATGCCCTACCCAGATATGTGGGATCAGAATCTGCATTCTAACAAGATCTGCAGGTGATTCCTATGCATATTTAAGTTTGAGAAGTACTACTTTAAAAAATAATCTAATGGCAGCTCTATATACAAATGGCTCTCAGTTGGTGCCTCCCACGGGCCAGCCACGTGCTTGATGCTTCATATATTTCTAATTATCTCAACAGCCCTGGAGGTGATATTTCTGTTCTATAGGTGAAAAACCTAAGACTTACTATGCTAACTTACCCTAGATCATTCTGCTTATAATCAGTAGCGCTGATCTTGGAACACAGTGGTGTCTGCTTCAAAGACTATCTCGTTCAGACTTTCTCTCTCTCTTTTTTTTTAAATCAACTTTTATTTTAAGTTCCAGGGTACATGCGCAGGATGTGCAGGTTTGTTATATAGGTAAATGTGTGCCATGGTGGTTTGCTGAACAGATCAACCCATGACCTAGGCACTAAGCCTAGCATCAAATTAGCTATTCTTCCTGATGCTCTCCCTCCACTCGGCCACCCCTGCGACAGGCCCCAGTGTGTGTTGTTCCCCTCTATGAGTTTATGTATTCTCATCACCACCTCCCACTTATAAGTGAGAACATGTGGTGTTTGTTTTTTTTGTTTCAGTGTTAGTTTGCTGAGGATAATGGCTTCCAGCTCCATACATGTCCCTGCAAAGGACATGATCTTGTTCCTTTTTGTGGCTGCATAGTATTCCATAGTGTATATGTACCATATTTTCTTCATCCAGTCTATCATTGATGGGCATTTAGGTTGATTCCACGTCTTCAGTATTTTAAATAGTGCTACAGTGAACATATACATGCATGTATCTTTTTTTATTATTATTGTACTTTAAGTTCTAGGGTACATGTGCACAATGTGCAAGTTTGTTACATATGTATACATGTGCCATGTTGGTGTGCTGCACCCATTAACTCGTCATTTACATTAGGTATATCTCCTAATGCTATACCTCCCCGCTCCCCCCACCCCACAACAGGCACCTCCCATTCTGTAGGTGGCCTGTTCACTCTGATGGTAGTTTCTTTTGCTGTGCAGAAGCTCTTTAGTTTAATTAGATCCCATTTGTCAATTTTGGTTTTTGTTGCCATTGCTTTTGGTGTTTTAATCATGAAATCCTTGCCCATGCCTATGTCTTGAATGGTATTGCCTAGGTTTTCTTCTAGGGTTTTTATGGTTTTAGGTGTGTGATGTTCCCCTTCCTGTGCCCAAGTGTTCTCATTGTTCAATTCCCACCTATGAGTGAGAACATGCGGTGTTTGGTTTTTTATCCTGGTGATAGTTTGCTGGGAATGATGGTTTCTAGCTTTATCCATGTGCCTACAAAGGACATGAATTCATCCTTTTTTATGGCTGCATAGTATTCCATGGTGTATATGTGCCACATTTTCTTATCCAGTCTATCACTGATGGACATTTGGGCTGGTTCCAAGTCTTTGCTATTGTGAATAGTGCCGCAATAAACATAACGTGTGCGTGTGTCTTTATAGCAGCATGATTTATAATGCTTTGGGTATATACCCAGTAATGGGATGGCTGGGTCAAATGGTATTTCTAGTTCTAGATCCCTGAGGAATCGCCACACTGTCTTCCACAATGGTTGAACTAGTTTACCGTCCCACCAACAGTGTAAAAGTGTTCCTACTTCTCCACATCCTCTCCAGCACCTGTTGTTTCCTGACTTTTTAATGATTGTCATTCTAACTGGTGTGAGATGGTATCTCATTGTGGTTTTGATTTGCATTTCTCTCATGGCCAGTGATGGTGATCATTTTTTCATGTGTGTGTTGGCTGCATAAATGTCTTCTTTTGAGAAGTGTCTGTTCATATCCTTTGCCCACTTTTTGATGGGGTTGTTTGTTTTTTTCTTGTAAATTTGTTTGAGTTCTTTGTAGATTCTGAATATTAGCCCTTTGTCAGATGGGTAGATTGCAAAAATTTTCTCCCATTCTGTAGGTTGCCTGTTCACTCTGATGGTCGTTTCTTTTGCTATGCAGAAGCTCTTTAGTTTAATTAGATCCCATTTGTCAATTTTGGTTTTTGTTGCCATTGCTTTTGGTGTTTTAATCATGAAGTCCTTGCCCATGCCTATGTCGTGAATGGTATTGCCTAGGTTTTCTTCTAGGGTTTTTATGGTTTTAGGTCTAACATTTAAGTCTTTAATCCATCTTGAATGAATTTTTGTATAAGGTGTAAGGAAGGGATCCAGTTTCAGCTTTCTACATATGGCTAGCCAGTTTTCCCAGCACCATTTATTAAATAGGGAATCCTTTCCCCATTTCTTGTTTCTGTCAGGTTTGTCAAAGATCAGATGGTTGTAGACATGTGGTGTTATTTCTGAGCCTCTGTTCTGTTCCGTTGGTCTATATCTCTGTTTTGGTAACAGTACCATGCTGTTTTAGTTACTGTAGCCTTGTAGTATAGTTTGAAGTCAGGTAGCGTGATGCCCCCAGCTTTGTTCTTTTGGCTTAGGATTGTCTTGGCAATGAGGGCTCTTTTTTGGTTCCATATGAACTTTAAAGTAGTTTTTTCTCATTCTGTGAAGAAAATCATTGGTAGCTTGATGGGGATGGCATTGAATCTATAAATTACCTTGGGCAGTATGGCCATTTTCACAATATTGATTCTTCCTCTCCATGAGCGTGGAAAGGTTTTCCATTTGTTTGTGTCCTCTTTTATTTCGTTTAGCAGTGATTTGTAGTTCTCCTTGAAGAGGTCCTTCACATCCCTTGTAAGTTGGATTCCTAGGTATTTTATTCTCTTTGAAGCAATTGTGAATGGGAGTGCACTCATGATTTGGCTCTCTGTCTGTTATTGGTGTATAAGAATGCTCATGATTTTTGCACATTGATTTTGTATCCTGAGACTTTGCTGAAGTTGCTTATCAGCTTAAGGAGATTTTGGGCTGAGACAATGGGGTTTTCTAAATATACAATCATGTCATCTGCAAACAGGGACAATTTGACTTCCTATTTTCCTAATTGAATACCCTTTATTTCTTTCTCTTGCCTGATTACCCTGGCCAGAACTTCCAACACTATGTTGAATAGGAGTGGTGAGAGAGGGCATCCCTGTCTTGTGCTAGTTTTCAAAGGGAATGCTTCCAGTTTTTGCCCATTCAGTATGATATTCGCTGTGGGTTTGTCATAAATAGCTGTTATTATTTTGAGATACATCCCATCAATACCTAATTTATTGAGAGTTTTTAGCATGAAGGGCTGTTGAATTTTTTCGAAGGCCTTTTCTGCGTCTATTGAGATCATGTGGTTTTTGTCATTGGTTCTATTTATGTGATGGATTAAGTTTATAGATTTGTGTATGTTGAACCAGCCTTGCATCCCAGGGATGAAGCCAACTTGATCATGGCAGATAAGCTTTTTGATGTGCTGCTGGATTTGGTTTGCCAGTATTTTATTGAGGATTTTTGCATCGATGTTCATCAGGGATATTAGTCTAAAATTCTCTTTTTTTGTTGTGTCTCTGCCAGGATTTGGTATCAGGATGATGCTGGCCTCATAAAATGAGTTAGGGAGGATTCTCTCTTTTTCTGTTGATGGGAATAGTTTCAGAAGGAATGGTACCAGTTCCTCCTTGTATCTCTGGTAGAATTCGACTGTGAATCCATCTGGTCCTGGACTTTTTTTGATTGGTAAGCTATTAATTATTGCCTCAATTTCAGAGCCTGTTATTGGTCTATTCAGAGATTCAACTTCTTCCTGGTTTAGTCTTGGGAGGGTGTATGTGTCCAGGAATTTATCCATTTCTTCTAGATTTTCTAGTTTATTTGCATAGAGTTGTTTATTGTATTCTCTGATGGTACTTTGTATTTCTGTGGGATTGGTGGTGACATCCCCTTTATCATTTTTTATTGCATCTATTTGATTCTTCTCTCTTTTCTTCTTTATTAGTCTTGTTAGTGGTCTATCAATTTTGTTGGTCTTTTCAAAAAACCAGCTCCTGGATTCATTGATTTTTTGAAGGGTCTTTTGTGTCTGTATCTCTTTCAGTTCTGCTCTGATCTTAGTTATTTCTTGCCTTCTGCTAGCTTTTGAATTTGTTTCTTCTTGCTTCTCTAGTTCTTTTAATTGTGATGTTAGGGTGTCGATTTTAGATCTTTCCTGCTTTCTCTTGTGGGCATTTAGTGCTATAAATTTCTCCCTACACATTGCTTTAAATGTGTCCCAGAGATTCTGGTACGTTTTATCTTTGTTCTCATTGGTTTCAAAGAACATCTTTATTTCTGCATTCATTTCGTTATTTACCTAGTAGTCATTCAGGATCAGGTTGTTCAATTTCCATGTAGTTGCACGGTTTCGAGTGAGTTTCTTAATCCTGAGTTCTAATTTGATTGCACTGTGGTCTGAGAGACCATTTGTTGTGATTTCTGTTCTTTTACATTTGGTGAGGAGTGTTTTACTTCCAATTATGTGGTCAATTTTAGAATGAGGGCGATGTGGCGCAGAGAATAATGTATATTCTTTTGATTTGGGGTGGAGAGTTCTGTAGATGCCTATTAGGTCCACTTGGTGCAGAGCTGAGTTCAATTCCTGAATATCCTAGTTAACTTTCTGTCTCATTGATCTGTCTAATATTGAGAGTGGGGTGTTAAAGTCTCCCATTATTATTGTGTGGGAGTCTAAGTCTCTTTGTAGGTCTCTAAGGACTTGCTTTATGAATCTGGGTGCTCCTGTATTGTGTGCAGATATATTTAGGATAGTTAGCTCTTCTTGTTGATTTGATCCCTTTACCTTTATGTAATGGCCATTTTTGTCTCTTTTAATATTTGTTGGTTTAAAGTCTGTTTTATCAGAGACTAGGATTGCAACCCCTGCTTTTTTTGCTTTCCATTTGCTTGGTAGGTCTTCCTCCATCCCTTTATTTTGAGCCTATGTGTGTCTCTGCATGTGAGATGGGTCTCCTGAATACAGCACACTGATGGGTCTTGACTCTTTATCCAATTTGCCAGTCCGTGTCTTTTAATTGGGGCATTTAGCCCATTTACATTTAACGTTAATATAATTATGTGTGAATTAGATCCTGTCATTATGATGTTAGCTGGTTATTTTGCCCGTTAATTGATGCAGTTTCTTCCTAGCATTGATGGTCTTTACAATTTGGCATGTTTTTGCAGTGGCTGGTACTGGTTTAGTTCTTCCTTCAGGAGCTTTGTAGGGCAGGCCTGGTGGTGACAGAATCTCTCAGCATTTGCTTGTCGGTAAAGGATTTCATTTCTCCTTCACTTATGAAGCTTAGTTTGGCTGGATATGAAATTCTAGGTTGAAAATTCTTCTCTTTAAGAATGTTGAATACTGTCGCCCACTCTTTTCTGGCTTGTAGGGTTTCTGCTGAGAGATCTGCTATTAGTCTGATGGGCTTCCTCTTGTGGGTAACCTGAACTTTCTCTCTGACTGCACTTAACATTTTTTCCTTCATTTCTACCTTGGTGAATCTGACAATTATGTGTCTTGGGGTTGCTCTTCTCGAGGAGTATCTTTGTGGTGTTCTCTATATTTCCTGAATTTGAATGTTGGCCTGCCTTGCTGGGTTGGGGAAGTTCTTCTGGATAATATCCTGAAGAGTGCTTTCGGACTTGGTTCCATTCTCCCCATCACTTTCAGGTACACCAATCAGACGTAGATTTGGTCTTTTCACAGAGTCCCATATTTCTTGGAGGCTTTGTTCGTTTCTTTTTATTCTTTTTTTCTCTAACCTTGTCTTCTCGCTTTATTTCATTAATTTGATCTTGAATCACTGATACCCTTTCTTCCACTTGATTGAATCAGCTATTGAAGCTTGTGCATGTGTCATGAAGTTCTTGTGGCATGGTTTTCAGCTCTATCAGGTCATTTAAGGTCTTCTCTACATTGTTTATTCTAGTTAGCCATTCAACTAACCTTTTTTCAAGGTTTTTAGCTTTTTTTGTGATGGGTTAAAACATGCTCTTTTAGATCGGAGAAGTGTGTTATTACTGACCTCCTGAAGCCTACTTTTGTCGACTCATCAAAGTCTTTCTCTGTCCAGCTTTGTTCTGTTGCTGGTGAGGAGCTGCGATCCTTTGGAGGAGAAGAGGCACTCTGGTTTTTAGAATTTTCAGTTTTTCAGCTCTTGTTTCTCCCCATCTTTTTGGTTTTATCTACCTTTGGTCTTTGATGTTGGTGACCTACAGATGGGGTTTTGGTGTAGATATCCTTTTTGTTGATGTTGATGCTATTCCTTTCTGTTTGTTAGTTTTCCTTCTAATAGGTACCTCAGCTGCAGGTCTGTTGGAGTTTGCTGGAGGTCCACTCCAGACCCTGTTTGCCTGGGTATCACCAGCAGAGGCTGCAGAACAGCAAATATTGCAGAATAGCAAATATTGCTGCCTGATCCTTCCTCTGGAATCTTTGTCCCATAGGGGCACCCACCTATATGAGGTGTCTGTAGGCCCCTACTGGGAGGTGTCTCCCAGTTAGTCTACACAGGGGTCAGGGACCCACTTGAGGAGGCAGTCTGTCTGTTCTCAGAGCTCAAACACCATGCTGGGAGAACCACTGCTCTCTTCAGAGCTGCCAGATTGCAGAAGTTGTCTGCTGCCTTTTGTTCAGCTATGCCCTGCCCACAGAAGTGGAGTCTATAGAGGCAGTAGGCCCTGCTGAGCTGCAGTGGGCCTCCACCCAGTTCAAGCTTTCTGGCTGCTTTGTTTACCTACTCAAGCCTCAGCAATGGAGGATGCCCCTCCTCCAGCCAGGCTGAGTTTGATCTCAGACTGCTGCACTAGCAGTGAGCAATGCTCCGTGGGTGTGGGTCCTGCGGAGCCAGGCACAGGAGAGAATCTCCTTGTCTGACAGTTGCTAAGACCTTGGGAAAAGCACAGTATTTGGCCAGGAGTGTCCTGTTTTTCCAGGTACAGTCTGTCATGGCTTCCCTTGGCTAGCAAAGGGAAATCCCCCAACCCCTTGTGTTTCCTGGGTGAGGTGACCTCAGGCCCTAACATCTTTGTTAGTCCTGGGTATCTTTTCCTCTCACTCATGTAGCTGTATCTCCTTTTAGTTTAGCTTCCTTTGTTTCACACATCTTCTTTAGAACCCCTCCATTAGATGAGTATCTATATCTCAACTCAACTGTGAATAGGGATAGTTTTCTTTCTGTAGGACTTCAGAGTCCTGTGCAAGTTGTGATATTTATGGATAATCAAGATATTCCCTAAACATTCTTGGGCAGGAGAATTGGGAGGTAGGTGCAGTGCAAGGGAGAGGAGTTGGCCTAACTCCACTAATATGCTGTGGCCCGTGTTTTACTTCTTTGAGAGCAACTTCAAAGCAAATCTGTCAATGCCAGTAAATACATTAAAGAACTAACTGTGGGGGAGAGTTAGTAAAAATTAATAAAGCCTTTTCCTTTTATACCATAAGAATGTGACCTTCACTTAATTTTCTCTCTGTTCCACTGGAAATCAGATGAAGATAGAATGTCAACGATGTTACAGTCAGTATTGCCTACAGTAATATTATCCCTGAATGATAAATTGCAACCAAACAAGAAGGAGTTATAAATGTCCCATAAATACCTGAAGATAGAATGTCAACTATGTTACAGTCAATATTGCCTATGGTAATATTATCCCTGATTGATAAATTGCAACTAAACAAGGAGGAATTATAAATGTCCCATAAATATCTGATGAGAGTGCTATAATTTGGGCTTCCCTGAGTGTGTTAACTCTTGTAATTGGGTATGTCTCTCATGTGAATCCTGGAAGCCTGTGGAGTTGCTACAAGAGATATAGTGTCTTGTGGGACATGAGACTCTTAAGTAGGGCAACCCCTGAACCTGCCAGATGAGAAGTAAATGAAATAAGCAATGAAGGTGAAACTGAAGTTATACTTTTAAAATCTCATACCCCCAGGCATCACCTTAGAGTCAACCTTCTTTGAAACCACTGTCTCAGAGAAATCCCTCCAAGACACAGGTAATTAGAGAGGGTATGTGAACCAAGGAGCCAATCAAATTCTCCCACATAAGAATTTGGGACACAGAAGATGAAGCTGAGGACCACAAGGATTTAGATACTGATGCTGTAAGTTATTCCTTTCTTTTTTTTAAATTTAACACTTTCTAAAAATTGACAGATAAAATTCTATGTATTTATTATGTACAACACGATGACTTGAAGCACATATACCTTGTGGAATGGTTAAACCTACCTAATTAATATATATGTATCAACTCACATGGTTATCATTTTTGTGTTGAGAACACTTAACATTGACTCTCTTAGCATTCCTCAAGAGTGCAACATATTGCCATTTATTATGGTCCCTATGCTGTACAATAGCCCTCTTGAATTTATTCTTCCGGCCTGATTGTAATTTTGTGTTCTTTGACCAAAATCTCCCTAACAACCACTCCCACAATCACTGCAGCCTCTGGTAACCACCATTCTACTTTCTATTTTTTGACATTGACTTTTTAAGTTGCCTCATTATGAGTGAGATCATGTGGTGTATTAGGCCATTCTTGTGCTGCTATAAAGAAATAGCTGGTACTGGATAATTTATAAAGAAAATAGGTTTAATTGGCTCATGGTTCTGCAGGCTGTACAGGAAGCATAATTCTGGCATATGCTCAGCTTCTGGGAGGCCTCAGAAACTTGCAATCATGGCAGAAGGCAAAGGGAGAGTGAGACATCTTACATGGCAAAAGCAGGACTGAGAGATGGGGAAGTGCTTCATACTTTTTTATTTTTTTTTTCAGACGGAGTCTCACTCTGTCACTGAGGCTGGAGTGCAGTGGCACAGTCTTGGCTCACTGCAACCTCCGCCTCCTGGGTTCAAGCAATTCTCCTGCCTCAGCCTTCCAAATAGCTGGGACTACAGGTGCGTGCCACCACACCCAGCTAATTTTTGTATTTTTAGTAGAGATGGGATTTCACTATGTTAGCCAGGCTAGTCTCAAACTCCTGACCTCATGATCCACCTGCCTTGGTCACCCAAAGTGCTGGGATTACAGGTGTGAGCCACCATGCCTGGCTCACAGTTTTAAACAACCAGATATCATGAGAACTCTATCATGTGAATAGCACTAGGGGTATAGGGCTAAATAATTCATGAGAAACCACCCCCATGATTCAGTCACCTTCTACCTCCAGCATTGGGGATTATATTTTAACATGAGATCTGGGCAGGTACACACACCAAACCATATCATTTCACCCTGCCGCTTCCCAAATCTCATGCCCCTCTCACATTTCAAAATACAATCATGCCTTCCCAACAATGGCCCAAAGTCTTAACTCAGTCTAGCATTAACTCGAAAGTCCACAGTCCAAAGTCTCCTTTGAGGCAAGACTAGTCCCTTCTGCCTATGAGCCTGTAGAATAAAAAACAAGCTAGTTTCTTTCAAGATACAATGGGGGTAAAGGCATTGGGTAAATGCTTTCATTCCAAATGTAAGAAATTGGCCAAAACCAAGGGGCTACAGGCCCCATGCAAGTCTGAAACTCAGCAGGGCAGGTATTGGGTAATTACTTCTATTCCGAGGGAGAAATCAGCCAAAGAAAGAGTCTATAGGCCTGTGCAAGTCTGAAAGTCAGCAGGGGGTTGAGAGCTTAAAGTAATTAAATCTTAAAGCTCCAAAATAATGTATTTCGACTCCTTGTCCCATATTCAGGGCATGCTGGTACAAAAGGTGGGCTCCCGAAGCCTTGGGAAGCTCTGTCCCTGTGGCTTTGCAGGGTTCACCCACTCTGGCTGCTCTCATGGGCTGGCATTGAATGTCTGTGGCTTTTCCAGATGCATGATCCAAGCTGTTGGTGGAGCTACAATTCTGGGGTCTGAAGGATGGTGGTCCTCTTCTCATAGCTCCACTAGGCAGTGCCCCATTGGGGATTCTGTGTGGGGGCTCCAACCCCACATTTTCCTTCTGCATTGTCCTAGTAAAGGGTCTCCGTGAGGGCTCTGCCCCTGCAGCTGGCTTCTGCCTGGACATTCAGGCTATTCCATACGTTTTCTAAAATCTAGGCAGAGGCTCCCAAGCCTCAACTCTTGGACTCTGTGCACCTACAGGTTTAACACCATGTGGAAGCTACCAAGGTTTACAGCTTGCGCTCTCTGAAGCAATAGCCTGAGGTGTACCTGAGCCCCTTTGAGCTACAGCTGGAGCTGGAGTGGCTACGATGTAGGGAACAGTTTCCTGAGGCTGCATGGGGCAGAGGGGCCCTGGGCCTGGCCCAATAAACCATTCTTCCCTCCTAGACATCTGGGCCTGTGATGGGAGGGGCTGTCATGAGGGTCTCTGAAATGCCTTTGAGGTCTTTCTCCCATTGTCTTGGCTATCAGCACTTGCCTTCCTTTTAGTTATGCAAATTTCTGCAGGCTGCTTCAATTCCTCCCCTGAAAATGGGCTTTTCTTTTGTACTACATGGCAAAGCTGCAAATTTTCCAAACTTTTACACTTTGCTTCCCTTTTAGATATAAGTTTCAGTTTTAGGTCATTTCTTTGCTCATGCATAGAAGCATAGGTTGTTAGAGGTAGCCAGGTCACATCTTGAATGTTTTGCTGCTTAGAAATTTCTTCTGCCAGATACACTAAATCATCCCTTTTAAGTTCTAAGTTCCACACATCGCTAGAGCAGGGCACAATACAGCCAGATTCTTTGCTAAAGCATAGCGGAAGTGACCTTTACTGAAGTTTGTGAACCCTGAAAATCTGAGACAGTTAATTTAGAAAGTTGATTTTGCCAAGGTTGAGGACACATGCTCATGACGCAGCCTCAGGAGGTCCTGATGACATGTGCCCAAGGTGGTTAGAGCACAGTTTGGCTTTACATTTATGGAGACATGAGACATCAATCAACATATGTAAGATGAACAGTGGTTCCGTCTGAAAAGATGGGAAAACTCGAAGCAAAGATGGTAAGACTTTAAGCAGGGAGGGGGCTTCCAGGTCATAGGCAGATAAGAGACAAGTGGTTGCATTCTTTTGAGTTTCTGATTAGCCTCCCCAAAGGATGCAATTAGAAATGTATTTATCTCAGTGAGCAGAGGGGTGACTTTGAATAGAATGGGAGGCAGTCCTAAGCAGTTCCCAGCTTGACTTTTCCCTTTAGCTTAGTAAGGTCCTAATTTCTATCTGAGACCTCCTCAGTCTGGAATTCCTTGTCCATATCACTATCAGCATTTGGGTCATAACAACTTATCAAGTCTCTAGGAAGTTCCAAACTTTCCCTTGTCTTCCTGTCTTCTTCTGAGCTCTCCAAACTCTTCCAACCTGCCCATTACCCAGTTTCAAAGTCATTTCCACATTATCAGGTATCTTTATAGCAATGCCTCACTCTTGAATACCAATTTTCTGTATTTACTGCTATAAGGAAATATCTGAGACTGGGTGATTTATAAAGAAAAGAAGTTTAATTGGCTCAGGATTCCACAGGCTATACAGGAAGCATAATTCTGGCATCTGCTCAGATTCTGGGGAGGCCTCAGGAAATGTGCAATTATAGCAGAAGGCAAAGGGGGAGTGAGGCATCTTACATGGCAGGAGCAGGACCAAGAATGGGAGGGAGGTGCTACACACTTTTAAACAACTGGATCTCATGAGAACTCTGTTACGAGAACAGCATCAGGGGGATGATGTAAACCATTCATGAGAAACTGCCCCCATGATTCAAGCACCTTCCACAAGGCCCCACAATCAGCACTGGGGATTACATTTCAACATAAGATTGGGGTGGGGACAGAAATTCAAATTGTATCATGTGGTATTTGTCTTTCTGCACCTGTTTTATTTCACTTTGCATAATGTCCTCTAGGTTTATCCGTGTTGTATTAAATGACAGAATTTTATTCTTATTTTATGGCTGCATAGTATTTCATTGTGTATATATACCACTTTAAAAAATTCTATTCATCTGTTTATGGATACTTAAATTGATTCCATATCTCAGCTATGTTGCTTGCAGTAAACACGAGAGTGCAGATAGCTCTTTGACATACTGATTTCATTTTCTTTGGCTATATACCCAGTAGTGGGATTGCTCGATCATATAATAGTTTCATTTTTTTATTTTTTGAGGAAACTCCATATTGTTTCCTATAATGGTTGTATTAATTTGCATTCCCACCAACAGTGTGCAAGAATTTCCTTTTCTTCACATCTTTGCCAACTTTTGTTATCTTTTGTCTTTTCGATAATAGTCATTCTAACAGAAGTGAGATGATACCTCCTTGTGGTTTTGCATGTGCTGTGAGATAAGAGTCTAATTTCCTTCTTTGCATGAGGATGTCCATTTTTCCCAATACAATTTATTGAAGAGACTGTCCTTTCCCCACTGTGTGTAGTTTGTCAAAAATAAGTTGGCTGCAAATGAGCAGATTTATTTCTGGGCTATTTTGTTCCATTGGCATATATATCTGTTTTTATGTTAGTACCACGGCTGTTGGGTTACTAGAGCTTTGTAATATATCTTGAAGTCAGGTACTGTGATGCCTCTAGCTTTGGTCTTTTTGCTTAAGATGATTTTGGCTAATCAGGTCTTTTTTTGTTCCACACAAATTTTAGAATGTTTTTTCTCTTTATGTAAAGAATGCCATTGCTATTTTGATAAGGATTGCATTGAATATATTTGGGTAGTGTGGACATTGTAACAATATTAGTTATTTCAGTCCATGAATACAAGTACCTTTCTGTTTATTTATGCCTTCTTCAATTTATCTCATAAATGTTTTATGATTTTCAGTGTAGATTTCTTTCATCTCCATGGTTAAATTTATTTCTAAGTATTTTATTTCTTTTGTAGCTACTATAAGTGGAATTGTTTTCTTGATTTCCCTTTCAAGTAGATTGCTGAAGTACCACTGACTTTTGTATGTTGATTTTGTATCCTGCATCTTTACTGAATTTGTTTATTAGTTATAACAATTATTTGGAAGATTTTTTAGTTTTTAAAAAAAGTACATAAAGTCATGTCATCTGCAAATAGAGACAACTTCTTCCTTACTAATTTGGATGGCTTTTATTTCTTTCCTTTGCCTAACGGCTCATTAGAACTTCCAGTACTATGTTGAATAAAAGTGGTGAAAATAAGCATGTTTGTCTTGTTCCAGGTATTAAAAGAAAAGGTTTAATTTTTCCCCATTGAATATTCTGTTAGCTATGGCCTTTATTGTGTTAAGGTACATTTCTTTTGTACCTAATTTATTCACAGTTTTTTAATCATTAAAATATGTTAAATTTTGTCAAGTGCTTTTTCTGAATATATTGAAATGATATAATTGTGTCTTTCATTCTGTTAATGTGGTGTATTACATTTATTGATTTGCATATGTTGAATCATCCTTGCATTTCTGGGATGAATCCCACTTGATCATGGTGAAGGATCTTTTTAAGATACTATTTAATTTGTTTTACTGGTAATTTGTTGAGCATTTTTGCATCTTTGTTCCTCAGGGATGTTGGCCTGTAGCTTTTTTTTTTCCCCCTCGTCTGATTTGGTATGCTAGTCTCATAAAATACATTTATTAGTATTCCCTCCTCTCCAATTTTTTGGAAGAGTTTGAGAAGGATTGGTATTAATTATCCTTTAAAGGTTTGGTAGAATTCAGCAATGAAGCCACCAGGTCCTGGGTTTTTCTTTGATAGGTGACATTTTATTACAAATTCAATCACTTTTCTTGTTATTGATCTGTTCAGAATTTCCTTTTCTTTATAGTTCAATCTTGTATGTGTCAAGGAATTTATCCATTTCCTCTGTGTTACACAATTTGTTGGCATATAATTGTTCATAATAGTCTCTTATTATCCTTTGTATTTATGTGTTATCCACTGTGATATTTTTTGTTTCATTTCTAATTTTATTTTTGTTTTCTTCTCTTTTTTCCTTAGTCTAGCTAAATGTTTTTTCTAATCTTTTCAAAATACTAACTCTTCATTAAAAAAATTTCCTATTATTTTCCTAGTTTCTATTTCATTTATTTCTTTTCTGATCTTTATTATTTCCTTCTTTCTACTAAATTTGGGCTTAATTTTTTCCTATTTTTTTAGTTCCTTAAGGTGCAATGTTAGGTTGTTTATTTGAAATTTTTATTTTTTGATGTAGGCACTTAGTGCTGAAAACTTCCCTCTTAAAACTGCTTTTGTTATATCCCATAGCTTTTGATATGATTTTCAGTGTAGATTTCTTTCATCTCCATGGCTTTTGATATTGTGTTTTCATTTCCATTTGTCTCAAGATATGTTTTAAAGTTCCTTTTAATTTTGTCATTGACCCATTTGTTGTTTAGCAGTATGTTTTTAAATATCCATTTTTTGGGGTGAATTTTCTTTTCTTTCTTTTTTTTTTTTTTTTTGAGACAGAGTTTCGCTCTTGTTGCCCAGGCTGGAGTGCAACGGCACAATCTCGGCTCACCACAACCTCCGCCTCCCAGGTTCAAGCAATTCTCCTGCCTCAGCCTCCTGAGTAGCTGGGATTATAGGCGTGTGCCATCATGCCTGGCTAATTTTTGTATTTTTAGTAGAGACGGGGTTTCACCATGTTGGTCAAGCTGGTCTCGAACTCCTGACCTCGTGATTTGCTCGCCTTGGCCTACCAAAATGCTGGAATTACAGGTGTGAGCCACCACGCCTGGCCTTGGGTGAATTTTCTGAAGTTCCTCCTGTTATTGACTTCTAATTTTATACCAGGTGGTCAGAAAAAATGCTTAATGTGATTTCAATCTTACTGAATTTAAAACTTGTTTTGTAGCCTAACACATGATTTATACTGGAGAGTGCTCCATGTGCCATTGAGAGAATGTGTGTTCTGCATATGTCCATTAGGTTCAGTTGACCTAAATAGTAGTTTAAATACTATGCTTTCTGACTGATTTCCTTTCTGGATTATCTGTTCATTGCTAAAAGCAGGGTATTGAAGTCTTTGAGTTTACAAATTCTTTCTTCTGCTTGATCAATTCTGCTGTTTGAGCTCTTTATTATATTTTACATTTTGTTCATTGCATTTTTTTAGTTCCAAAATTTCTGTTTCTTAAAATATTATTTCAATCTCTGTTAAATTTTTCATTCTGGTCACTTATTGTTTTGTTAATTTCTTTGAATTATCTCTCTCTATTTTCCTAAAGTTTGCCAAGTTTCCTGAAAACAGTTATTATAAATGTTTTGTCGGGCAGTTCATATGTCTCCAGCTCTTTAGGGCCAGTCACTGGCACTTTATTTTTTCTCTCTGGTGTTGTCATGTTTTCCTAAATGTTCTTGGTCATTGTGGCTATGTGATAATGCCTGCACATGTGAAGAAGTAGGTACTTATTCCAGTCTTCATAGACTGAATTTGTCTAAGAATGCCTTCCAATAGTAAGCCTGTCCAGAGATTCTGGGCAGATCATCTGGTATGGCTGCTATTCTTGGGACCACCGTGGCCATTGCAGTCCTAGGGAGCATCATAAGCTTGGACTGCTATGGCTGGCACAATGCCAGGCTGGAATCTTGTGGTTACTGAAGCTGGTGTGGAGCTGGGATGTGCTAGAAATCCTTAGTCATAGAGGCTGGTACATTGCTAAGACTGTGAAGCCCACAGCTGCTGAGGTCTGCCTCCTGTCTGCCACTGAGATTTGTCCAAGGCCCAAGGCCACTGTAGATGGTCAGTGGTGATGCAGACTGCAGATTGAGTCTGTCTTGCAGGAGCTGTGGTTCCCACTTGGTCCCTGGGCAGTCATTGAGGCTAGGTCTGTGGGCACTGGCCTGGAGTCAGGGGCTGTGGGGGTCTGTGTGGTAGTGATTTTTACTGTGGTGGTCCCTGTGTTAGTGTCCATGGCAAATTCCTTTGCTTACTTCTCTCTCTTTCCCCCAAGCAGATGGTGGCTTTCACTGCACTGTGCTACCTGGGGTTGGGGAAGGGGTGCTGCAGGTAACATAAAACTATCTTTCCTACTCTCCTCAGTGTGTCTTTTCTTATTATTATTATGCTATAACCATGTACTGTGATCTCTCACCACCTTTCCTTAGCACTTGAGAAGGTAATTTCGTGCGTGGATAGTTGTTCAAATTAATGTTTTTTGTGGGGTGATGATTGTGTGGAGAGTCCTATTCTGCCATCTTACTCTTCCCTTTCCCTGCAAGTTATGTTTCGTAAGGTGAGGTTATTTGAGAGCAGGAGAGAGATAAGAAAGAAATATCCTAATTTAGTAGGTGTGTGGTGGGCCATGTGTTTATCTTTAAGTAAAGAGTATTAGTACTTTAAAAAAAATTGCAAGAAATAGAATGCTTATTGCCAAATTTAGCTTTTAAAATTATTCCTGGATTAGTGAGCTCATACAACTCTCTTTTTAAAATAAATTAATTTATTAGTATACTGATTATTCTACTGTTTCCTTTAGTATTAAACAATAGCATTATTTTAATCAGAATATTTCAAATATATTTAAATTAAAGACAAGAACAATGCTTTATAAGTGAACAATGTTTACGTGTAAAATGTTATTTTAGGTATCATTTGGTTGTAAGAAACAGAAATGTCCTTAATTGATGTTCTTAGTTGAAAGGTGGCGAGGACAAGAGATTTGGGAAATCTTATGGAAACAGACTGTAAAAAGTATAGTTGGGGCTGATGGAGGATGGGAACAGGAAAGCTCTAAGGAATAGTCTTTCTGCCTTTGGAGTAGGGTGGTCAGTCACTGCCTCTACTGAGGGTCTGATTTCATTCATCTATCTTTGTGGCTTCTCTGATTTCATTCTTTTAAATTTATATTTTATTTTAATACTAAAATATTGTATATTTTAGTGCAGACCTATTTATCTAATTTATACATATATAAATATACATATATTTGGGGGACATATACTAAAATTATTTTTAAAACTATTGGGATGCACAATTAATCGAGATTGGAGACTAGTTGCTTAAAATGATTGTGAATATGGAGAAAACTCCTGGCATCTATAATACAGTATTATTTTCATGCCTGTATTTTACAGCAAATTGGCTCTCCAAAATACTGTGGGACTTCACCAGATTCTTGATTACATGTCACTGATGTCTACTCTGGTTTTTTTCCTCATTCTTAAAATTTAATTATGTTTACTAAGTAATTCATAATTCATAAAATCTGAATTAAATCAGTTCTCCATTATCCATTAATACTTGGAATCATGGAATCATGAACTCAACATGCAGAATGGATGCACTGTTTGAAAATGAATTGTGTGACAGCATTAGCCAAAGTGAGAATTTCTAATATCTGTTTTTAAAGGTACTGGTAATTTTTCCTCCCTCCCTTCCTTCCTTCCTTCCTTCCTTCTCCCTCCCTCCCTCCCTTCCTTCCTTCCTTCCCTCTCTTTCTTATTCTCTTTCTTTTCCTCCTCTCATCTCCTCCTCCTCCTCTCTCCTCTCCTCCTCCTCTTCCTCCTCTCCTCTCCTCTCCTCTCACCTCTTTTCCTTTCCTTTCCTCTCCTCCCCTCTCCTTCTTCTCCTCCTCCTCTTCTCCTCTCCTCTCCTCTCCTCCTCCTCCTCCTCTCCTCTCACCTCTTTTCCTTTCCTTTCCTTTCCTCTCCTCTCCTCTCTTTTCTTTTCTTTTCTGTTTTTCTTCTTTTCTTGGTCTTGCTCTGTTGCCCAGGCTGAAGTGCAGTGGTAGGATCATAGCTCACTGCAGCCTCAAAGTCCTGGGGTCAGGCGATCCTCCTGCCTCAGTCTTTCCAGTAGCTAGGACTATAGACGTGTGCCACCACTCTTGGTTAATTAAAAAAAAAATTATTTTGTGGACATGGGGTCTTTCTCTGTTACCCAGGCTGATCTTGAATGCCTGACCTCAAGTGATCCTCCTCTCTTGGCCTCCCAAAGTACTGGGATTACAGTTGTGAGCACCGTACTTGGCCTAATTTTTTATTTTTATTTGACTTTCAACCTTAAAAATAAAACCAAGACCAATTTCCAGGCAGTTGTTGTGGTTCTACTTGTTTTGTAATATTGTGATGAATTTTAACATCTTGTTCCTAGATTGCCTAAAAAAATTGAAAACTAATGATTGTATTCTTTCCTGCATTAGTGACTTTTGTGTACGTGTAGAGTACATTGTTAATTGTTAAAATACTGTAATTAGCAATTTACAGGGCCAGGGATAAGAACTTGTACATTGGTAGACTAGGAGATAAATTCTAGATAGCAGAAATGAGGGACTAGAGAGATTATGAGAGAAAGAAAAGTCAATATAAGGGACATTATTGAGGTCATCTCATGAGCAAGTGGACTCAGTCCTACCCAGAACATTTAAAGAGCATGAAGATGCTTCTCAGAATCATCTTCCTGAGGATCAACAAGAGGATTTTCCTGATGGGCTCTGTGTATTGATTGTGGGTTACCCTTGGGGGTTTGGGTTTTGGTGGTAACTATTTGGCCTTCAGGTTCCTGTAACTATTACATTTGGATCACCCACTAAGTCATACTTTATCTGTATAGCCAAGAAATCCCTTGGTCTTATGAACAGAGGCCTAAATTTACTCCCCCAATTCCCAGACTTGGGTTATGGTCCTCTCTCATTTTCCATACTCAGGTGTATTCATTCTTAGAATTAAAGAGGGACTGAGTCTTGCTGAGGAAAGACCTAACCATAACATCAGATTACATGCTAGAGATCTTTCCCCTAGTCTTACCTAAAAGGATCAAGTGGCCATTTATCAGGATAATTGTGCTCTGGGAAAAGGAAGTACAAAGACTTCTCTGAGAATATTAATACTGGCTCTGAACTATTGATAATCTCTAAAGGCCTGCATAGCTACTATTTTCCATAAATCAGAGGAAAATGGACTTCGTGTCCATGTCTATCTTACAAGGGCCTAGTGACTCCACAAACCTGTTCTGTGGTTATTTTCTCAGTTCCTGAACTTATAGTTGGAATAGTATACTCAGCAAAAGCAGATATCCTATTTTAGCTCTTTTTTCCATGTAGGTCATGGTCACTGAGTTAGAAAAGACTAAGTGATAACTTTTGGAGCTCCTTCTCCTTTCCAAAATAATAAACCAAAGCCAAACTTCATCCTCAGGGAGGAGTCATAGATACTGGTGCCACCATTCAAGATTTTCTTATCATATCCCCATTAACTCATTATGCAGATGATAGAAAAGTTTCAGGAAATGACAGTGAAGATTACAAATTATTTGAGAAAACAAATTTTTATTAAAATGAAAATTTAAACAAATGGAAAGACATGTCATTTTTTTTCTTCTTTTACAAATTGTTTATCCATGTGTTTTCGCTGTTCATTATTGGTGAGTTCATAAATCAGTCATATACTTCATAATCTTTTAAGATAACTCTTCCTTTTGTACATTTTGAATTCTGTCCCACATGAATATATTACAAATTAAAAAAATAAATGAACAAGATTTCAATACAAATAAATATAAATTAAATAGCAAAGTCAGTATGTTGAAGAGGTATCTGCATTCCCATGATGATTGCAGCATTAATGATAATAGCTGACATATGGAATCAAAGTGTCCAACAATGAATGAAGAAAGTATTGTGTGTGTGCATATATATATACACATATATGTATGTGTATATATATATACACACACACACAATGGAACAATACTCAGCCATAAAAAGAATGAAATCCTGTCACTTGCAGCAACATGGATGGAACTGGAGGACATCACGTTAAATGAAATAAGCCAGACAAAGAAAGACAAATATCTCATATTCTCATCCATATGTGGGAATGAAAAAAAGTTGATATAGAAATAGTGAATAGAACATTTTATATTCTTGAATGGGAAGGTTATATATCATAAAAATATTAATCCCTCATCAAATTAATGTATAACTAAAATGCAGTTCCAATTAGAATTCCAACAGGGATTTATTTGTGTTTAAACAAAATAATCTGGAAATTTATATAGAAACATGAAAGCCATGGAATAGTCAACCAAATGTGAAAAAAAAAGAATAGTAAGGAAGACTTAACTTACCAGAAATCAAAACATGTCACAGTCACTATTATCCTAGAAAGAGACAAATTATCATTAAAATGGAATAATTAATATAGAAATAGATTCCAGAAATTTTATATATGACAAAGTTGGTAGATCAATTCTGTAAGAAATCATATTTAGTGATGCCGTAATATGTTGTACTATCTTAACTGATTAACAATTGCAATAAAATAAAAATAGACTTCTGTTTTAGTCCATAAATTCCAGATGGAATAATTAAGTAATCGCAACATCAAAACAATTGGAAATTTTCAAGGAAATCTAGAAGAACGTTTAAAATTTAGGGGAAAGATGACCTTATTCACCAAGGCTGGTAATCCTTATGCCATAAAAAATAGCTATGTATTTTTAACTTTATACAAATAAAAATCCTTTATGTAGCAAAAACACCATAAACAAATTAATAAGTGAACATATGAAAGATTTAGAAAAAAAATGTTTAAGCAGATGACAAAGGGTTTGTCTAATAATTTAAAAAGCTCTTATCTTATGCATTGAACAAAAGTCCCCTAAACAACCCAATAAAAAAAGACAAAGAATATTAGGAGAGCAAATTCAGTGGGCTACAAATGTGTTTTCAAAAGACATAGTCTAGAACAAAATACAGAAGTTTTGAAATAAAGTCAGGAAAAAATATAACAGATACTATAAAAGGATTTTTTTAAAAAATTTTATTATTGTTATACTTTAAGTTTTAGGGTACATGTGCACAACGTGCAGGTTTGTTACATATGTATACATACGCCATGTTGGTGTGCTGCACCCATTAACTCGTCATTTAGCATTAGGTATATCTCCTAATGCTATCCCTCCCCCTTCCTCCTACCCCACAACAGTCCCCGGTGTGTGATGTTCCCCTTCCTGTGTCCATGTGTTCTCATTGTTCCATTCCCACCTATGAGTGAGAACATGCGGTGTTTGGTTTTTTGTCCTTGCGATAGTTTGCTGGCAATGATAGTTTCCAGCTTCATCCATGTCCCTACAAAGGACATGAACTCATCATTTTTTATGGCTGCATAGTATTCCATGGTGTATATGTGCCACATTTTCTTAATCCAGTCTATCATTGTTGGGCATTTGGGTTGGTTCCAAGTCTTTGCTATTGTGAATAGTGCCGCAATAAACATACATGTGCTTGTGTCTGTATAGCAGCATGACTTATAATCCTTTGGGTATATACCCAGTAATGGGATGGCTGGGTCAAATGGTATTTCTAGTTCTAGATCCCTGAGGAATCGCCACACTGACTTCCACAATGGTTGAACTAGTTTACAGTCCCACCAACAGTGTAAAAGTGTTCCTGTTTCTCCACATCCTCTCCAGCACCTGTTGTAGGAATGTAGTTTTAACAATAAATCAGTATTATTCAGGGAAAATTATTTTCAAAGGAACAAACAGTTACTTTTATGTTGCTTAAAAATATATTCCATTGGCCAGGTGCAGTGGCTCACGCCTGTAATCCCAGCACTTTGGGAGGCCAAAGTGGGAGGATCACGAGGTCAGGAGATCGAGACCATCCTGGCTAACACGATGAAACCCCGCCTCTACTAAAAATACAAAAAAATTAGCTGGGTGTGGTGGTAGGCGCCTGTAGCCCTAGCTACTTGGGAGGCTGAGGCAGGAGACTGGCGTGAACCTGGGAGGCGGAGCTTGCAGTGAGGCGAGGTCGTGCCACTGCACTCCAGCCTGGGCGACAGAGCAAGACTGTCTCCAAAAAAAAGAAAAATGTATATATATTCCATTCCATCAAGAAGATATTTTATGGACATGTTATGATTCAACAACATAGCTTCAAACTACTTAAAACAGGACCAATAGAAATTAAAGGTGAAGTTGACAATTACAAATCCACTGACCAAGTAGAAAAATGTAGAGAGGCAGAATTCTTCAATAACACAATTAACTAGATTGATCTAATTTACATACACATTCAATAGACAACATACTTTTTTCCCGAAATGCACATGGAATATTAAAAAAAAGACCATCGTTTAGACCATAAAGGATAATAGCATACATCCTGCAGGCCATATTTACTGACCACGGTTCAAGAAAATTCAAAATTATAAATAATTGTCTAAAGAATATTGAGGAAAGCAAAATTAAATTATCTATTTGAAAATTTAAAAAAATTTACCCTAAATAACTGAAGTTAAAATGTCATCATAATAGAACATATCACTATTAGAAATAAATGATGGGAGTGCTAACTTACCATAACTGCAAAGAAAGCAATATTCAGAGGAAAGTTTATATCTTTCAGTGGCATTTATTAGAGCACAAAGACGATGGAAAATAATTAAGTTTTTAACTTAAGAGACTAGAAAGAAAGTAATAAGATAAACCCAGTCCAGAGTTCTTTCCACTATAGTTCACTAATGCTTCTTATTAATAGAAGTTTGGAATATCATTCCTTTGTTTTTGTTCACACCTATTATTTAATTCTAATATTTGGATATTTGCTTTTCTGTCATATGGAGGAAGCGCTGCCTATGAATTTTATGTATCCACAAAATATAAGAATTAAAGAAAAGACGTTAATATCTAATGCTGTTGTGTCCTTTGCCTAAGGAAAAGTCATTGAGGAGTAGAAGACTCTAGAACGGAAACATTCTTTTTTTTTTTTTTTTTTTTTTTGAGACAGAGTCTTACTCTGTCACCCAGGCTGGAGTGGGGTGGTGCGATCTCGGCTCACTGCAATGCAACCTCTGTCTCCCGGGCTCAAGCCATTCTCAGGCCTCAGCCTTCGAGTAGTTGGGATTATAGGCGCATGCCACCGCACTTGGCTAATTTTTGTATTTTTAGTAGAGACGGGGGTTTTGCCGTGTTGGCCAGGCTGGTCTTGAACTCCTGACCTAAAGTGATCCTCGGCCTCCCAAAGTGCTAGGATTACCAGCGAGAACCACTGCGCCCAGCTTAGAAGGGAAACATTCTTAGGGTCTTTAGGGTCCCAGAAAGCAGTTTGAAAGC
Source organism: Homo sapiens (assembly GCF_000001405.40). Lineage (NCBI taxonomy): Eukaryota > Metazoa > Chordata > Mammalia > Primates > Hominidae > Homo > Homo sapiens. Next base: position 189,414,420 of record NC_000002.12, on the reverse strand, counting down.
TGTCCAAGAATAAAGGAAAGAGTATTGCTATTTTGAATATTAATGTAGAGAGCTGTTTTTGTAATAATGAGCAGGAACCATCTGTGCATATTATGTTACAATTAGGAAAATGTTTATATTTACAATATGAATTTTTACAGTATTTCTTTGATAATTACTATTTTTCCTCAAGAGGGTTGTATGTAAATTTCCCCTTTGATTTTACACTTGCGAAGACTGAAGAGCTGTTATTTGAACTTTATTCCAGAGATTCCTTATTCCTCATGGTGCTCTGTAACTTCATTTTTGAAAATAAATCAATATAGCATCCAATAAAATATGACACACAAGGCCGGGCACAGTGGCTCACGCCCGTAGTCCCAGCAGTTTGGGTGGTGGAGGTGGCCGGATCACCTGAGGTTAGGAGTTCCAGACCAGCCTGGCCAACATGGTGAAACCCCGTCTCTACTAAAAATACACAAATTAGCCGGGCGCAGTGGCGGGCGCCTGTAATCCCAGCTGCTTGGGAGGCTGAGGCAGGAGAATCTCTTGAACCCGGGATGCGGAGGTTGCAGTGAGCTGAGATTGTGCCACTGCACTCCAGCCTGGGTGACAGAGCGAGACTGAGTCTCAAAAAAAAAAAAAAAAAAAAAAAAAATGACGCCAAGGAAGCTGTTTTTCTTTTGTGAATCTTTCATCAATCATTTTAAGTGAATGGATTCAATGCTGGGATTGTTACTTTTACCTGGACATCTGAGTCCTACTTCATGCCTGTCCCGGCCGCTAATTCCTTTTTACTGAACCCGGCCCCTCCCTAACACAAATTACATTGTACTTCGCTGTGAAAGGTTCTAATGAGCGTAAATTTCTTTTGTTTTCCTTGTTAAAATTCTTCTTCTTCCCTGCAATGCACACCTTATCTTCTCAGAACAGAAGACCTCAGTGGACTATTAGGAAGGTCTCACATCTCCTTGGGCCCAGTCGTCATCCTTTTTAATACTTATTTAATTTTTTTTCCCTGGAGATTTGGCAGTGATTTACTGGTTGACTTTGATTTCAGGGCTCTTGTAACCATAAATTACTTACTTGGGATGAGTGATTAGAGGATCCTAACTGCTGGAGTATTCTCTGTTTGGGAAATAAGTTATTTTTACATACATTCATAGATGTTCATGTGGCAGAGGAATTATATCTACAATGGGAAAAAATTTGTATGTTGAATCAATAGCTTCCCTGATCTATAGGCTAAAATCCAGGCTTCTTGGTCTGGCAATAAAGGCTTGTCATAAATTGACCCGACCTATCTTTCTAATCTATTTTCTTTGTTTTGACTTCATAAACTTCACTATAGAAATTATTCTGTGAATATTCATTAAAGATTCTACATCTGGACCTTTACTTAATGTTACCTCTACCTAAAATGCTCTCTTGCTTTCATACTATCTATCTAACTCTCTTCTAACAGCCATACAACTTTTCCATTCTCTTCCACGAACATTCTCAGGCACCTTTCTACTTTCCACTCAGAGAACTTGGAAGTTTTCTTTACGACTCACTGCCATCCAATTATATGATAATTCTTGAGTCGCTGCGTATTAGTCCTTGATTTTTCTATGTTTTGATGTTAAGAGATGTGTGCTCTTTGAACACAAGACAATGTATTGTTTTTCTAGGTAACATAATACAATGCTTCCTACATTGTTGGCTCCTGTTTACTATCAATTGATTGGCAATTCATTGGTATGTAAATGACATTGCAGAAGATCTTGTATTCTTCAAGTTTTTAATGGTATTTTCATACTAGAGATCTGAGCTGATGTTGATGGCTTCAGAACCAAGTGTGAAATTATTTAGAAACTGAAGCCACAACTGCAAAAATACAGACAGACCACATGGTGGCAGCAAAGGAGCATCATTATTTTTGCAGGTTTGCATTATGCTTGCCTAACCAGAGATTATAATTATTCTGTTAGTGAATCAAAAAATATTGTAAATGTCTAATAAATAAACTTAGTGGAATGTTATAGAATGAGTATTTCTTAATATAAATAAATGCAAAAAGATCTTTGGATTTTTAGTGGTCTTTATGTACAAAAGTATTTCTTGCATCTTAAATTCTAGAACTTCTCCATATTGTTTCTCAATTATATTCCTCTTTCTCACTGTCTTTTCCCTCTCTACTATAAACATTTCACGAACGTTAGGATGATGTTTTGTGACATTTGGATTTTGGGACTGCGGCTCACAGGATATTGTGCTTGTAGAATGTGGACCTATACAAATTCCAGCTGGTGATAGTACACGTTGTTCTTTTGCAGACAGGCCTCTTCTTAGGCATGATGCCTAAGTTTAATTTCCATGTGTAAAGTCATACTTAAAGTATGTAAACTGAAACAGATGTTAGTACTCTGAGAAGGCATTTGGTGCATGAAGAAACAGTTCCCTAGCTTCTTTTTCCACTCCCACTATTTTGGAAGCCCCTTTCCATAGAAAAGGGCCTCTGGAGAATCGTCTAGTGTCTTTGACCCCATTAGTATGTAGCAATTCATTCCTGGGAAACTGTTGCTTGAAGTAAATGTTAGCTAGTACTTGAAACTCTTTTCTTAAAAACAATATGATTTTCTTTCCTATAAATGCCAAGTTTTGTTTAACTGTTTTTTAATTAGAAAGCTGTTCACCCTAATCATGTGCTTTTTAAAAAAAATCAAACAAGATCTTATTGATATTATCATTTGAGTAATAACTCAGAACTTCTATTTTCCCAAAGACTTGCAGTAATAGTCAGATGTTGATTCAACACCTATATAACTTCTTACTGCTATAGTTCCAAATATTAAAATGCTATATTGATATGTGAAATACTTTGAAAGTCTACCGACATCTGAATTGTGCTGGTGATAGTTCATAGATTTCCAACCATGTGATAATTTGTGCTTCTGATAATTTTCCAAAAAAAAGTAGGTGGAGTTATTAGAATGAACACCTAACTACTTTCTTTTCCTTCTTGCTCTGCCCTTCCCTTTCTCTTTTAAAAGATATTTGTTGAGATTCTATCTCAGGTATTGTGCTAGAATAAAAAAAACGATTGAAGCAGGTCCTAGTCTTAAGGAACATTCGTTGTAACTTAGGTTTAAAGCACATAGACATCAAATCATAATTTATTATTATATTGGCAAAGAAAAAAATCTGTCAGCACAGAAGAGCCAATCTATATTTCTGAGAAAATAAAGAAGACTTTACAGAGAAGGTGATATTGGAGTTGGGCGTCAATATTATTAATATCATCATTTAAAGATGGAGGATAATTTATCTAGGCAGTAAAATGGAAGGTATTTTCCAGGTAGCAGAATGAAATGAGCACTAGTATGATGGGTTTGGGAAACATAAAAAAACACTGATACGGTTTTCTTAGAGACACATGGAGGGAGTAATTCGGTGCTGAGACTAGAAAGAAAGGATGAGGCCAGATTTAGTCATGCTTAAACAGTTGGAAATATAAATGCAAAATTTTCTTTAATTTAAAGTTAATAATTATAATTTTAAAGTACTTTGACATATTACTTCAAGAGGATAATATGTGACCATTTGTACTGTAAAAATTTAGTTATTCTTAATGTTACTGAGTTACCTTCTAATTGCATTCATAAAATACATCAATTCACTAAAAATTTAGGCAATTGCATATATATTCACATAATTTTTGTTTTGTTATGTAAACATAAACAAGCCTTGAGTTTGTCTTTATATCAAATCACTAAAGTCCATATATCTAACTTCTAGATTAAAAAAACAAAGCATTATTGAAAAATGTGGCAGATATATGATTATAATGCTCTATTAGTGTTTATTTGATAATTATTTGGTCTTTTTTTTTAAGAGACAGGGTGTCACTCTGTCGCTCAGGCTAGTGTGAATTGGTGTGATCATAGCTCATTGCAGCCTCGAACTCCTGGGCTCAAGCAATCCTCCTGCCTCCGACTTCCCAGCAGCTAGGACTGCAGGTATGCACCACCATGCCCGGCTAATTTTTTTTCATTTTCTTGTAGAGATGGGGGTCTTGGTCAGGCTGGTCTTGAACTCCTGGCCTTGAGCAATCCTCCCAACTTGGCCTCTGAAAGCTCTGGGATTACATGGCATAAGTTGTCTTTTGTTAATGGCCAAGTTTGATGACTAAATGATATCTCTAGTATACATTAAATATGATGGAAATAATTTAATTAGACAATATTTTCCTCTCAAAGTAAAACAGATTTCAAAGTGTATATGTAGAAAGTTATGTTAAAAAATAAATTCTATGTTATTTTATCTAGCTTTTAGTATCACTGGTGGAAATGATTCAGTAGCTCTCTCTTTTCATAACTTATCTTATAAAAATAAGTTAAATTCCTCTACTTCTGATTGAAAGTGTGACTCGAAGTATTTCATGTACAGAATACAACATACTTCTAAGAGAGAAGCTTTCATATTGCTCTCTTCCATTAATTGCATGACATTGAACTCTATTTTTTCAGCCTGAATTATAATTATAAAGCAAACAGATTCTAAGTGCTCTACTTTCCATTTTAAAGTTTCCATCAAACTGTGGTTTGGGTGTGGATGGAAAACTATTATGACATTCTTTAGGTTTTCAAGTCTGCTTGAGTGATTTCATACATAAACAGCAAAGCTTCAGTAATTTCATTAGGAAAGCCACTTAAAAAATAATTGGTTAATTTGTCACAAATAAATTCAGTATTATAAAAAGGTGTTATAAAGCTTGTATTTTTATTTTTCCATTAAAATAATTCCATTTTTAGAATTAAGTGAATAGTTTTTAAGAAATTAAGTAGTAGTTCTATTCTGAATTTATGCAATTATTGAAGTTTTTCCATCTTGTTTCCCAGTTAGAAGTAAAAATCTAAATCTCATTTCTAAGACTTCTCACAGAAAGTATTAATGACAAACTAACGATAATTTTCTTATTTCATTAATTCCTTACAGAATACTATAGAAAATGCTAATTGAACAATGAAACTTGCATTCCTGACTGACTAGGGCATGTGCTTTAGCATTAAGAGTGGATTTAAGCTGGGTGAGGTGTATGGTGCCTGTAGTCACAGTTACTCAGGAGGCTGAGTTGGAAAAATTGCTTGTACTCAAGAATTCGAGGCTGCAATGAGCTATGATCATGCGACTGTATTTCATCTCTGGGTAACAGATCCAGATCCTATCTCTAAAAAAAAAAAAAAAAAAAAAAAGAGTAAATTTATAAAAATCTATAAAATGTCAGGCTTTTTCTAGAATTCTGTGAGCAGAATCTATCTTGTGTCATTTTGTGAGTGTAATTTTCTGTTGAAACAAAAACCTACGGTGATTTTCAGACAAGAGAAGAAAGTATATCTCTAAAGAAGGATAAATGCCATGGAGTGAAAAATTTATAAATGAAACTTCAAATAAGGGAATGAATGGGTGCATTTTTCAGGTAAATGACTATAGTCACAAAAATTATACTTGTAATCAGACTGTGGACACACTACCTATTCCATTTTGCTTTGTTTTCAGGCTGGGTTTCTGCAACCAAAGTCAAGAGGACCAGTTGAATTAATAATTCAGTTCATTATATCAAAAAATTTGACAGACTCACAAATATATCTGGATAACTCAGTATAATGTGGTTAATTGATCGTGTTCATATTAAATGAAGTGCCTTTCATCACTATCAGCCGCTGTTCTACATGAGACCAACAGAATATTAGTGATGGTGATTGTATCCTGTATGACTTTTAGCCAGTGTTTAGAAAGATGGTGTAAAGTAAGGGTGATAGTAAAAAGATAAATTAGTACATATAATTTATGTTATTTTAATATTTATTAAATTCCAACCTAAAACATGACTATTAATGGTCACCATGGCCACTGAATTTTATTCTCTGAGTTGCTTTCCTTTTTATGATTCATATCCTGTGGTCTTCAGACCAGTATTAAGAATTAATAGTCACAGAATGTTTTGAGTCTGATTCTAATGTAGTATGGCAACTCTATTTACATATTAATGCCATGTATGTACTTTCTTCCCGCATCACACCATCTGAGAGGCAGAAATCAAAACTGGGTGTATGGCCAAGCACTATGGTTTATATTTAATGGGCAGTACAGTAATGTCTGTGAGACTGAATTAATTTGCTTTTAGCTTCAGTTCCAGCTAGAGCCTCTGATTTCAGATAACTTATTATTTTTACTGAAGTTTTGTATTCATATAGGATTATCCTTCACTTACTTGAAATGGGTCCTTTGCACTAAACAATTGGATAAATAATACAGCACAATTTCTTTGCAGCCCCAGATTAGAGAGGATTTCATTTTGATCTGTAAATCAAACACACAAATCTAGGTCAAGGATGGCCAGGTAAGCAGAGCCAGTCAACTCAATCTTGGTTTGAACAGCCTGAAGTAATGCAGTCTACTTTCACTATCAAAAATATTGCATCCTCAGTAAAAGGTCTTTCACTTGCCATAACGAGGTCTGGAATTTAAGCTGCTGTTACTGGAAAGGCAGCCTTAATATTTTTATTTTCCCAGAAAATGAAAAACAGAGAAATTCTCATTTCCTGACTACAGGTCAACTGTTAAAAATGTCTTAAAACAAAGGAAATGGAGCCTGGTTTTGTTCAGTACAACAGAGCTAGTAAAGAGGAGTTGTCTTGCTGCAGTATTCCTGCAAGTTAATTTATTTGTTGCTTTAGAAAGAAATTCTATTTCCATTAAAATTATGTCTCTGGGTAGGTGATTCATGAACAGAGGACCTGGAGATGGAATCAGCCTCTTGAGTCTATTTACATTCTTAATCATACACAGCTGCTGGGACGATGGAGCATTTTGGTTTTTTCAAAGGCAGAAAGAGTCTTATCTTTTGCCATTAAAACATTAAATTGGTCACATTAAAACAAAGCCAAATAATGTAGTAACTTAGAAAACTATGTTTTGAAGAAGGTAAATGTCCCTTTCAATGTGTAGGGAACCTCTCTTTAGGTATTCTGAGCTCAGTTTTAAGAACATTTTTAAAACCTCGCCTGTGATTCAAAACAGCTGTAGCTATGTTTTGAGTGATGTAAACACTTCCCTCCACCTCCCCCATATTCTTAAGCTTTCCAGGCTCAAGGCAAGGGATTTTAAAACGTTGCAGTTTCTTCTTATCATGTACTTCCTACATCATTTACCTTTTTAACTAAATAGCACTTTGTAAAAAAAACCTTTACAGGTATGGAGTTTGGATGCTTACTTGGAGCAAATTGCCTAAAAATAGTGAAAAACATTAACCATTTTATTGAAAATTTAGTATAAGCTTAAAACACCTTCTGAGATACAGCCACTAACAAATCTTCATATGCATGTCCTGTTTGGAATGAACTTGGCCAGTACAGACAGTATAAGTTAATACATGTTAAATAGATATTTGAATGAATATTCAACATATTCATTCATCAACTGTTTGAATATTCAAACAGGCAAGCCAATTAGGTTTCTTTTTCCTTTTAGTTTATAGGAAGTGATCCTTCCAGTTTCTTCAGCACCTATAAATTACATCTCCATCTCTCTCAGTGCTTTTGTGATGATTTCTCTGTGTGTACTTTGTCTCAACAGTGTTAAGACAAGAGTTTATCTTGCATCATCATTGCTGAATTTCCCACACCTTGGAAACTCTAGTAACAAATTAATAGCTGCTTTTTGGCATTTTGTATTTGAATAACATCATGTTCAAGAGGCTTTTAATGTATAAGTCGGTCAGTTTAAAACAATTTTCAAGTAATTTTCCTAGTTACATGGCTACAGGTCAGATCTGTGTCAATCATGTTTAGTTATAGAACTTTTTCCAGATAGAAATTTTCTCATAAGAGCCAAAGAAGTACATTTTCTGGTGAAGCTTAGCAGGGAGAAGAACTTGATTTTAGAATAAGGAGGGGTACAATGTTAAGAATATAATTTGTGGCAGGAAAAATACACTAAAACCAGTTAACAATTTTAGCAATATATGCTTTTTGATGATCTTAGACATTTCTAAACATAAGCCAACTTTTAGTAGTGTCTTATCCCAGTGATGGTATTATCCCAAAGATGGAGTCTACCACTTCTTCATGTATTTGTGAAATATGCTGTTACCAAAAATATAAAATAGTAGAAGAAATATATTTTAAAAGCATCAATTTCAAGTTTTCAGCAGTATAGTATAAAAACTAAAATGAGATTAAAATTAAAATTCTCAATTTCCAACACATGTTTGATAATGATATTTTTCTGTTACTTGGAACTTATTTTATTTCTGTTATTAAATTTTATTAGTCATTCACTTAGTAAAAATTTAATCTTAGCATTTGGAAATGAGAAAATTAATTACTGTTCGGGAATGTGCTTTGATAGCTGATAGGTGCTATCTATATATTTTCCTTTAATCACTCCATGAAGTGGTTGCAAAGACTCTAGAAAGAACTAACCTACTCATATTAATTGCTTTAAATAGAAAACGGGGATTTTAAATGATGCAACAGATTAATTTATTAGCCTAAAACAAAGTTCCTAAAGGATCACAAATGCTGACTAAGTCTTGACATGGGTTTTACACATTGTCAGAAGAACCCTGGGACAATAGAGATATTTGACTAAAATGTGCTATAATTCCATATTGGGTTCATGGTTATTCATTCTGGTCTCACATGCATTTTCCACTGTGAGCATGACATAAATCATGTGCAATAGTCGTATTTTTGATTTAGCACAGTTTTATGTTGTATACCTCTCCTTTGTATTTTTAACCTAGTTCTGTTTGGTCTGTATTTCCTGCATGCTTCCCCAGTGGCCAATACGCAAAATAGTCTACAGAATGCAATAATCTTAAACAAGTTCTGTGACACTAAACTTGTTAAAAGGTAATTTAATTAGGCCAGGCACGGTGGCTCACACCTATAATCCCAGCATTTTGTGAGGCGAGGTGAGCAGATCACTTGAGGTCAGGAGTTTGAGCCAGCCTGACCAACATGGTGAAACCCTGTGTCTACTGAAAATACAAAAATTAGCCGGGTGTCATAGCTGGCACCTGTAATCCCAGATGTTCAGGAGGTTGAGGCATGAGAATCACTTGAAGCCAGGAGGCGGAGGTTGCAGTGAGCCAAGATTGTGCCACTGCACTCCAGCCTGGGTGACAGAGCAACACCCTATCTAAAAAAAAAAGAAAAAAAAGGCATTTAATTAAAAATAAATATCTAATGTCACTATTTTTTTAATGTGTTTATTTATTTTCATTCAATTAATCCTAATATTTTTCCAGTTAGCAATAATATTGATAATAATGGTTAATGCCTATAAAGAACTTTCTGTGTACCAGGGAACTACTTTTATTGGATTATCTGATTTACTTCTTATAGATACCCCATAAAATAGGTACAATTATCATTTTGTAGGTGAGGAAATTGAGGCATATGGATATCAAATGATTCATCCAAAATCACATAGGTAGTAAATGGCAGAACCAATATTTGTACTGTGTCTCCAAATGTCCCTCAACAGGAGAGTGGATAAACACATCGTAGTATATTCATACAGTAGAATACTACTCAGCAATATAAATGCTGAACCACTCATACATGCAACAACATGGATTGTGGTAAGTAGGATACTAGCTAGCCTTTAAGATTTGTACCTCTGGATGTATGAGTCCTGTATAATTTTCTCGAGTAGGGATAGAACCTGTGAATATGAGACATTACTTTTATTAGTTAGGGTTCTCCAGAGAAACAGAACCAATAGGATATATGTGGATGAGGAGATTTATTATGGGAATTGGCTCGTGCAATTATGAAGGCTGAGAAGTCCCATGATCTGCCAACTGCAAGCTGGAGAACAGGAAAGCCAGTGGTGCAATTCAGTCTCAGTTTGCAGGTCTGTTATAACCAGGGGAGCGAATGGTGTAACTTCTGGTCTGAGACCAAAGGCCTGAGAATAAGGAAGTTGGGAGTGGAGTAGAGGTGGGCAGCTTCTGATGTAAGTCCTGGATCCAAAGGCTCAAAACACAGGAGCGCTAATGTATCAATACAGGAGAATATGGATGTCTAAGCTCAAGACAAAAGATGGAATTTGCTTTTCCTTTGCCTTTCTGTTCTATTCAGGCCCTCTTTGGATTAAATGATGGCTACCCACATTGGTGAGGGTAGATCTTCTTTACTTAATCTCTGATTCAAATGCTAATCTCTTCCAGAAATACCCTCACAGACATACTCAGAAATAATATTTTACCAGCTTTCTGGGCATTCCTTAGCTCAGTCAAGGTGACACACAAAATTAATCATATCACTCATGTGATCATGTTACATTTAAATGACAAAAGAGAGATTATTATGGGTAGCTCTGACTTAATCAAGTGAGTCCTTTAAAAGAAGAGCTGGGCCTGGCATGGTGGCTCATGCCTGTAATCCCAGCACTTTGGGAGACTGAGGTGGGTGGATCACGAGGTCAGGAGATTGAGACCATCCTGGCCAACATGGTGAAACCCTGTCTCTATTAAAAATACAAAAATTAACTGGGCATGGTGGCACGTGCCTGTAATCCCAGCTACTCGGGAGGCTGAGGCAGGATAATCGCTTGAACAAAATACTGGCAAACCAAATTCAGCAGCACATCAGAAAGCTTATCCACCACAATTAAGTAGGCTTCATCCCTGGGATGTAAGGTTGGTCCAACATACATAAATCAATAATTGTGATTTATCACGTAAATAGAACTAAAGGCAAAAGCTACATGATTATCTCAATAGATGCAGAAAGGCCTTCAATAAAATTCAACATCCCTTAATGTTAAAAATTCTCTATAAACTAGATATTGAAGGAACATACCTCAAAACGACAAGAGCCATATATGACAAACCCACAATCAATATCATACTGAATGGGCAAAAGCTTAAAGCATTCCCTTTGAAAATCAGCACAAGACAAGGATGCCTTCTCTCACCACTCCTATTCAACATAGTATTGGAAGTTGTGGCCAGGGCAATCAGGCAAGAAATAAAGAGAAAGAAATAAAGTGTATTCAGATAAGAAGAGAGGAAGTCAAAGTATCACCATTTGCAGATGACATAATCCTATACTTAGAAAAGCCCACGTCTCAACCCAAAAGCTTTTTAAGCTGATAAGCAATTTCGCCAAAGTCTCAGGATACAAAATCAATGTGCAAAAATCACTAGCATTCCTGTACACCAATAACAGGCAAGCCAAGAGCCAAATCACGAATGAGCTCCCATTCACAACTGCCACAAAATGAATACAATACATAGGAATGCAGCTCACCAGGGTGGTGAGAAATCTCTTCAAGGAGAGCTACAAACCACTGCTCAAAGAAATTAGAGATGACACAAGCAAATGGAAAAACATTCCATGCTCATGGATAGGAAGAATCAGTATCATGGAAACGGCCATACTGCCCAAAGCAGTTTATAGATTCAGTGCTATTCCCTTTAAACGACCATTGACATTCTTAACAGAATTAGAAAAAAATATTTTATAATTCATGTGGAACCAAAAAGGAGCCTGAATAGCCAAGAAAATCCTAAGCAAAAAGAAAGAAGTTGGAGGCATCATGCTGCCAGAATTCAAACTATACTATAAGGCTATACTATACTATACTATACTATAGCCAAAAGAGCATGGTACTGCTACAAGAACGGACACATAGACCAATGGAATAGAATACAGAATCCGTAAATAAGACTGCACACCTGCAACCATTTGATCCTCAACAAACCTGACAAAAGCAACAATGGGGAAAGATTCCCTATTTAATAAATGGTGCTGGGAGAACTGGCTAGCCATATGAAAAAATTGAAACTGGACCCCTTCCTTATACCATATACAAAAGTTAATGCAAGATGGATTAAAGATTGAAATGTAAAACACAAACCTATAGGCCGGGCACAGTGGCTCATGCCTGTGTCTTGGCCCCTTTGGGGGCTGAGGCGGATGGATCACAAGGTCAGGAGATCGAGACCATCCAGGCCAACATGATGAAACCCCATCTCTACTAAAAAAAATTCAAAAATTAACTGGGTGTGGTGGCACGTGCCAGTAATCCCAGCTACTCGGGAGGCTGAGGCAGGAGAATCACTTGAACCAGGGAGTCGGAGGTTGCAGTGAGCCAAGATCGCACCACTGCACTCCAGCCTGGTGATAGAGCGAGACTCCATCTCAAAAACAAACAAAAAACTGAAACGACAACAACAAAAACCTAAAACTATAAAAACCTTATAAGAAACCTAGGCAATACCATTCAGGACATAGACACGGGCAAAAATTTCATGACAAAGATGCCAAAAGCAATTGCAAGAAAAGCAAAAATTGACATGTGGGATCTAATTAAAATAAAGAGTTTCTGTGCAACAAAAGTAACCAGCAACAGAATGAATAGACAACCTACAGAATGGGAATTTTTTTTTTGCAATCTATTAATCTGACAAAGGTCTAATATCCAGCATCTATAAGGAATTTAAACAAATTTACAAGAAAAAAACAGCCCCATTAAAAAGTGGACAAAGGTCATGAACAGACGCTTCTCAAAAGAAGCCATACATGGGGCCAACAAACATGAAAAAAAGCTCAACATCACTGATCATTAGAGAAATGCAAATCAAAACCACAGTGAGATACCACCTAACCCCAGTTAGAATGGCTATTATTAATATTAAAAAGTCAAAAGACAACAGATGCTGGTGAGGTTGTAGAGAAAAAGGAATGCTTTTACATTGTTGGTGGGAGTGTAAATTAGTTAAACCATTGTGGAAGACAGTGTCATGATTCCTCAAAGACCTAGAGGCAGAAATATTATTTGACCCATCAACCCATTACTGGGTATATGCCCAATGAGATACAAATCATTCTATTATAAAGATACATGCACCCGTATGTTCACTGCAGCACTATTCACAATAGCAAAGACATGGAATCAACCTAAATGTCCATCAATAATTGACTGGATAAAGAAAATGTAGTACATATATGCCATGGAATACCATTCAGCCATAAAAAGGAATGAGATCATGTTATTTGCAGGGACGTGGATGGAGCTGGAAGCCATTATCCTCAGCAAACTAACATGGTAATAGAAAACCAAATACTTTCTGGTCTCACTTATAAGTGGCAGCTGAATGATGAGAACACCTGGACACATAAGGGGGACAACAACACACACTAATGCCTGTCAGAGAGTGGGAGGAGGGATAATGAAGGACAGCCTCAGGAAGAATAGTTCATGGATGCTGGGCTTAATATCTAGGTGATGGGATGATCTGTGTAGCAAACCACCATGGCACACGTTTATCTATGTAACAAACCTGCACATGTACCCTTGTACTTAAAAATAAAAGTTGGAAATAAGAAAAGAATGACTCGGACAAGGAAAGTGATGGCCAAATAACAGCAGACCAGAATTTACAAGTTACTCTGATACATAAAGCATCATAGGAAAAACAATCTGCAATCATTTTAGTTTTCCTAGAATGATACTTCATCCTCTGAGAGTTAGTGAATTATAAGGATACGATTTTTAAGAAAGCCAAAGGACTCTTGCCAGCTTTGATGTTTCCCCTTTACACGTGCAGTTTATGTTTGCTTTATTAAAATTATATTTTCAGTCCTTGTATAATTTTAATCATTGTTCCTCAGAACATTTGCAAAAGGAAATATTTCTGCTTGACCAGTGAGATATGCATTTTGTCAGTATCATATCGGTCATGTCTATTGGTGTGCTGTTTTGGGATCACCAAAGTTTCTAGAAATGCAGTACCAACTAATAATTAAAATAAACTCTTTGAAGTTAAAGAAAAAAGAATGATAGAAATACACTCTCAAGAGATCCAGATACTTCTGTTAACATGGACTTTATAATAACTCTAATTAGTCGTCAAGGAGGAACTAGCAATTGCAAAAAAATATCCTGTAAAAATTCTAGAAGTCAAAGTAAATAACTGAAAAAAGTTAATGGGTAGCTTAATGGAATATTTGGTATGGCTAAAGAGAAAGTAATTTGGCATGTAGAGAATAAGGAAGTGTTTATATAGAATAAAAGAAACATGTAGAAAAGAATATAAGAAATATGTGAGACAAAGGTCTGACATATGTGTAGTTGAAGTTCCAGAAGAAGAAAGAGAATAGCGCAGAAGCAATGTTTGAGAATATAATGGCTGAGCAATTTCTAAACTAATTAGAGAATTCAAGCCACATATTGGAGAAGTGCAAAGGACTCAGAGCAGGATAAGTATCAAGAAAAACATATGTAGGCAAATAATAATAAAACTGCTGAAACCCATAGCAAAAAACCAAACCAATCAACAAACAAAAAAGAAAAACATAAAATTAGATCAAATAAAGAGATGTATTACTGTCAAATAGGCCACAATAAATCTGATAGTTGACTTTTTAACTATGGAAGGGCAGGTGTGGTGGCTCACACCTGTAATTTCAGCACTTTCAGAGGCCAAGGCAGGAGTATTGCTTGAGCCCAGGAGTTTGGGAATAGCCTGGGCAACATAATGGGACCCTGTCTCTACAAAAAAATACAAAAATTAGCCAGACATGGTGGCATGTATCTCTAGTCTTAGCTATTCCAGAGGCTGAGGCAGGAAGCTCTCTTGAGCCAGGGAGATTGAGGCTACAGTGAGCCATGATCACACTGCTGCACTCCAGCCTGGGCAGCAGAGTGAGACCCTGTTTCAAACAGATAACCAACCAACCAAAACCAAACCAAAACAACAACAACAAAAACAATGGAAGGCAGAAGACATTGAAACTATAACTCAAAGTTCTAAAAAGTATTATATGTAATATATAAATCAGCCACAAAATTCTATTCTAAAAAATATATCCTTCAAAAACGAATGTAGGCAGGGTGCAGTGGCTCACGCCTGTAATTCCAGCACTTTGGGAGGCTGAGCTGGGTGGATCATCTGAGGTCAGAGTTTGAGACCAGCCTGGCCAACATGGTGAGCTCCTGTCTCTACTAAAAATACTAAAATTAGCTGGGTGTGGTGGCAGGCACCTGTAATCCCATCTACTTGGGAGGCTGAGGCAGAAGAATCATTTGAACCTGGGAGGTGGAGGTTGAAGTGAGCTGAGATCACACCACTGCATTCCAGCCTGGGTGACAGAGCAAGATTCCATCTCAAAAAAAAAAAAAAAATCGTAAAATAAATATTTTAAGATAAACAAAGACTGAAAGAATTTATCTTCAGGAGATCTGTACTACAAGAACCACTAATGAAGTACTTCACACAGAAGGAAAATAATCCCTATTGAAAGCATAAAAATGCAGAAAGAAATAAAAAGCTATAAGAGTAAACATATGGATGTATCCAAATGAATATTGATTGTATTAACCAATGCTAACTATATGCTGCTGGTTTAAAAGTATATAACAAAACAGCACAAAGTATGAGAGAGAATTTATGGAATTCAATTATTCTATGGTTCTATTGTCTAAGAAATGGTAAAAATACTATTAGACTTAAAAAAATTAAGATTGCTTATTGTAATCATAGAATAACCTCTAGTAGTAAAAAGAATGTGTAACTAACTAGTGAATAGAGAGGAATAAAGATAACAGCAACCACACAATCCAAAATAATGCAAGAAAAAGAAAACAATAGTATAGATGATTTAACTCAGATCAATCATTACATTAAATGTGAGCAGATGAATGACACCAATTAAATGACAAAGATAGTAAGACTGGATGCAAAGATAAATATTTTGCTCTGCTACTCAGAGGTTAAATATAAGCACAGTGAAAGGTCGAATGAAAAAGGATTGAAGAAGATATGTCATGCAAACAGCAACCAGAAGAAAGCTGATATAATGAAATTAACATCAGAAAAACTGGACTACAAGACAAAAAAGCATTATAGGTGATAAAGAGAGATAAGTAATAATGGTAAAAGTTTCAATCTTTAAGGAAGATATAATAATTTCCATATTATATGTATCAAATGGAATAGCTTCAGAATATATAAAGCAAGCATTGACAGTACTAAATGGACAAAACAACAATTAAAGTGGAAGACTTTAACATAACATTTCTAAGTAACAGATTGAGCAGAGAGAAGAATATGGAAGATTTGAGCAATAGCAAACATTATCTAACATATAAATATGTATTTACACATGGAAGACTGCACTCAGCAACTGAAGAAAACTTATATAAAACATTTTCCATAGCTTGGCCGGCTCAACACATTTTATCAGATAGAAAAGCAGATGAACATCAGATTGAATATCAGCATGTATTCAGTGAGCACAATTGGATTATTACTAGAAATTAATGAAAAAAATGTCAACTAGAAAATTTCTAAGTGATTGGAAATTGAGCAGTTCTATCATGAATAATCCATGGGTTAAAAGAAGCATTACCACAGACATTAGAAAACATTTTGAACTGAATGCTGATAAAAATATGACATATTAAAATTTGTGGAATGCATATAAAGCCCTGTTTAGAGATAAACTTTTGAATAAATTTATTATAGAAGAAAGCTAAAAATCAACAATTCATCTTTATAAGATAGGAAAAGAACAGAATATTAAACTAAAAAAGTGGAAAGAAGAAAATAATGAGGATAAGAATAGAAATTAATAAAATAGAAAACAAGTTTATAAGAAATTTTAAAAAGCCAAAATTTAATTTTATAGAAGAGTAATAAGTTTGATAAATCTTTGGTGTTATTAATAAAAGACAAGAGAAAGAAGACACAAATGTTTAATATTGAAATGAAAAAGGAGACATCATCACAGATTGTACAGACATTAAAACGATGAAATACATAAACAAATTTTTACTAATAAATTTGAAAATATAGATGAAAATTTTTCTTAAAACTCAACAAAACTGACATGATTAAAAGAGAAAACATTAATCCTCTTGGATTCATTAAAGAAATAGAATCAATAATTGGAGACCTTTCCTACTAGGATTCAGTCTTACCTTAAAAGTTGGCAATGTCTGGTTCACAGCAGTGCTCAGATAATACCAGTTGAAGGAATAGGTCTCTAGTATTAAAATATTCTTACTACATTGCTTATGTTTATTCGTCTGTCTCTTCATTAAACCACAAGCTCCTTTGTATTCCCAGCATCCAGCACCAGTTATTTACAATTAGTCAATAAAGGTTTGTTGAATAATTGAATTAAAAAAGAAGAGAACTGTTACTGTTTACTGAGTGCCTTCATCAGGCCTAAGTGTCTCCTCTTGGAAGGGTACTAATTTTACCCTTCATAAAGTCTCCACTCTCATTACCTAATTCCTTCCAAAGTTCCCCATATCCAAATACTGTTACTTTGGGGATTAGGGTTTTCAACCTATGAAACTATGAATCTGGGGCACACATCTGGCTCTATGCTAGAAACGTTTATATAATTATCTCATTTATCTTTTTTTTTTTTTTTTTTTGAGACGGAGTCTTGCTCTGTCGCCCAGGCTGTAGTGCAGTGGCATGATCTTGGCTCACTGCAACCTCCATCTCCTGGGTTCAAGCAATTCTCCTGTCTCAGCCTCTGAGTAGCTGGGACTACAGGTGCCCGCCACCATGGCCAGCTAATTTTTGTATGTTAGTAGAGACGGTGTTTCACCATATTGGTCAGATTGGTCTCAAACTCCTCCCCTCAGGTGATCTGGGTGATCTGCCCGCCTCGGCCTCCCAAAGTGCTGGGATTACAGGCATAAGCCACCGCGCCCGGCCTCATTTATTCTTTTTTTTTTTTTTTTTTTTAATGGAGTCTTGCTCTGTTACCCAGGCTGGAGTGCAGTGGCGCGAGCTCTGCTCACTGCAAGCTCCGCCTCCCGGGTTCACGCCATTCTCCTGCCTCAGGCTCCGGAGTAGCTCGGACTATAGGGGCCCACCACCACGCCCGGCTAATTTTTTTGTATTTTTAGTAGAGACGGGGTTTCACCATGTTAGCCAGGATGGTTTCAATCTCCTGACCTCGTGATTCACCCGCCTCAGCCTCCCAAAGTGCTGGGATTACAGGCGTGAGCCACCGCACCCGGCCCATTTATTCTTAACTATACTTCTATGAGGGTGGTATTTTTAGTCTCATGAAGGCATTACATTTTAAAGCCTATTTCTTTTCACTATACCAGTGATTTCCAAAATTGTCTGCATGTACCCTTTGGGGTACAGAATTGAGAAAAGAAAATTTTAGAAGCAAACTGTGAATGAGAGGTTAAGTAATTT
Source organism: Homo sapiens (assembly GCF_000001405.40). NCBI lineage: Eukaryota > Metazoa > Chordata > Mammalia > Primates > Hominidae > Homo > Homo sapiens. Next base: position 189,396,206 of record NC_000002.12, on the reverse strand, counting down.
GTCTGAGATCACACACTTTAGCTTTTACAGCTATCATATTTATCCTTGAGAAAAATATCTATAAATTTCTTAAGCCAACACTAGTGAGAAATTGGGACTAAATACTAATGAAGTTTCCTGTATTCTAAAAAAGGGTCTTGGTTTCTACTCTTACTCAAATATCCTGATTTCCATCCTGTAGATGCTATGTATATATTCTTTGTAAATAGTATTGACAATTACCCACAAAACTGTAGCTACATTTTTCTTGTAAAATTGCAAAATTAGTCAATAGCTTCTTTTTTTTTTTTTTTTTTTTTTTTTTTTTTGAGATGTGTCCTAGGCTGGAGTGCAGTGGCACCATCTTAGCTCACTGCAACCTCCACTTCCTGGGTTCAAGTGATTCACCTGCCTCACTCAGCCTCCCAAATAGCTGGGATTACAGGTACCTGCCATCACACCTGGCTAATTTTTTTTTGTATTTTTAATAGAGACGGGGTTTCACCATATTGGCCAGGATGATTTCGAACTCCTGACCTCAAGTGACCCACCCGCCTCAGCTTCCCAAAATAGTAGGATTACAGGTGTGAGCCACCATGCCCAGCCACCAGGAGCTTCTTAAGAATGGCTTTTATAATATATTTGCTCCAAATTGTACTTAGAAATGTAAACAGTGAGCTATATTTTCATTACTAACTAATATAAATTTAGTTGTTATACAAAATTTCAAGTTTCATCTGGTATCCCTAAGATAAAAACCAAAAGGGAGGCCTATGGAACTTATTGAAGCTTGTATTTTTTGTTATGAATTTCAAGTATATGCCTAAAAAGAGATACTAAAATTTGGCCAACAAATTGTGATATGCTTTGGTAAACTACTAATTGATGAACATTTTTTCCAGTTTCTGTTCATACTATGCATTTTCCTATAAATCTATTTCATTTTAATTCATAATGTAAACATTATCTTTGTCCAAAAGACCACGAAAGGGATGAAGAAATCTTTAAACAATGTTAAAAATGGTAAAATAAAGTGTGACACAGAAATTGTTAAAATCTTAGGTACATTTGGCAGTCTTTCATCCTTCATTTAAAATACATTATTCTAATAGCATCATCTAGAAGTAATTTTATTGACTGAAATGTTTTTAGGTGCTTATAGTGAGATACTTTTCTCTGATCTCTTTTTATCCAGGAGGTTTGTGGAAGCTTTAAAAATGAGCATTGTACTCTAAGGAAGTAACACAAATTCTGGCTGTAAACCATCTCATTGAAAAGACAAACCTAAAATGAATGATTAAAATAAAGTATGTAATTCAAAACTAGTTATTGTTCAATCTAATTTACATTATTTATAGTCTATGAGCAAAAAAGTGAGTCTCTGGGAAAGGACCACATTTCAATTAGATAGAATTATCTTTCAGCAAGGTTTACCTCATTTTATTGTATACCTTTTTTCTATTTCATTGTGCCTTTCATACTTTGTATCTTTATGAGCCTGTCATGGAGACAGAGGTTTTATGTCTCTGTTTTTATTATGTGATTACTTTGCTGAATTAAGCTGCCTTACCCACTTCAGGCTACTGTAACAGACTGGATAGCTAAACAAGAAACATTTATTTCTCATGGTTCTGGAAGATGGAAGTCTGAGATCAGGGTGCTAGTATGGACAAGTTCATGTTGAAAGTATTATTCTTGGTTTGCAGACAGAGAATATGTTAGAGAGCAGAGAGAGGAAGTGGGCTCACTCGTGTCTCCTCTTAGATGGGCGCTAATCCCTTTATAAGGTAACTCTCATGACCTAATCCCTTCCAAAGGTCCCCATATCCAAATACCATCACATTGGGTATTAGGGTTTTCAACCTATAAATTTCTGGGGGACACAAACATTCAGTCCATAGTAACTCTCCCAAGACTATTCATATTTAAATTTAAAAAAGGCTTTGTATGAAGAATCTAATGTTTTTTTTTCAAAATCTTTCTTATACTCTTCAATTCATATTATGTGGTTATTTCTCCTACTATATTACCTACTTTAGGTTAAAATCAACATTATCCAAGAACAACTTATCTTTTCTGCTAGAAGGATAGTCCCTTGGAAAGAATACACAATAATGACCTTAAAGGACTCAAGCAATTATACAGAATTGGTTGCCATAGGAATGTGTGATTAGGAGGTATGCTCAAGGTGAGGCCTCATTTAGCTTCTGATGAATAAAGTTGAATGGAAGAAAATGGCCTACAACAGATGGGGAGCATAAAAACTTTGGCTGAGAAGAAATGAAAGTTAAGTGGACAGAACGTCTTTTAAGGCTGTAAAGGCAGGCAGGCAGCTGGAAACTATTGTGGCGAAGGTCTTGCATGCTGTGAAAAGCCAGACATTACTATGTTTTGCTACTGTAACTAGGAAATATTGAGGGAAATTTGGCATAAAGTAAAGGCACTTGCAAGTTCATTTCTTCTGGCAATTTAGAAATGGGAGATCTAATAGAAGCTATAAGAATGAAGGAGTAAGACCTAATTATTGAAAGATCCAGTTATCACTTCATGACTAATGCTTCTTTGTAAATTGGGAAAGAGTTGAGTCACTGTTGTCCAGGGGAACTCAACTTTAAATCTCCCTGTTATAAACAGCATTCCTCAAACCACAAACCCATCTCATTAACCATCAGATGTTATACAGATACTACTTTGACAATGACTCACATTCTCTCTGGAAGTTTCATACAATTTAAATAGAGATATTAATTAAACTATAGAAAGATGGGTCTCTGTAGTACTAGTCCATATTTAAGCTGAAAAACATATTAAAAAAAGAATTAATGAGATTGTGTAAAAGCTATTTGCATATGAAGTTTTCCAGTGACTACAAAATGGGACATAGTGTAATCCAATTTAGTTATTAGTTTTCTTTCAATTTTACTTATTTTTTTAAAAGAATAAACAAGGATATTGCCAGACCCAAGATTGGAAAATCATAGTACTTTTAGACATACAGAATGAAGTCACAGCTGAAAGCAATTTTTTTGTGTGTTTTTCTGTAAAAAGGATTTGAAGATTAAAAAAAAAAGTTTGAAAAAGTGGGAGGTTGTGAGTTGCAGGGGCACACATATGATGCTAAAATGACATTGTTAATTAAATGCAAATTGGCAAATAAATTATTTTCACTACTTGTTCCTACAGTAAAGTTTTTTTTCTTTTATTTATGCGTAGAGTTCTATTCTGTAAACAGAAGCAATAAGATATGACTATATGGGGAACATAGATGTAACTGATACTACAGACTTTTTCTCTTACAGATAAATGTGGTATTTCCAAAAATTAATTCTTCTTACCTACTGGTAGTACCTTTAGGGTAGATACTTAGTCTGCCCAGGTGATTGGATAATTCATCACTAGACTAAATCCTTAACAAGGCTTCTAGGCAAGGTTAGAAAATAGATGGTCCTTCAAATGGTTACCTGCACCTTGGGCCATTTGATGAGTATGATTTACTGTGCCTATCACATCTGTTAACACTGCAATGAATTCTTGCCCTGTTTCTATTTTTTCCCATCTTCCCTACCTCCTCCCTGCTACAAGGCTGGGACTAAGCTTTTTACAGCCTGGGAGTAATGGGATGAAGGAAAGCATTTTTCTTGGTGATAAAGTAAGATGATTTGCTTCTTTAGATAGGTGCATGTGGAAGTATATTTGTCCTATAAAGTTAAAGGAAGAAGAAAGGAACGTTCTTTACTTCCAGGGGTAAGGACATGTAAACTCTGATTTTATTTTATGAGTTAAAGAAAAGGGACAGATAATCATTTGATATGATTGTGAAAGACTAGGATAATCAGGAGTGGAGGAGAGCATAACTATTTCTATAGAGGATAAGGTCAAAGTCAGTATGACATCTTTTAGGAAGTAGTTCCTGAGTGTTGTAGATATTTCCAGCTCTGGTTGAGTCCAAAATCTATTAACAACATTGTAAAGGTACTCATTCTAGGGATTGCATTGGCAGTTATTCACATCCCCAAATTTTACTTCCTAGGTTTATGTGGAATTTTGAGCAGTTGAGTTAAGCCCAATGTCTAAACTTCTCAGATATTTTATAACTTGATACATAAATGTAAAAATGCATTTGTATATGCCAATATTAACATTGCTCAAATTGTTTTATTTTTAAAAATAGTGAGAATAAAGGAATATTATCATGTATTACCATGGCAAAATGTTTTAATAAAGGACAAACTAATATCTCAACTGAACATTAATAACTTATATAGACTAGTTCCCTAATAGAAACACCATTTCAATATGATGTCAAACTTAATAATATTGAGATGCACAGTTAGTGTAAGGAAAACATATCCATTCCAAAGGAAAGAACTAAGGGCCAATAAGTAATCACATCAACCACAAAAAATCAAATAATTTTAGTATGTAGAGTGAGCTAAATTTGATGTAATCTTTTTTGAAGCAAGTTCTAACCTTTTTCTTTTTACATTTCAGAAATAAGTAAAAGACAGTATGTAAGTATACCTAAAAGGACTTTATAAATCCATCTTTTTAGAAGGAATGACTTCCTTCTAATAGAAGGAGAAATCTGGTGGATGCCCTCTGAGGACAGTATGTTGAATACATTAGATGGGATAGAAGGAAGCACTTTTATTAGTTTCTATTGGTAAAAGACAATCCAGAGTAATTACACTTTGCACATCGTCTCTTCTGATACACTAGATTGCTATTTTGTTCAACTGTTACTTTGTTTACCCTAGTTCTGCACTTTTGTGATCCAAAGCAATCAACATTTTATTTAATGAGAGCAGTGGTTTCTCATTTTAAGTTTGTCATCATCGGAGGAGACTTAGCCACGAGTCAGAGATGGTTTATGTAATTCCTACTACCATACAGCCTAAGAGCATGTGCAGCTCAAACATTAAACTGAATTCCCTATATAACATATCTGTCAGATGTTGTGTGTGGAATACAGGAGTAGAATGCAGCTTGCCATCCTACTTACATTTCAGATCTAAACCTCAAATGCCGTGTTACAAGACCCAGCCAAATTTGGGGTCTCAGAGCATTTGTTACTTTCATAGTAGTGTTATTGCTTTGGATACATTTCAAAAATAAGTAGTTTAAAAAAATCTTTCAAAATTAAAAATCACAAGTTTCCCTGACTAATGACTTACCTTTTAAGCCAACTTTAATAAACTCGCATTTGAACTAAACAAACCCGATGACCAAAAGGAAAACTTTATTATTTTAAGAAATTAGCTTCTATTAGTATTTTTAGCATCTCACTCCAATGTGACAGTCTCAGAACATGTAAATAATTCAAGTTTAGCAAATTCCAGAAATAAATTATGGATGCCTTATTAAGTGTTATAAATTGCTCAATTTGCTGAATAAATTGGGGAAATGGCTTTTAAGTACTTGCTACCTCTATCCTTACTTTTGATCTTTTATTTTCTTGTGTTTAGTGAGACTGTAAAGTGAAGATTGCAGTTGGGAGCTAATTACTAATATCTTTTAACAACTTTGGAACATAGGTGAGCATGGTCCATACCACATGTTCCTATGATCTTTGACAGCAGCCATTATATTTGGATATCTTCTTAATCCAAACTTTTTATGCCTAGCTTTTCTCTATTTGTTGCCTTTATCTCATAACCTAATTTCCTTCCTTACTCCATCTCAACCCTAATAAGCCTTGTTAGGCAGCAGCAACCATATTTCATATGATTCATATTGATATTCACTTGTCTTCTGTGCCATTCTTTTGGGGACTTTCTCTCTATTAGGGAGTATGCCTAGTCAAGTTTACCTTTACTCTTTTGATAAAGACATTTTGGTAAAGATTTCAATCATCTTGACAGATTTATTAGACCTCTTTTTGTATTTACAAACACTGTTCATGACTTTCAAGTCAGATCAACCATGTAGGTATGTTCTGCTGTGACTATGTATATCTTTGCTGGAAGGACCAAACCATCTGGGCATATGCTGTTGTGATTTGTGCGGGTGAGCTCCAGGGGATTGGGGTTGCTAAGATGGTGAGTCTACAGTTCAACACACAGGCAGCCTCAGGGGGCCTACTTCTGCTCTATTTTGATCATATTTTAGGTTGGACTTGCTAGATTTGGGGCAGTTCCTAGAGATCTAGGAGGCCAAAAAGAACTTGAATCTGTTCTAGGGCTCAGTCATTTTGTTCATTAGAATGATAGAAACCAATGTGTCCATTGACCAATATGTTTTCACAAAATGCTTCACAGTGTTTCCAGGTTTCATGAAATTTAGCAAAAGAGAAAATATGTTGGTGGAATGTAGCTTCTAGATGCAGTAGTATCTTCTGTCCAGTTTTTGGATATGTTTAGATTTACTACAGACTCCTTAATGCTAGAAGGTCAAAAGAAGTTAACATTGTCCATTGCAGTGATCTTCAGTTTATATTGGAATAGCATTTGTTTCCATTAATGATCCAATTAATGAGAGAAACCATGTTATGTGATGAGATGTGGGAATTAGGAACTGTAACTAATCTTATTTTTTGTCTCTTGTGAATACAATAGGAATAAATAATAATGTCACAACTCCTTTACAGATTTCCAGCAGATTATACATATGGTTGAAAGACCAAATTGCTTTATTCCAATCTAAAATTTATGGAGTGATTCTACACTAAAGATTGCACTGACAGCATGGATTCAGGCATTCTAAAGTCACTGGAGCAGATAAATTGTCTGAGAAAGAAGGTAAAAAAGATCTTAGAAAAAAACTCCTAAAATTTTTGCCATTTGTTTATGATGATTTCATTCAAAATTGTTTTTGGTAGGATGAATCAAATGTATCTTATAATTGTTCTTCTGTATTTTTGTCTGAACATTGCTTCCCAGTAATGTAACTTAAGCTTTGCTGCTAAAAGGGTCATAGGAATTTATAGAATTATGGCCATCAATCATATGCTGGATATTGCTGAAGTGCTGACTGATAGAGACTTATTGTCTACTGTCACATAACATAAAATTTTCTGTAAGAAAGTGTACTATTAGCTACAGCGAAGGGCTTACTTTATATAGAGTGTTAAACATAACTTGTATCTTCCCTTGATAGATGACTTGTTACTAATTTTGATTCCAAAAATAAAATTGGCTATCAAAAAAAACTCCTAAAAATTTACATAGAACTATAACAGACTAATAGAACATTAGAACCGGGTGATACCTGATTTACAATATTTGATCATAACTATTCAATATAGCTTGCTTGCGATAGAATGTTGGGAACCTTTCAGTGGCTCTTCCATTAGCATTTTCTGAGATCAGGAGAACTGCCTAAACCATCTTGTTCTCTTGATTAGTATCAGTGCCTAGAACATAAAATGTGCTTAGAAAATCTTTGCAGAATGAATAAATGAGAGTGAATGAATGGAAGAGAGGAAATATGCCAAGCAGAGGACTGAATCACTTGTCTCTGATCAGCATTACTATTACTTAATGTTAGAAAAACAAAGGGAGCATATTCCTTTATAGTTTGTGAATACATTAGGCTCCTAATTCTTGATTTTATTTTGCTCCCACTTAAACCCTATATGACTGCAATCTATTTTTTGTACAATGATGACCTTTTAAAATCAAATCACACAATGTCACACTTCTGCTTTGAAAGCCTGTAATGCCTGTTTACTGTAGTTAGTACAAAATCCCGCCATTTATCTTGGCTTGCAAGTACGTGCTCAGCCTGGTCCTTGCCCACTTATCCAACCTCATCCCTCAAGGCTCTTTGCCTATCACACTGCATGCCAGTCATGCAGAACTCTATCTGCTTCTAGTTTGTTTCCACCCCAGGACTATTATAGTGTCTGTTCCCTCTGCCTGGAAGGTGGATCTTTACCTTCCTGTCTCCTTTCCATCATTTAGTTTTCCGTTTAAAGTTCACCTCCTTAAAGAAGGCTTTCTTGATCACCCCTCCTAGTTGACAATGCTCCCTCTAGCACTCCCTGCCTTGTCACTCTTTATTTTCATATAGCAGTAATTACTTTATCTTATCGTCCTCCAGGAGAGCCATTTTTATTGCTGTGTTCTTATGCCTAGAACAGAAGTTGGCACAGGTTGAACGTGTACATATGGAATTTTTGGTTACACATTTAGATGCTCTAACAGGCTGGGCTTAGTGGCTTATGCCTGTAATTCTAGCATTTTGGGAGGCTGAGGTGGGCAGATTGCTTGAGCTCAGGAGCTTGAGACTAGCCTGGGCAACATAGTGAGACCCTGTCCCTACAAAAAATACAAAAATTAGGCAGATGTGATGGCATGTGCCTGTAGTCCCAACTACTTGGGAGGCTGAGTTGGGAGGCTGGCTTGAGCCTGGGAGGCAGAGATTGCAGTGGGCCAAGATTATACCATTGCACCCCATCTTTCTATAAGATTACTAGTATATAAAACTTTGAGAATACTGTCCCTCTAGTTTGAAGCTGCAGTTTAAAAATTGGCTTCTATAGAACAACAACTTTTTTTTGCCATTGTAAACTGCACTGCATTAATATCTTCGAGCATAAACATCTTAACCTGTTGCAACTTTGTTTATAGGCTAGAGTCCCAGAAGTGGAGTTGTTGAGTCAAAGTTTATATAAAATTTTAATCTTCTTGGATGCAAAAATTCTAAGTAAAATATTAGCAAACAGAATACAATAATGCCTCCAAAGAATAACACATCATGAATAAGTAGAACTTATTCCAGGAATGCGTGGCTATTTCTTTTTTTCCCTTTTTAAAGTTTTATTTTAGAATCAGGGGGTACATGTGCAGGATTGTTACAGAGGTATATTATATAATGCTGAGGTTTAGGGCATAACCGAACTTGTCATCCTGGTATTGAGCATAGTACCCAATAGGTAGTTTTCAGCCCTTGCTCCCATTCCTCTCTCTATCACTAGTAGGCTCCACTGTCTATTGTTCCCATCTTTTTGTCCATGTGTATCCAATATTTACCTTCCACTTGTAAATGAGAACATTTGGTATTTGGTTTTCTGATTCTGCATTAGTTTACTTAGGATAATGGCATGTAGCAGCATCAATGTTGCTGCAAAGGACATGATTTCATTCTTTTTTATGACTGTATAATATTCCATGATGTATATGTACCATATTTTCTTGATCCAGTCCACCATTGATGGGCACCTAGGTTGATTCCATGTTTTTGCTATTGTGAATAACGCTGCAATGAACATATGGGTGCATGTATCCTTTTGGTGGAATGATCTGTATTCCTTTGGGTATATACTCAGTAATGGAATTGCTGAGTCAAACAGTTTTTCTGCTGAGAAATCTCCAAACTCCTCGCCACAGTGGCTGAACTAATTTACATTCCCACCAGCAGTGTATTAATATCCCCTTTTCTCCACAGCCTCACCAACATTTGTTATTTTTTTGACTTTTTAACAAAAGCCATTCTGACTGGCGTGAAATGGTATCTCATTATGGTTTTGGTTTGCATTTCTCTGATAGTTCGTGATGATGAGCATTTTTTTCATATGTTTGTTGGCCACTTGTATGTCTTCTTTTGAGAAGTATGTGTTCATATCCTTTGCCTACTTTTTAATGGGGTTATTTGTTTTTTGCTTGTTAAGTTCCTTACAGATTCTGGAGTATTAGACCTTTGTCAGACTTACAGTTTGCAAATATTTTCTCCCATTCTGTAAGCTGTCTGTTTAATTTCTTGATAATTTCTTTTGCTGTGCACAAGCTCTTTAGTTTAATTAGGTCCCACTTACCAATTTTTGTTTTTGTTGCAGTTGCTTTTGGGGACTTAGTCATAAATTATTTGCCAATGCCAATATCAAGAAGGGTATTTCCTAGCTTTTCTTTCCCTAGGATTTTTATAGTTTTAGATCTTACATTTAAGTCTTTAATTCATCTTGAGTTAATTTTTGTATATGGTGATAGGCAGGGGTCCAGTTTCATTCTTCTGCATATGGGTAGCCAGTTATTCCTGCACCATTTATTGATTAGGGGGTCTTTTTCTTATTGATATTGCTTATTGATATAAGTTTGGCTGTGTCCCCACCCAAATCTCACCTTGAATTATGATAATCCCCACATGTCAAGGGCAGGGCCAGGTGGAGATAATTGAAACATAGGGACAGTTTCCTCCATACTGTTCTTATGGTAGTGAATAAATCTCATGGGATCTGATTATTTTATAAATGGGAGTTCCCCTGCACAAGCTCTCTTGCCTGCCACCATGTAAGACATGAGTTGCTCCTCATTCACCTTCTGCCATGATTGTGAGGCCTCCCCAGCCATGTGGAACTGTGAGTCAGTTAAATCTCTTCCTTTATAAATTACCCAGTCTCAGGTATGTCTTTATTAGCATCATGAGAACAGATGAATAAACTTATTTTTGTCTACCTGGTACTTATTGTGCAGCTTTATTTCTGAGTTTTCTATTCTGTTCCATTGGTCTCTGTGTCTGGTTTTGTACCTGTACCATGCTGTTTTGGTTACCACAACCTTTGGTTAGTTTGAAGTCAGGTAATGTGATGCCTCTGGCTTTGTTCTTTTGCTTAGGATTGATTTGGCTATTCAGGCTGGTTTTTTTTTCGATTCTGTATGAATTTTTGGATGTTTTTTTCTAATTCTGTGAAAAATGGCATTGGTAATTTGATAGGAATAGCATTGAATCTGTACATTGCTTTGTGGAGTATGGCAATTTTAATGATATTGATTCTTCTCAATCCATGAGCATGGAATATTTTCCCATTTATTTGTGCTGCCTCTGGTTTCTTTCAGCAGTGTTTTGTAGTTTTCTTTGTAGTGATCTTTCACCCCATTTGTTAGATGTGTTCCTAGGTTTTTTTGTACGTGTCTTTTATAAATAGGATTGTATTCTTGATTTGGCTCTCAGCTAGAATGTTATTGGTGTATAAAAATACTGTTGAGTTTTGTACATTGATTTGGCATTCTCAAACTTTGCTGAAGTCATTTATCAGTTCTAGGAATCTTGTGGCAGGGTCTGTAGAGTTTTCTGAGTATAGAATCATATCATCAGTCTAACTCCTTCTTTTCTTATTGGGATGCCTTTTCTTTCTTTCTCTTGCCTGATTGGTGAGGTTAGTTCAATATAAGAAATCTGTGAACTTAGTTCATTATATTTATCAATTAAAGGAGAAAACAATATATGAATAGACACTGAAAAGCCTTGAGTAAAAAATGCTATTAATAAAAAGTCTAAAGAAAATATGAATACTAGAATGCTGCTTAAAAAAGATTATCAGAAATAAATAGCAAATATTATCCTAAATGATGGATGTTTAATATGAATTTAGACATTTCCATTATAATGATAAAGAATAGGGAAATGATTAGTACTCAATATTATTCAACATGATTTTGAAAGTTCCTTAAAATACAGAACATTGGTTTATGCAACGATTTCTTGAGTAAGACCTCAAAAGCACAGGCAACAAAAGCAAAAATGGACAAATGGGATCACATCAAGCTACAAGGATACTCCACAGCAAAGGAAACAATCAACAAATTGAAGAGACAACTCTCAGAATGGGAGAAAATATTTGCAAACTATCCCTCTGAAAAGAGATTAATAACCAGAATATATAAGAAGCTCAAACAATTCAATAGCAAAAAAATACCTGATTATAAAATGAGGGAAAGATCTGCGTAGGCCTATCTCAAAAGAAGACATATGGCCAACAGGTATATTAAAAAGTGCTCATCATCACTAATCATCAGAGAAGTGCACATCAAAACTACATTCAGATATTATCTCATCCTAGTTAAAATGGCTTTTATCAAAAAGACGGAAGATGACAGATTCTGCTGAGGATGTGGAGAAATGGGAATCCTTATACACTATTAGTGAGAATATAAATTAGTATAGCCATTACAGAAAATAGTATGGAGGTTTCTAAAAAAATTAAAAATAGAACTACCCTATGATCCAGCAATCCTACTGCTGAGTATACATCCAAAAGAAAGGAAATAGGTATCAAAGAGGTATCTGAACTCTCATGTTTATTATAGCACTATTCACAGTAGCCGAGATATAAAATCAATCTAAGTGCCCGTCAGTGGATGAAGGGATAAAGAAAACATGGTAGATATATACAATGGAATATTATTCAGCCATATAAATAATAAAATCCTGTCATTTGCAAAAACATGAATGGAAATGGAGAGCATTATGTTAAAAAAAATAAGCCAGGTATGGCAAGAAAAATATTGCATGTTCTCACTCATACGTGGGAGCTAAAAAAATGATCTCATGGAAATAAAGAGTAGAATGATGGTTACCAGAGGATAGGAAAGGTGAATGGGGGGAGGGTTGGATAAAGAGTGTTTAGTTAATGAGTACAAAAATATAGTTAGAAGGAATAGGTTATAGTGTTTGGTAGTGCAATAGGGCAACGATAGTTACCAATAATTTATTATATGTTTCAAAATAACTAGGAAAGTGGAATTAGAACGTTCCTAACACAAAAAATAACAAATGTTTGAGGTGATATATATAATAAATATCCTGATTTGATCATTACACATTGTATGCTTATTATTAAAAACTCACATGTACCCCATAAATACTGTGCAACTATTATATATCCATAAAAATAAAAATAAAAAACACTAATACAAATGAAATAACACCTAAAATAATGGAAAAGGAAACATAAAATAATTTTCTTTTCTTGTCTATATTATCTTAGTATTTTTAGAACCTATTATGGACTGAATTATGTCCTACTTAATTCATACGTTGAAGCCTTGACACCCAAGTTTACTGTATTTAGAGATGGGGTCGTTAAAGTGGTAATTAAAATTAAATAGGGACATTAAAGGTGAAATCCTAATCTGGTGTGGCTGATGCCATTATAAAATGAGGAGGAAACACCAGTGAAGAGTGCACACAAAGGAAAGAACTTGTGAGAACACAGTGAGAAGGTGGCTATCCTGCAAGCCAAAGACAGAGGCCTCAGGAGAGACCAATGCATCTGGCACCGTCATCTTGGACTTACAGCCTTTAGAACTGTGAGAAAGAAAATTTCTGTTATTTAAGCCACCCATTCTGTGGTATTTCGTTATGTCAGCCTAAGCAAAAACTACTGTAATACAGAAACCTGTGACATACTTATGTTAGTAAAAATGTACAAATTGTTTGTAGCAAGAGAATTTGGTTAAATGGCTGATGTAAGGTCCTCTGAGCTGGCCTCACCATGGTCAAGCCATGGTGACATTCCCTACCCTTGTGATAATATACTTTGTGATATTCCTTGTGAATGTACTTTGTAACATTCCTCCCTGTCCTTGTGACAATACACCCTCCCTGCCCTTGTGAATGTACTATGTAACATCCTCCCTGCCCTGTGACAATACACTCTCCCCACCCTTGTGAATGTTCTTTGTAACATCCTCCCTGTCTTTGAGAATGTACTTTGTAACATCCATCCCCTACCTGCAAAAAATTGAAAAAATTGCTCCTGACTCCACCACCTATCCCAAACCTATAAGAACCAATGATAATCCCACCACCCTTTGCTGACTCTTTTCCCAGACTCAGCCCACTTGCACCCAGGTGAATAAATAGCCTTGTTGCTCACACTAAGCCTGCTCAGGTGGTCTCTTATATGGACGTGCGTAACAGCTGAATAGAAGATAATTATACAAGAACCAGAAACTTTTTTCTATATGACTTATAATCACCTATAAATAGAAATTAGAAAAACTTCCATAAATAGAATTAACTATATGACAAAGGTGGGATTTTAATATCTTGATCTTTAACTACTTGAATAAACACTTGCTATAATTTCATTTACTTTTGTCTTTAAAAAATCTTTATTTTAAAAATTAATTTTTATTTTATTTTATTTTTTGAGACAAGGTCTTACTCTGTCACCCAGGCTGGAGTGTAGCGGCATGATCATGGCTCATTGCAGCCTTGACCTCCCCGGGCTCGGGTGATCCTTCCACCTCAATATTTTTAATTGTCTTAAAGAGGAATTCTTTAGCTTCAACATAGAAACACTGAGCTGTATATCACCTTTTATTTATTGCTGCCCTGACAAAAGTTAGCATGTGAGTTGTTTAGCTTATTAAAATGAACAGTTTAAGTTGTTAGAAATATTAATTGTTGAGTAGTCATTTATTCAAGTTGTAAGTTTAATGGATATGGAAAAATATTCAACAACAGCAGGAAATTATTACATAATACCTTCTTTATTTTATTGAATTTCAACAAACATGCTTTCTAAGAAACAATCTGAAAGTAAATAATTTATATTGTCTAATTTAATTATCTAATGACACAATAATAAAGGGCTATTTTTCAAATAACTTTTACTAAAAATAAAGTTTATATTATAATACTATTTTCTATCTATAATCTGATTTTTGAATTCTGTTTAAAGGATGTTTGAGTTAGGAAAGTTAACTTGAGATGTCAGCTTACAGCTTTAAGTGATAGAAGAAATACAATTTTATTTCACTTTTTAAATTTAATTTTTCTTCTAAAATTACTGCACAATCTTTCCATATAAAAAAGAATGCATAACATACCGCAAGTATTTATTATTTTCAAGATTATCTACCTACTACCCTCTTTTGTGATACTTCCATGATTTTAAGTAGAATGTTGTAGAATTATTATTTTTCATAGAAATAATAACCCTCTTTATCAACATTTAAACAATTAAGAAATGTACAAGAGAACAAAGTATCTTCCTTCCATGCCCAATCACCCAGAAAAAAAATTAATATAATATAGAACATCTTTCCAGACATTGCTTAATGCATCTATAAAGATAGGAATACAGCTATGGATGATTGGAAACAGTGCATAAAAATTGCAATCTAAATATACATTTTACATTAAAAGTAATAAATTTAAATTTGCTGGAATTTAACAAAAGAAAAGGAAAATGAAAGATTTTTTTAAGCTTCTGATAGATGTTTCTTCATCAGAGATAGTCTTCCTAAAAGCTTTCTGCATTTAAAAAAGATGAGAAATGGTAAAAAGTTTTAAGTTTATGTTTCAATTTTATACCCTATTGACTGATTTCTGCTGTGAAAGGTGACGAAGTGAGTACTCTTCCTTCATCCACCCATTTCTTTGTTTCCGTTTTTTACTCAATGTAATATAATGTTTACTTTTCAGCTTTTATAACATTACCATTTAGTTCTATAGCTGTAATTCCCACGGTTTAGTTTTGGCTTTACATTTAAATGAATTTCATTTTCTCTACCAGTCTTTTTATCACAGCTTCTTCATTCTTCAGTTCCTTGTTTTCATTCACATATTTGATGGCTGAATTTCATTGTCAGTAAGTACTCAGAGATATTATATTCTCTGAGTTTTTGAATTTCTACAAATTCAAAATTTCTACAAATTACAAATTTTAAAATGTTGTAAAATACTTGGATTATATTCCAAGAAGAATTTTGTAGATACTGTTCTATTATTTTCTGGTACTAAAGATTGTTGGTGTGATGTCTGAGGCTAGCTTAATTTTTTTGCCCCTGTATATGACTTATTTTATTTTCTCCGTGAATGGGTGGATTCTTTGGTCTATCATTCTTTTAAAAAAATTTTTATATTTTTTACAGAAAAATAATTGAACAGCATAAATACATGTATAAATTATAACTATATCTATATTAATTACTTATTTGTACTAGAGGTTTTTAAATAATTAACTATGTTTTAAGATGGAACACATCATTTGCCTTTCATTAAAAATATTGGGACCCAACAGGCAAATCTGTTTTTATTATTTTTTCTCATTTTTTGATCATTTTACAGTGATATTTTAATTTTGATTTTAGCTTTACATTTTTATAACTTTTTCTATTATCTTTACTCTTAGCTTAAAATATTTTAGCTTAAAACATTTTACTGTTGTTATTCTTTTAGATATTTTAAAGGAAAAGAAAAACTTTATGTGTGACAATTTTGAACTTAAGTACATCCCAAATAAGGGAGATTAGATGCTTTATTTCATCCTAGTGGGTTCTGGAATATCTCATCTACCTTCCCTAGATAGAGCCTATTATTATCCCATTCCATTCATCTTTGACATTCCTAAAATATTTTATGTGTATATTTCTGACTTTTTGCCCACAAGCAAAATTCACTACAATAATGGTAATTACTTATACAAACAGCATTTTTAACTGCTGAGATATATATATATATATAAAATATTTCACTCCCTTTAAGAGGAGTTATATATTCTAAAACCCACAAACAACCAGTGCATATTGGACAAGTCTGGTTAAATAAATGACTACATAACTACTAGGGAAGTAGATGGGAGAGTCCATTCAGGGAATACCCTTAACCTAATGCCAATGTTTAAATCTTAACAAAAAACCCTCATCTTATTTACCTTCTTTCTGAGCAGAGTTATGAAAGGAGTCTCTTAGAATGTAGAGTTTCCCAAATCAAAACAGTGTGTGCTAGAAAGACCACGAGCTTGGAGTTATATATCTCAGATTGAAATTTAGCTTTGTTACTAACTATGAAAAGTTGAGCAAGTTATTTAATGTCTCTGAGCCTTGGTTGCTTCATATTTATAGTGTGATAATGACTAATTTATTGTAAATGAAATAATGTACACAAAGTGTAAAGGACATACAAAACACTCCACTAACATGTCTTGAGCTGAGTATCTCGAGTATCTCTTTGAAGAAAATTTTGTTTTGCCTTAGGTACCTCTGCACCCTGCCTCTCTGTGGCCTTTGATAATGAGATGTCAGTTTTATGACCTGTCAGTTTAGCAATCAGCACCTAAGGATACCCTTTCATCCAGCCGTAAAAAATGCCTATGGAAAGCAAAAGTGACATTGTCTCAGCAGTTAAGTATACTTTTAGCATGAGAAAAGGAATTTTGCCCTGTGGGTTCACAGAGTCATTCAGAAGAAATATTTTAGGAATTTCAGTAAAACTACAGCCTTGAATCATTTACTCCTCATTTTTTTTAAATCAAAAGTGTTAAGCCTGCAAATTTAAAGACTGTGTAATCCATCTATACTCTGGTCCTTTAGGACATATGGATGGGCTTCAAGGGATGAATGAGCTTCCTGAAATTGTATACAAAGCTAGTATGCCGGTGCATTTTTGTGCTGAGAGGTCTGTAGTATTCAAAAGATTCTTAGAAGGGTTCATAGCTCACATAGAATTTAGAACTACTTTCCCAGCTACTCTAACAGTGGTCTTTGGAAGAAATTAGACCAAAAAGACCGTAATAACTTGACCTGATGTATAATCATCTTCACTGAATTTTAATAATAAGCCTGTATCATATAATAAAATAAATAATAGTCATAAGATTTTCCAGCAAATATTATAAACATAATTGTTGAGGGTAAAATTTACTAATTACTTAGTATCTCATATTTCATATACAAAGTTACAATGAGAATTTTCTTTTAAAATCTGGAGTCAGAAAAATCTTAGCTTTTCTTAGTATCTGCAATGTCAGCATTTCTCCTTTTTTTTTTTTTTTTGTTGAGACGGAGTCTCGCACTGTCGCCCAGGCTAGAGTGCAGTGGCGTGATCTCTGCTCACTGCAAGCTCCGCCTCCTGGGTTCACGCCATTCTGCTGCCTCAGCCTCCCGAGTAGCTGGGACCACAGGCACCCACCACCATGCCCGGCTAATTTTTTGTATTTTTAGTAGAGACGGGGTTTCACCGTGTTAGCCATGATGGTCTCGATCTCTTGACCTCATGATCCTCCCGCCTCGGCCTCCCAAAGTGCTGGGATTACAGGCGTGAGCCACCGCGCCCGGCCGCTTTTCTCCTTTTTAAACAGTGAGAATTAGATGACTCATTTTAGCCTTCATTTTTACCTTGTTTTTCAGGGAACTTAAAGTCAGAATTTAAGCTAAATGATGGCATCTATGTTGCTCTTACAAATTATGTATTTACCTTATCTATTCTATGACAACTATTTTCTATTTCTAATTATATTTTATTATATGCGTTTTTGTTGTTGTCTAAACTGCCTCATATCCTTAATGTAAACAGTTAAGATATAATAGATATGCATTAAAAAAGAAATCACCGTTGGAATTGGCCATGGAGGAGTAAATGAAGGGAAGATTTCTCTTATTACAATGATTAAAGTGTATACATTCTTTAGGGAAGAGAGAGAATCCCAACAAAAGATGAGAACTTCTTTTATAATAAATTACAAGCAGCTCGTTGCTCTCCAAGTTTAAGTTAGGTAACTCTTATAAGGAATTTTCTCAGCTGTAGGGTGCTATTTATACCCTTAAAAACGGGTCAGCTGTGACCCAATAAGTGCACTTTGGGTCCCTCAGAACATTCCAGTTCATTTATTCAATACAAATTATTCAATAATTGGTTCGCAAGAAGAAACAAATAATTGGTTCGCAAGGAGAAACAAATAATCATGCTTGTAACGTGTCTATTCTGTGATGCATGATTCTTTTTACCCTAAATCTCTCAGTTTTATATTCATAACTTCCTCTAGGTGAAGGAGGAGAAAGTGGAGGGATTGGGATGGGTGAATACAGAAGTTGCAAGATTGTCACTTTTGGTGGATCTGCAAAAAAAGTAAAAACCATTTGATAATGGAGTAGGGAGATTAGTGTGGACTTAAGAAGAGGTCTTGGTTATAACTCAAATTTACTTTAGGTTAGTGTATGATTTATTCAAACATTTATTCATTCAAAATGTTTTTATTGAGCTTCTATTTTGTGTAAGTACTATTCAAGAAACTGGAAACACAAACATGAAAGCACCATGAATTCCTGTCTTTGAGGACCATGTATCTAGTTTATGGGAGATTAATAGTCATATGATTATCCAGTGATTATCATTACCCGGTATAATGTAGGTCTGTACAAAGTGCTCCAGTAATACAGGCGTGAAATGTTTGAGCTTGTCCAAGTTTAGAGAAGGCTTCAGAGAGCTGATTTTGACCTGGGTCTTAACAAATATGTAGGAATTGTAAAGCAGAGAAGGGAAGGGCACTGAAGGCAGTGGGGTGGGGAGTGACTTTCAAATGTCTGGGAATGTGACAAGCCATACCATGCCTGGGTACGGTTCTGCAGGAACTGCAGGCTATAATTTAACTTACATTTTGGTGGAAGCAAGGTAGAAAGTAAAGATGAAGCAGAAAAGTTGGGATCAGATTATAAAGGGCCTTGATTATTTTCAGGTATTTGGACTTTGTCCTGTAAGATCATATGAGCCTTAGTTACAGATCACTCATGCACGTAATTGGTAACAATATATTAAATATATTTTATAATTCTAACAAAATAATAGCAGCTGCTATTTATTTTAAAAATTCAGCATTTTTTTCCTGCCTAGTCTCTAGTTCCTGGGATTGGAACTTTACATAATTTGCAAAGTGGAACATAGTGCCTTTGTCTGGCCTTATGGAAAACTGCTTATTACTTCTAAATAATTCAGGTGGATATAAGTGCTTTGCCTGTGTCAATGATTACCAAGGGAAAGGTAAAATATTTATTTCAATATTTTGTCCACTTAAACTGAGAACTACTAATTATAGGATTCTTACAACTGCATAGATAATATAAATTCAAAATTGTACAAACCTTTCTATATTAGGGAATACAAATACATTTATATTCCTGTGCCAACAGTTAAAGAGCAGTAGTTGTTACCTTGAACATTACTTGAAAAAGACTCTGTACCTGGGTGCAGAGGGAAAGAATGCTACAATAATTAGCAATTGTAATTGAAGCCACATTTTTCTAATCTAGGTTATGTACTTTGGGAGAGAAGTCAAAATTCACTGTTTATCCTACAAGTATATTTTTATCTTTTTTTTTCAAACATATCAAGAATATGGTAGGAAATTAGTTAACTGAAGTAGTCTGGCCCCATCTACTTAAATCTCATGCAGAGTTAACTATGAAAGACATAAATGTACTTGGTGATGGAATAAATACATCAGTTTTTCATTATTGATAGTGAGGCAATAAAAGGATATGTAGATAAAGAGAGGCAGAACTTAAAATGCAAGATCTTAGAAAGTGTTCAAATACCAGTATTAACAAACAGTGCAATATGCAAAAATTTTAAGTATTTTTTAAAAGAATTTTTAAAATTTAATGCACAAGTATTCAATAACAGAGCCACATAATAAAACAAGGTGTCATATTTTCCTGAGGCCACAAAGACAGTGTTTGCTTACACACATTGTGGAAAAGCTACATTAACATTCTAAGTCACCATGCATGGCAGAAAGACAGAAAAGGGCAAAAAGATCTCATTTTCCCTGTAGAGGACAAGAAGAATGAGAGCCAAGTTGAAGTGTGGGCTGAGTCAAAAGCTTCCCCAGCAAGAGTTGGAGATTTCTTTCCACTATTCTGATCTCTGCTAATCTTGGAACTTTGTTAACATGCTAATATAAAGGGTTATACATAATAAAACTAATTTTTTCCTTTTTACTCACTTTCTTCTGAATTCCAGATGTCTAAATAATTATTTTCAAATATCATTATTTTTATTAAGTTGTATTTCTTATTAACCACTTTGGATCTATCTTGCAAAAATCTTGAATCAATTAAGCATGATATTCCTCCAGACCTATACGTGTACTCTAAAGATAGATAATACTGTACCTGGAAAACTCTTCTATTATCCTAATTTGACAAACTTGAGAAATAACATTATCTCTGAAAGAGTTTAAACATTGAGAAACTGTACAATTTATGACAAAACACTGTCATCATATTACCTGACAGAAGCAGCCATTGTCCCCATTGTGAAGATGAGAAAACAGAATCCATAAAATCAATAAACTATAGTCTGTACCTCATTCAACAAATCAAAGATAGGATCTCTAAGCTAGCTAGCAAAATATATTTATGAAGTAATGCTATTTGGTAAATTACATTGGTTTAGAAATAAAAATATAGGCTGGGTGTGGTGACTCATGCCTGTAATCCCAGCAGTTTGGGAGGCCGAGGTGGGCGGATCACGAGGTCAGGAGCTCGAGACCAGCCTGACCAACATGGTGAAACCCCATCTCTACTAAAAATACAAAAAAATTAGCCAGGCTTTGTGGCGCACACCTGTAATCCCAACTACTCAGGAGGCTGAGGCAGGAGAATCACTTGAACCTGGGAGCTGGAGGTTTCAGTGAGCTGAGATTGTGCCATGGCACTTCAGCCTGGGTGACAGAGCGAGACTCCATCTCAAAAAAAAAAAAAAGATATAAAAATATAAATATTCGATTTAACATTTTGTTCAGATTTACATTATGAGGGCATATTTTGACAACTAAATCTCCTATATGGTCATATTTCCTGTTAACTTTGTTGAAGATAAAGGTGCTTCATTCTTCTTTGTTTAGAAAGTATTTTTAAAGAGATCCATAGTGTGAAAGGAAAATATGTAAACAATTATAGAGTGATGATTTCTATCCATTTATATTTATTTGTTCATTCATAGAATCTTTAGCTCAGATTTCCTTTAACCTGAAGGCATACTTTCAAGTTAGAGAATACATGTTACAGTAAGATGCAACAGTATATTCACCTGAAAAGAATTTTAGATGGAGATGCTTTCACTTTTAAGTCATGACATAAAAAATTCTTTGTAGAAAATCTTTGAAGATTCCACCTGTGCTTTCATTTTGTGCCCCATATATAATACTGAGTAAAAAGTAGATCTTTGATAATTTTTTAAGCAATGCATTCATGCAACACACATTTTGTAAATGTGGCTTTTCAGTTTTTTTAATGAAATTAGTCCTCTAGCAGTCATCTCTTTAAGTATGATAAGTGAAAGTAATTAAAATTATTTTGAGGCCGTGGTTGATTTGTTGTTAATAGTGATCTCAAAACTAACAAAAGGGTAAAATTGGGTCACAGAGACTTTAGAAACTATAGGAATCTGAATATTTCTCCCTCAAAAAAAAAAAGGATATCTAACCTTTGAAATTGCTTTTAGTAAAGAAAAAGATATGCAAAAAACAATAATTAATTCAGTATTTAGAGAAACCTGTGCCTTACTCCATGCCTCATCACTCATGCACTATGTGTCATTTAATTTTTCCTACTATAATATTTTTATAGTAAAATATTTTTTCTAAGTCACAACTGTCCTTTGAACCAACACTGTGTTTTATGGCTGCTTTCCCAGGTAAGGTTCATGCAGACTGCTTTCTATTCCCCCATAAGACATTTTTTCCTTCAAAAATGGACTCAATTTCAAGGTTAAGTTCTTCTCATGTTGTGTGTTTTCACAGCAACAGTCAAGAGCACATTGTCCCACTGCTTTAGACAAATAGTTCAAAATAGGTACGTGAAAGCAAAGCTATGACCTTAGTTACATGGGAGATTAAAGGCATTTCCTGGATTGCAGATGTCTTTGCTTATAGGAGAGAAGAATTATAGAACCGACTCATTTTCTCTCCTTTTCCTCATTCTTTATCTCCACTCTTCTTTCTGTCAGCTGCATTCATTTTTGCTCTCTTAGGATCTAAGTTTCTCATACTGGATTTAGTTTCACATATTGTGAGACCCAAAGTATATGTCCTTGCCATATTTTTTTCCAGACACTAATTATTGTTATTCACAGAATATTATTCAGAGTCTGATTATTTACAGCTATATAGAAAGCCTGGTACAAAAAAGGTACAAAGTGACTTTACCTAGTAGGAACCTATAAGACAAAAATATAAATTTGAGTGGAAGAGTGCATGCTTATTTTGAAAAATAGAAACCAGAGAGGTTCCCCTCCGTTGTGGGTTCTTGACCCTCAGGGGTCATATTGAAATTCTCTTTAGATATCTTTTTCCCCTTTGGTTGATGAATATTTGAACAGCAGAACATTTAAACACTGAGCTAATTTTGTAACTCTAAAAATTACCCTAGTTTGTGGCATATAAGATGATCAATAAATATTTGTTGAACTGAACTAAACTTAAAGGAATCTTGTATAGTTATAGAGCAGTAACTGTAATACCACTCTAATATTTGGGACTGAAAAGGGTATTATAAAAATTACAAGAGTCATATTTTCCCTGCTGAGATATTAATGTCTACTTAACTTGAACAGAAAAAAGGCATCCTTTGGGGAAGAAAATGAGGTAATACAGAAATGAATTTTGCCATGAAATGATCCAGAACAATCTGGAGCATTTTGAAGTTAGTGCCAAGTGTAGCATATGGAAAAAAAGTTTTTAAAAATATGTCAACTTTCCCAAAATATGAAGTCATTGCATTTGCTACTAATTGACTGGCTTGCAAAATTCAACTTTTGGAACAGTCTTAGCTTCGGATGAGAGAGGTGTGAGTTCATGAAAGTATTCAAAATAAAGCTTGTTTGTGTGAGTATAATAAAAGCCTACAAACAGAAGATGATGTAATGACTTAACAAGTCAACTCTTGTCCTTCAAAATGTATTTTTTTAAATATACCTACTATTAAAAATGCTTCATCAGAAAAAGGATATATTCCACTTTATAATGACTGTATTTTTGGAAAAATACATGCTATTTTGATTAAGTATGTGAGTTATATATGCTGTTTGTAAAATCCTTAAACAATACATAAGGGCTTAAAATTAAAAGTAAAAAATCCTCCTGCTAGTCCACTTGCAGAAATGTTACCATTTATAGCTTTTTACATATTTTAAAATATGATTCCAGAACTTAAATATGTATTTAAACATAAACAATGAGAGATGAACTTCTTTATTTTTAATGTTTTATATGTATATAAAGTATGCCATTATAGAATATTAGACAGTTTAAAAAACTGAACATAATGAGCTTGATATATGTCTGTAAATGGATTTTAACTATTTATAATGATACAAATTTTACTTAATTATGGAACTAATACTAAATGTTCTACTGAATTGAAAGCAAGTACTTTGAGTGGCTAAAATTTGTACTATAATGATCATCCGGTACTACTGGTCTTAGAGAATTCTAAATGTAAGTAAGTCTCTATAAATATATATTGAGTACTTGTCTCTGTTCTAAGTGTTTTCCCATATTTTCTATCCATTAATTTAATTCTGATACCATTTCTGTGGAGCAGGATTAGGAATTTCTATTTTAGAGGCTTGCACCCTCTTGAGCAGTGGCTTGAGCTGTATGTGGGGCCCTTTGAGCTGCAGCTGGAGCTGGAGCAACTGGGATGTGGGGAGCAGTGTCTTCAGGCTGTGCAGGGCAATGGGGCCCTGGGCCTGGCCCCTGAAAACATTCTTTATTCCTTGGCCTCTTGACCTGTGATGGTAAGGGCTGTCTCTAAGATCTCTGAAATATCTTCAAGGCCTTTTCCCCATTATCTTGGCTATTAGCTCTTGGCTCCATTTTAGTCATGTTAATCTTTCTAGCAAGTGGTTGCTTTATAACATGCTTGTATTCCAATCCTGAAAATGGTTTTTATTTTTCTGCCACATAGCCAGGCTACAAATATTTCAAACTTTTACAATCTGCTTCCCTTTTAAATATAAGTTCTAACTATAAGTCACTTCTTTGCTCCTGTAACTGATTTTAGGCTATTAGAAGCAGCTAGGCCACACACTGAATGCTTTGTTACTTAGAAATTACTTCCGCCAGATACCCCAAGTCATCATTCTTAAGCTTAAACTTCCACAGATTCCCAGGACATAAACACAGTGTTGCCAAACTCTTTGCTAGGGCATAACATGGGTGACCTTGACTCCAGTTCCCAATAAATTTCTTACTTCCATCTGAGACCTTCTCAGCCTAGCCTCCACTGTCTATATTTCTATCAACACTTGGTCAGAATCACTTAACACTTCTCTAAGAAGTTCCAAACTTCCCTTATCTATCTTTTTCTGAGACCTCAAAACTCTTCCAACTTCTGCCTATTACCCAGTTCCAAAGCCAGTTCCACATTACCATCTTTATAGCAATGCCCCACTTCTTGGTAGAAATTTTCCATGTTAGTCAGTTTTTGCGTTGCTACAAAGGAATACCTGACGGGATAATTTATAAAGAAAAGAAGTTTATTTGGCTGACAGTTCTGTAGGCTTTACAGGAAGCATGGCACTAGCATCTGCTCCTGGTGAGGTCTCAGGAAGCTTACAATCATGGTGGAAGGCAAAGGGGGAGCAGGCACATCTCATAGCAAAAGCAAGAGATGTGGGGAAGGGGGAGGTGCCATGCTCTTTTAAACAAGCAGAACTCACAGGAACTATTCGAGGGAGAACTCACTTATCACCAAGGGGATGGTGTTAAACCATTCATGAGGAATCTGCACCCATGATCCAAACACTTCCCACCAGGCCCCACCTCCAACATTGAGGACTACATTTCAACACGAAATTTGGAGGAGACAAATTTCCATAATGTATCACATCCTGTCAGACTTAGCCTTTTTTTTAGCACATACTAGCTAGCTGTGTCACTTTCCCTTTCCATTAATGTTTCTGTTCCTGTGAGCATTGGTATTTAATAAGTCAGTCAGTCAATTGTATAATTTCAGATACTGAATAAATCCTATAAAGGAAATAAAATACGTTTTGGGCCTATGAAATTATGTATGTGAGTATATGTGTTTATAGAAGAAGATTGTTTATTATCTATGTATGTTGTATGTGTTGTATGTGCATGTTGTATGGGTGTTGAGTATGATTGTATGTGGTTATACATTTTCTGTGTCACGTGTTGTGTGTGGCTTTATGTGTTGAGTGTGATTGTGTGTGTGTGTTTTATTTTAGATAATGTGACAGCCAGAGATGACATCTCTGAAAATGACTTGTTGAAATTATATATCAAAAGTTTATGTTGCTGTTATGACAAGTTTATATAATTCTGTTGACTTTACACTATTAATGTGATGATGAGGAGAGAAATAAAACACATTGAACACCTCTTTTCACACATTATTTTATTCTTATAATGACTCTATGAAATAGATATTTTTATTGTTGTTCTGCAGATGAGGGGAATAGGAACTTGTTCAAGGTTGCCAAGCCATCAAGTGATACTAGAAATTGGATTTGAAATGCATTTCTTAGACTTCATAACTCATTGCTCTTTCAGCTTTACCACACCACCCATTCCTAAAGCCAGAAAAAAGACAATGGAGAGAGAAAAAAGTACAATTAGAGGTAGAGATGAGATGACGGAGAAAATTAAATGCAACAGGGAGTCATTTGGTGTCCATTGTGGCAGCATAACAGACTTGCTGGGAGTATTAATGAGTCAAAAAATGTAAAGCACATAGAACAATGCCTGGCATACAGTATGTGCTATATGCATTAACTTTTGTTATTATTACCTGCCCAATAAATTTATGGGTAAAGCTGATACAGTGTCTTGACACATGAGGTTTATGGTCTTTAATCAATACATGAGGAAGAATTGAGTGCATACTGAAGTTCAGTCGTGTGACCTGCTAGACCTCATCATGCAATCGGAAAACTAACACAAACCAACCAACCATTGTTGGAAAACATAGTCAAAGCAAAACTCATCTTTTGCCCATGAAGCTATTACAAATATATTTGGAATGTTTGTTTTGGAATTATGTAATTTTCTTAGAAATGACTCAAGAGTTTATTTAGTCACATTATCGTAGAATACTGGCTCTCAATTTTATCAGTACAAATGTCCTTCTACTATAATAATCAAAATTCATAGGTAATACACACAAAAGTTAACAATTAATATAAAATTCAGAATATATAGATATTCAAAAAACTTTCAGGAGTTTGAATAATCTCAATGAAAACGAATGTATCAAACTCCCTCAGTTAAAAGATAGAGATTAGCAGATTGAAAAATAAAGCAAAAATGAAATTATCTATATTCTACATACAAAATAGATATCTGAGGCATAGGGATACAGAAAGTTTAAGCATAAAAAGATAAAAAATAATAATCAAATGCAAACTAAAAGAAATTTGGCATAGCTGTATTAATGTCAGACAAAATATACTTTAAGATTGTTGGAGGGTAGTGATATTAATAAAAAAAACTTGACAGTCTTCAAAATTAGGTAAGACTAGTTCAAAACATACATTTATAATATGATTTTTCAGTATTAGTGATACATGCTCTAACTTAAATCTTTGGTAAGTCACAGTAACTTTCTTCTTCCAGTTAGTTACAAATGCTTATATATTTCATGTTTTATTTTATTTGAAGCCATGTTTTGAATTTAATGTGTTGTCTAGACAAAACAAACATTTAGTGTTATTATTTGCTTGTAAGCAGCTGAAGCAGGACACATTCTCATGGCACAAATGAAATCACTTCTGTTTACTGTATTGTAGTAGATAGGTGACCTCTGTTCATTAGTGAGGAAGTAAATTTAGAA
The DNA here is from genome assembly GCF_000001405.40 of Homo sapiens. Taxonomy (NCBI): domain Eukaryota; kingdom Metazoa; phylum Chordata; class Mammalia; order Primates; family Hominidae; genus Homo; species Homo sapiens. Next base: position 189,368,925 of record NC_000002.12, on the reverse strand, counting down.
GGATGGAACTTCTCAAGAAACAAGCTTTTCCTTTTTTCTTTATGATCACCTGAATAGGCCGAGTTAACTATATAGTACATGGTTCAACTGATTTACTGTGTACCTACAGAATGGGTAGGGTGTAGAAATCCGAATCATTCATTAGGAAAGGAGAAAGTCTTGGCTGTGGCAAAAGAATTAAGGACTTTCCTTTGGTATAAACTCATCCAGTTCCTTTCACCATTTATGTTGTACAAAGACTGCTATTTTGTATCAAGTTATGTTAATACTACAGTTAACTTTATCTAATGAATGCATTCTACTGGTGATTTAATATAGTAGACTTTTAAAAATTATCTTACATTAGAGATGTTGACTTCAGTGTTAGGTAATGCATGAAGGAAAGTATATTAACAGGAATTCAACTGCTGAATAATTTTGGTATTTGCTTAAATGTGAATCGATCTTCATTTGTGATGAATTCTAGTGTTTTTTTTTCCCCCTTGGAAAACCAGTGATTTTTCTTAACATTTACTATCCGATGTATGTTGTGCAGTGTGAGGTGTATCAGCACTTGAAGTTGGATCAGCCAGTGGCTGGTGATGTGGATGGTTTTTATTAATGATGTTATCATAGCAAATGAGATACTGAAATAACTCAGAGGGATTGAATGAAACACTATGAATTTAAGGTATGTTTCTAGACTGCAAATACAATAACACAGTTATACATTCTCAAAGGGAACTTATCTTTTTCTGTTTTGATGTCAAATAAGTTTGCTCGTCTATAAAAATTAAAATGAGAATAACAATAACTGAGCTAGCTAATTCACAGGATTGCTGAGAAACAAGAGAAAAGAAACACAATTATTTGTTATATGTTTATATAATAAAAATGGGGATAAGGGTGGGGCTATTGTAAGGCATTTGAAGGTAGAAGAGTTGGAAAATAAATCTGTTATAAATGAAGATGTTTGACTTAAAAGCTAAAATCCATTAAAATCTAGATTGCTTAAAAATGGGACCTATCCAAGTAAAGACTGCCATAAAAACAGATGGCTGCTTATTTTCAGTAATAATGTAATTACAATTATAATAGAAATATAATTTAAAATATTTGTAGTAATATTTTCAGTAATGAAGGCCCATGGCAGGCAATATGAATTCTTTCTGCTGTCACATGAAGATGAATTACACACATCTGAAGGACTTGATACTGGAAATATAAATTAGAGTGATGGGTTGGATTACTAGTAGTTGTGACAGTAGATAGAGTGTTTCAGTTGTTATTTATGTTGAATAAGATGCTTGTCTTGGAGCTAAGCTCTGGGGAAGAAGCTGTTTAGGTAAAGCTCTGGATTCTGTCCTATCCACTGTGTAAATAATGTGGAAAGTGGCTTCTTAGTGTGAGTGACCTCAGTGTTGTGCTTTGACAGCACTGGCCATATAAAGGCAATAGTAGTGTAGTCGATCTGGGAGAAAGAATGTCCTGGAGAACCACTCCAATGTAGTAATTACGTTCAATAAAACATGGAAGTCAATATGTGGAATTTTGCTTTATCACAACATTTATTAAAATGTAGCTGTTTTACATGCTAAGAAGCACTTGAGTAAGAGTTGAGGGACTGACTATCATAGTTTGTCTGGGGCAGAGGGGTTTCTGAGAACATGGGATTATCAATACTCAACCTGAGAAAGTCCTGGGCCAATTCGGGCAGTTGGTCACCTTAAAAGGAAAATATCAGATATACTCCTAGGGTATGGGTTGTGTAAAGTGTTATGAACATACTCTGGGAAAAAATAAAAATGACCTCCAGAATGTCATTGGAATATAGTCTTACGTAGTTTTCTGTGAGGAGCAAGAGTGAGGGAGAATTTCTGAGTATGTGGTTGCCACAGTTGTTTTCCTATGCGCTAGATTCACTTTGCAGGCATTGGATAGAAATAAAATGAGATCGTCTGCCAACACTTACAGCCTTCGGGAGAGTTTCTGGTGGAGGATGCACAATCTCATTCTAGGGATGAAAGAAAGACCAGAGAGTGGACAAGCATTTCTCGCCTGATTTGAGAAAGTCGTGACAATGATATAATTGGGAAGACGCACAAACCTCCAGAAGAGCTGATATTGTAGCACAAAGTTCTCATTCTTTGATTCCCTGCATGTAGCTAACACTTGTGGTAAGCAGCAACAGCAAAAGGAAGAGGCCCTTCTTCAGTCAGCTTGCCATAAAGAGAGGTAGTTCTTTGGCTAGGCAGGAGAAATTTTCAGGCCATCTTATAGGTTTGACTTTTACTGAATACAAGCACACCCACAAGCACACCCACATGCACACATGCACGCACCTGCGGGGATCTATGCCTGGTGCTTGAGGAATGTGATGGTAATTAAGATAAACAATAAGAGTGACTTGGACCAGTGTTCTCCACCTTGGCACTATTGACTTTTTGCGCTAAATAATTTTTTGTTGTGAGAGGCTGTCCTGGGGTGGTGTTTAGCAGCTTTCTTGGTCTGTAATTACCAGATGTCAATGGTACCTTTCTCCCAGTTGTGACAACCAAAAATGTCTTCAGACATTGCCAATTGTCCCCTGAGGGGCAAAATAGCTCTTTGTTGAGAACCACTGCTACAGATAATAATAGTTCATGGAAGCAATTAATTCCATCTCAATGTTGTCATTAATGGGGTGGGGGCTGGACCTTATTGGAAAGAGGGAAAATATGAATAATCATGGCTGTCATTTATGGAACGCTTATTACTGGTAAGGCAGTGTGCTAAGTGCTTTACATTTCTTAGCTCAATTAATCCTTACAAGGGCCTTTTGATGGTGCTATACAAGATCTCAAAATAAAAGAACTCTCAAGACTCCACAGGGTACACTCATGTAAGGCTGTAATGATTGCAAATAATATAGGACATGAGGAGAAGGAAAGTGTAGGCAATCATAGGATGTCTGAAAACACCCACTGCAGACCTGTCAAGGTCTTTTCTCAGTTGCACATGAGACATTTCATCTTTGGATTATGCACTTTTCAGATATGTGTGGGGTGTCTAAGTTCAGCATAGTTCAAATGCAGGTTTACTGAAGGGCCTTTTTCACCTTTACTGGTCACTTTGCTACAGCCAAGCTGTGTAACAAGTTAAACCAGATGCAAACCATCAATCCATATATCCTAAATAATGTAGACAAGATAATATGGAGTGCCTCCAGGGGAGTTTTGAACTTTAAATGACATGTTCTAAATCACTAGCTATTACTTCCCATTCTTGTTTTGACCAAGGGTCAGTAACAGACTTCCAGGCATCCATGGAGATAAGCACAGAGCTGCCCCAGTGCAGCCATAAGATAACCCTATCCTTGCCCAGTGTTATTGTCTCCATTTTACAGATGAGCAAATTAAGGCACTAATGTGTTAAACAGCTAGCCAAGGCCATAGAACTGACAAGTGGCAGAACTGAGATTCTTCATAGGAAGAAGTTAAGTGTCTCCGTAAAGTTGGTGCTAGTACTGAGCAAGGCTTGATTTAGGAAGACAATCCAGGTTTTACAATACTGAGTTCATTGTTTTTGGATAAATTGTCTCTGTCATTCAAGATGGACTTACCTTGAAAATTAGAGAAAATTTCAACATGCAAAAATATAGAGGCATGAGGAGTATTCAGTGAGTAGAAAGCAACTGCGAATAACTAACCATGACTTAAAGCTAGGGTGGTGTCTGAAGCTCATATAATTTTGGCAGCCCTTTTAAAACAAATGGAATATAAACTGCTTATATAGAATTAATGATGAAAGTGAATATTTAAACTGAGAAATAAAATTATAACAAATTACAGATTGGCTGAAAAATTCCAAAGACATCACATGATTTAGAAAAAAGTATTTGATACTATCTTATATCCCTCTATATTTTTTCTTATATTCTTTGGCTACATACTTTAAAAAATAGATTTCACTTTTTAAAAGTTTCAGATTTACGGAGAAGTTAAGACCCAGATTGCCCTATTATTAACATAGTACATTTGTCACTTTTTGTGTTAATGAATCAATATTGATACAATATTATTAACTAAGGTTCATAGTTTATTCAGATTTCCTTAGTTTTTACCTGAAGTCTTTTTCTGTTCTCAGACTCTATTTTTGATGACGTTGGCAGTTTTGAGGAATACTGGTCAAGTATTTTGCAGAATGCACTTCTATTAGAATTTTCAAGTTCTTTATGTGTCACAGCTGAGACTGGAAGTTGCTACATACTTTTTTTTTTTTTCTGAGACAGAGTCTTGCTCTGTCGCCCATGCTGGAGTGCAGTGGCACAATCTCTATTTACTGCAACCTCCACCTGGATTCTTGCGATTCTCCTGCCTCAGCCTTCCGAGTAGCTGGAATGACAGGTGCCCACCACCACGCCTGGCTAATTTTTATATTTTTAGTAGAGACGGGGTTTCACCATGTTGGCCAGGCTGGTTTTGAACTCCTGTCCTCAGGTAATTTACCCGACTGGGTCTCCCAAAGTGCTGGGATTAGAGGCGTGAGCCACCGGGCCCAACCTTGCTATATACTTCTTAATCACCTATTCAAGTGTAGAAATTTTTGTTATATTCTATATGTAGGGAGAGTCAGAAGGTAATTCAGTCTTTCTCTTGTATAGTTAATCAAAATAATTTCTTACTGATAATTGGAATGCAGAGAACACATAGTATCACAAGCAGATATACTCTTAGTAGTGCAGCTACAGATTTTTGTCCAAGAAACCTGGACATTCTGATAAATACTATTTCACAAAATTCAGAAAGAAGAACATGTGTGTTCATGTAATAACTGCATTAATTGCATTATTGCATGTGTTCCTGACAGATTACTTCTCTTTTGACTAGGCACAGGTGAGGCTGGATTCATTGCTTGCGTTTTTTAGATATGATGACTGGAAGAATTTTCCTTAGACTAATTTCTGGTTTTCTACATTTAAGACCTTGTTTCCCTTCCTGTATGAACATATTTCCCCAGTGTAAGACAGTCTGCCTATGCCTTTGTGTCTACATGACAGGTGGGTCAACACGGTGGGTTATAGCAGGATTCATGGAAGTCATTCCTATTATGAGAAGGCTAGCAATCACTTCAGTCTATGTGGGAGTGACTGTGAACTTTAGATCTACTCCATGAAACTCAAACTAAATGAATCATCAATTCCACTTCCTCTTGCCAGATTCCAATGCCACTCATGACTTGGGAGAGATGGTAATGAAGAGGAAGTTGATCTGTTATTTGATAATCTTTCTGAAATCTCTTATTAGTATTAAGAGGCTGTTAGTACCATACTTTTCTAGGTGGGTGAATTCATTGAATTTAAATTGAAATTATTATTTCCGTAAGTAATAATGTTGAAAAAATTGATAATAAATTGATAAATAATACAAATAAGAATAAGAATATATCATAATCAAATAGGGTTTATCCTAGGAATGTGAAGATGCTTTAGCATGCGAAAAAGCAATAATAGTAATTTGCCACATTAATTAAGGAGAAAAAACATATGATAATTTTAATTACAAATGGAAAAAAAGGATTTGATAAAGTTTAGAAGACATTTGTAAATTTATAAATTCAGAAACCTATAAGAAATATGCTTCCTGGACCTGATAAAGGTGATCTATTAAAAACATTTGGCAAGTATTATACTTAATGGAGAAACTTTAGATGCATTACCTTTCCAGATGGGCAAGAAGACAAGGATTTCACCATTACTAATTGTATTTGAGAGCATTGAAGTTCCTACACAATGCAGAAAGAAATTTTTTTAAAAAGTTAATGAAAGGTGTTAGTTTTGGAAAGGAAGAGGAAAAAAATTGTCATTTTATAGATTTTGAATATTTATTTATTTTGACTACTATTTACATTTTTTAGTATGTTTTCTTCTATTTAAATTCTGTATTTCTGTTTGTGTCAACTTGTAATTTTATAGTCTAGGAACTTATGCATATCTTCTATCTTAAAATTTACTAGCATATAGCTGATCCAAAAACTGGCTTATAATTAAAAAAACTTACATATCTAATTACTTCCCCTTTTTACTTAATTTTATTTGTATCATATGCCTTTTCATTCTCATCAGTATTAGACATTTTGGTATCTTAAAATATTTTTCAAAGGACTGTCTTCTCTATTTTATGTTGTTTGCTCTGTTCTACTCTTTCATTTGTTAAAATCTTTCTAGTGAATATTTCCTCTAAGCAGAAACTAGACTTGCTTAGAAGAATAGGAAGAATAGGAAAGCTGATAAGTTCAATAACTTATTGTTCACATTTGGTAGTTAACTACAGAGAGGTAAAGTTAACAATATGCTTGCCAGGAAAATTATAAATAAAAAATGAAAAAAAATTCTGGCAGTCAGGGTGCAATTGGAACATTTTGCACTAAGACAAGTTGTTAATCATCCAGCTGTGCTCTTGGTTAATAACTCATAGAATGTAAGAAGAAAACATGACTGACATTTTCCTACCAATGTGGTTTTAGTGTACTGGGCTGACAGAATGCTGCTGGTAAAATTAGAAGATAAATTATGGGTAAAGGGAAAATAATTTATCTGTTTTAGGTGTAAGTTGAATACTTTTCATTGGTTTGAAGCATCTACAATACTCTGCATTCTCCTTTAATAGCCTGGTGGCCTTATAAAGCCATTATATGATTGTCTAAAAATTATATAGGTAAAATTTTTGCTTTTCAAGCTTTGTAAGTGGAGATGATTGGTAGCTTTTTCAAAAGATTCAAGATGGTAAAATTTTGTAGTCTTAAAATTGTTGTCTTCTCATTTTCATATATTCTATGCATCCTGGCCTATGAAAGAAAGCAATTACCTTACAAAAGAAAGAAACGGACAAATTTATAATACTCTAATACTTTAGTTGGGGTAACTAAATCACCTATGTCTTAAGTATAAAGAATAAAAGGCAAAATTATTAAAATCAATAACTGTAACAATTGGCTAAGAGATAGGCAACATAAAATGATATAAACGGAAACATCAGTAAGTCAAAATGTGGGGGAGAATGGTATTAAAGTGCAGAGATTTTTTTTGGTTACTTTTCTTTGTGATCAAAGGTAAGTCATTATCAGTTTAAAATAACCTGTTATAATGTGCTTTTTGTAAGCCTCATGGTAACCACGAAGCAAATACCTATAATAGATATACCAAAATAAATAGTGTAGAATCAAAATGTATTACTGAAAATCACTTAAGCACAAAGGAATATGGCAAAAGAGGAAAAGAGAAAGAAAGAATCTATAAAACAACCAGAAAACATGTAATAAAATGGCAATAGTAAACCTTTACCTCTCAATAATAAATTTGAATGTAAATTGATTAAATTCTCTAATTAAAAGACATAGAGTGACTAAATAGATTAAAAAAAAACAAGACCCAACTACATGCTGTCTACAAGATCACTTCACCTATGAAGACACACACAGGTGGAAAGTGAAGGAATGGAAAAAGATATTCCATGCAAATGGAAACCAAGAAAGAGCAGCAGGAGTTATACTTAACATCAGATAAAATAGGCTTTTAGTCAAGAATGATAAAAAAGACAAAGAAGGCCATTATATAATAATGAAGGGGTCAGCACAGCAAGAGGATATAACAATCATAAATATATATGCACCCAACACTGGAGCACACAAATATATAAAACAAATATTAGTAGACCTAAAAGGAGAGATTGACTGCAACACAGTAATAGTAGGGGATTTTGACATCCTCTTTCAACAATGGACAGATTGTCCAGAGGGAAAATCAACACCAACAAAAAAATCAGAGTTAAATTGTGCTCTAGACCAAGTGGACCTAACAGCAGACATTTACAAAACATTCCATCCAACAGCTGCTGAGTACACATATTTCTCAACAGCACACAGAAAATCTTTTAGGATAGACAGACCACACGGCATGTCACAAAACAATTCTTAACAAATTAAAAAAAAAAAAAACAGAACAGCCATAAAAAAGAATGAGATCATGTCCTTTGCAGGGACTTGGATGGAGCTGGAAGCCATTATCCTCAGCAAACTAACAAAAGAACAGAAAACCAAACACTGCATGTTCTCACTTATAAGTATTAGCTGAACAATGAGAACACATGGACACAAGGAAGGGAACAACACAGACTGGGGCCTGTTGGAGGGGTGGGGGAAGGGAGAGCATCAGGATAAATAGCTAACGCATGTGGGTCTTGATATTTAGATGATGGATAGGTGTAGTAAACCACCATGGCACATGTTTACCTATGTAACAAACCTGCACATCTTGCACATGTATCCCAGAAGTTAAAATAAAATAAAACAAAAAACAACAAAATAACATCCAGTATTTTTTCTGACTACAGTGGAGTAAACTGGAAATCAATAATGGAAGTAATATTGGAAACTATAAATTCATAAAAATTAAATAACATACTTCTAATAATGAATGGGTCAATGAAGAAATAAAAAAAGAAATTAAAAATTTCCTAGAGAAAAATGAAAATGGAAACACAACATACCAAAACCTATGGGATACAGCAAAAGCAGTTCTAGGAGGGGAGTTTTGTTTTTGTTTTTGCTTGAAACTGCTATTTACTGGTTGAAATATAATGTTGTTAAGATAGGCAAAATCCTAATTAAAATTTTAACTAAACAAAATTTTAAAAATGTATCCTATTTGCCATAAATTTTTCTAGGTGCTGAGCATACAGTAGTGAATATTACTGACAAATATCCTTAAGACAGGAGTTCTTAGCAATAAACACCTATATCAAAAAGTAGAAAGGCTGAATAAACAACCTAATGATGCACCTCAAGCAAATAGAAAAGTAAGAACAAACCAAACATAAAAGTAGTAGAAGGAAATAAATAATAAAGATTAGAGCAAAAATAAATGAAATGGAGACTTAAAAAAGATCAATGAAACAAAAGTTGGTGTTTTGAAAAGATAAACAAAATTGACAAATCTTTAGCTAGACTAAGCAAAAAGAGAGAAGACTCACATAAAATCTGAGATCAAAAAGAAGACGTTACAACTGATAACACAGAAATACAAGGGATTATTAGAGACTACTATGGTAACTATATGCCAACAAATTGTAAAACCTACTAACAAATAGATAAATTCCTGGACATATAGAACCTACCAAGATTGAACCATGAAAAAAATAGAAATCCTGTTTAGACCAATAATGTATAACATGATTAAAACAGTAATAAAAAGTCTCCCATCAAAGAAAAGCCCAGGACCTGATGGCTTCACTACTGAATCTATAAAAGATTTAAATAAGAGCCAACACCAATTCTACTCAAACTATTCCAAAAAGTTGAAGAGGCGGGAATACTTCTATTCTCATTCTATGAAGCTAACATTACCCTGATATCAAAACCAGACAAGGACGCACCAAAAACGAAAGCTACAGGCCAGTATCCCTGAGAAGCAGAAATGCGAAAATCAACAAAATACTAACAAATTGAATTCAACAGCATTTAAAAGGATTATTCACTATGATCAAGGGAGATTTATCCTTGGGATGCAAGGGTGATTCAAATGTGCATATCAATAAATGTGATACACCATACTAACGGAATGAAGGACAAAAATCAAACAATCATCTCAGTAGATGCAGAAAAGGCATTTGACAAAATTCAACATCTGCTTATGATAAAAACTCTCAGCAAATTAGATATAGAAGAAGTATACCTCAACAAAATAAAGACCATATTTGTATGACAGATCCACAGCTAATATCATACTCAATGGTGAAAAATTGAAAGCTTTTTCTCCAAGATCAGGAACAAGACAAGGATGTCCACTCTTGTCACTTCTACTCATCATAATAATAGAATTTCTAGCAAAAGCAATCAGTAAAAAGAGAAAAAATGGTATTCAAATTGGGAAAGGAGAAGTTAAATAGTCCCTGTTTGCACACTACTTGATCTTATATATAGGAAATCCTAACCACTCCACCAAAAACACTGTTAGAATTGATAGACAAATTTAGCAAAATTGCAGGTTACAAAACCAACATAAAAATATTAGTAGTGCTTCTACACATCAATAGCAAACAATCTGAAAAAAAAAATCAAGAAGGCAATCACTTTTATAATAGCTACAAAAAGTACCTAGGAATAAATTTAATCAAAGAAGTGAAAGATCTTTATACAAAACTATAAAATACTGATGAAAGAAATTGAAGAGAAGACGCACACAATAAAATGGAAAGTATCACTTTCTTATGGCTTAGAAGACTTAATATTTTTAAAATGTTCACACTATCCAAAGCAATCTACAGATTCATTGTAATATTTGTCAAAACACCTAAGATGTTCTTCACAGAAGTAGAAAAAAATTCCTAAAATTTATATGGAACCACAGAAGACTCCAAATAGCCAAAGCAACTATGAGCAAAAAGAACAAAGCTGGGGGCATCACACTACTTAATTTCAAAATATCCTACAAGGCTATAGCAACCCAAACAGCATGAAAATGTCATAAATACAGCAGCTATAGCCTTATGAAATGTATTTCTTAAAATCAATACTTGAAAATCAGAATTATTCCTTGATCCATGGGCTGCAAAATAAATGTTTTGTTAGCAGGCATGAAAACAACAGTAATCTCTTTTTACATCTCCATCAGAGTTCTCAGTTGACTAGGAGCATTGTAAATGAGCACTAATATTTTGAAGTGATTTTTTTTTTTCTGAGCAGTAGGTATCAACAATGGGCTTAAAATATTCAGTAAATTGGATCTGCTGACCATATGGCCAAACAGGAACAGCTCCAGTCTGCAGCTCCCAGCGAGATCGACATAGAAGGTGGGTGATTTCTAAATTTCCAACTGAGGTACCCGGTTTATCTCATTGGGACTGGTTGGACAGTGGGTGCAGCCCACAGAGGGTGAGCTGAAGCAGGGTGGGGTGTCACCTCACCTGGGAGGTGCAAGGGGTCATGGGCTTTCCCTCCCCTAGCCAAGGGAAGCCGTGAGGGGCTGTGCCATGAGGAACAGTGCACTCTGGCCCAGATACTGCATTTTTCCCCACAGTCTTCACAACCCACAGACCAGGAGATTCCCTCTGGTGCCTATGCCACCAGGGTCCTGGGTTTCAAGCACAAAACTGGGGAGCCCTTTGGGCAGACACTGAGCAGCTGCAGGAGTTTTTTTTTTTTTTTTTCATACCCGAGTGGCACCTGGAATGCCAGTGAGACAGAACCGTTCACTCCCTGGGAAAGGGGGCTGAAGCCAGGGAGCAAAGTGGTCTGGCTCAGCAGTTCCCACCCCCATGAGCCCAGCAAGCTAAGATCCACTGGCTTGAAATTCTTGCTGCCAGCACAGCAGTCTGTGGTTGACCTGGAACACTTGAGCTTGGTAGGGGGAGGGGTGTCCACCATTGCTGAGGCTTGAGTAGGCGGTTTTACCCTCACAGTGTAAACAAAGCCACTGGGAAGTTTGAATTTGGTGGAGCCCACCACAGCTCAGCAAGGCCGCTGCAGCCAGACTGCCTCTCTAGATTCCTCCTGAAAAAAAGGCAGTAGCCCCAGTCAGGAACTTATAGATAAAACCCCCATCTCCCTGAGACAGAGCACCTGGGGGAAGGGGCATCTGTGGGTGTAGCTTCAGCAGACTTAAACGTCCCTGCCTGACGGCTCTGAAGAAAGCAGTGGATCTCCCAGCACAGCATTCGAGTTCTGATAAGGGTCAGAGTGGCTCCTCAAGTGGGCCCCTGACCTCTGTGTATCCTGACTGGGAAACACCTCCCAGTAGGGGCCGACAGACATCTCCTACAGGAGAGCTCTGGCTGGCATCTGGTCGATGGCCCTCTGGGACAAAGCTTCCAGAGGAAGGAACAGATAGCAATCTCTGCTGTTCTGCAGCCTCTGCTGGTGATACCCAGGCAAACAGGGTCTGGAGTGGACCTCCAGCACACTCCAGCAGACCTGCAGCAGAGGGGCATGTAAGAAGGAAAACTAACAAACAGAAAGGAATAGCATCAACATCAACAAAAAGGACATCCACTCAGAGGCCCCATCTGAAGGTCACCAACATCAAAGACCAAAGGTAGATAAATCCACGAAGATGGAGAGAAACCAGTGCAAAAAGGCTGAAAATTCCGAAAACCAGAATGCCTCTTCTCCTCCAAAGGATCACAACTCCTCGCCAGCAAGGGAACAAAACTGAATGGAGAATGAGTTTGATGAATTGACAGAAGTAGGCTTCAGAAGGTGGGTAATAACAAACTCCTCCGAGTTAAAGGAGCATGTTCTAACCCAATGCAAGGAAGCTAAGAACTTTGAAAAAAGGTTAGATGAATTGCTAACTAGAATAATCAGTTTAGAGAAGAGCATACATGACCTGATGGAGCTGAAAAACAGTATGAGAACTTCATGAAGCATGCACAAGTATCGATAGCCGAATCGATCAAGTGGAAGAAAGGATATCAGAGATTGAAGATCAACTCAATGAAATAAAGCGAGAAGACAAGATTAGAGAAAAAAGAATAAAGAGAAACAAACAAAGCCTCCAAGAAATATGGAACTATGTGAAAAGACCAAATCTACGTTTGATTGGTGTAACTGAAAGTGACGGGGAGAATGGAGACCTTCCCCAACCTAGCAAGACTGGCCAGCATTCAAATTCAGGAAATACAGAGAACACCACAAAGATACTCCTCAAGAAGAGCAACCCCAAGACACATAATTCTCAGATTCACCAAGGTGGAAATGAAGGAAAAAATGTTAAGGGCAGCCAGAAAGAAAGGCCAGGTTACCCAAAAAGGAAACCCCATCAGACTAACAGTGGATCTCTCTGCAGAAACCCTACAAGCCAGAAGAGAGTGGGGATCAGTATTCAACATTCTTAAAGAATTTTCAACCCAGGATTTCATATCCAGCCAAACTAAGCTTCACAAGTGAAGGAGAAATAAAATCCCTTACCCACAAGCAAATGCTGAGAGATTTTGTCACCACCAGGCCTGCCTTACAAGAGCTCCTGAAGGAAACACTAAACATGGAAAGGAACAACCGGTACCAGCCACTGCAAAAACATACCAAATTGTAAAGACCATCGACACTATGAAGAAACTGCATCAAGTAACGGGCAAAGTAACCAGCTAGCATCATAATGACAGGATCAGATTCACACATAACAATATTAACCTTAAATGTAAATAGGCTAAATGCCACATTTAAAAGACACAGACTGGCAAATTGGATAGAGTCAAGACCCATTAGTGTGCTATATTCAGGAGACCCATCTCATGTGCAAGACATACATAGGCTCAAAATAAAGGGAAGGAGGAATATTTAACAAGCAAATGGAAACCAAGAAAAGGCAGGAGTTGCAATCCTAGTCTCTGATAAAACAGACTTTAAACCAACGAAGATCAAAACAGACAAAGAAGGGCATTACATAATGGTAAAGGATCAATTCAACAAGAAGAGCTAACTATCCCAAGTATATGTGCACCCAATACAGGAGCACCCAGACTCATAAAGCAAGTTCTTAGGGACCTACAAAGAGACTTAGACTCCCACAAAATAATAGTGGGAGACTTTAACACCCCACTGTCAATATTAGACAGATCAACGAGGCAGAAAATTAACAAGGATATTCAGGACTTGAACTCAACTCTGGACCAAGCAGAACTAATAGACATCTACAGAACTCTCCATCCCAAACGAACAGAATATACATTCTTCTCAGCACCACATCACACTTATTCTAAAATTGACCACGTGATTGGAAGTAAAACACTCCTCAGCAAACGCAAAAGAATGGAAATCATAACAAACAGTCTCTCAGACCACAGTGCAATCAAATTAGAATTTAGGATTGAGAAACTCACTCAAAACTGTGCAACTACATGGAAATTGAACAACCTGCTCCTGAATGACTACTAGGTAAATAATGAAATGAAGGCAGAAATAGAGATGTTCTTTGAAACCAATGAGAACAAAGATACAACGTACCAGAATCTCTGGGACACATTTAAAGCAGTGTGTAGAGGGAAATTTATAGCACTAAATACCCACAAGAGAAAGCAGGAAAGATCTAAAATCGACACCCTAACATCACAATTAAAAGAAGCAGAGAAGCAAGAACAAACAAATTCAAAAGCTAGCAGAAGACAAGAAATAACTGAGATCAGAGCAGAACTGAAGGAGATAGAGACACAAAAAATCCTTCAAAAAATCAATGAATACAGGAGTTGGTTTTTTGAAAAGATCAACAAAATAGATAGAATGCCAGCAAGACTAATAAAGCAGAAAAGAGAGAAGAATCAAATAGATGCAATAAAAAAATGATAAAGGGGCTATCACCACCAATTTCACAGAAATACAAACTACCGTCAGAGAATATTATAAACACCTCTATGCAAATAAACTAGAAAATCTAGAAGAAATGGATAAATTCCTGGACACATACACCCTCCGAAGTCTAAACCAGGAAGAAGTTGAATCCTAAATAGACCAATAACAAGTTCTGAAATTGAGGCAGTAATTAATAGCCTACCAACAAAAAAAGTCCAGGACCTGATGGAGTCACAGCTGAATTCTACAAGAGGTAAAAAGAGGAGCTGGTACCACTCATTCAGAAACTATTCCAAACAATAGAAAAAGAGGGAATCCACCCTGACTGATTTTATGAGGCCAGCATTATCCTAATAGCAAAACCTGGCAGAGACACAACAGAAAAAGAACATTTCAGGCCAATATCCCTGATGAACATCGATGCGAAAATCCTCAATAAAATACTGGCAAACCAAATCAAGCAGCACATCAAAAAGCTTATCCACAATGAGGAAGTTGGTGTCATCCCTGGGATGCAAGGCTGGTTCAACATACACAAATCAATAAACTTAATCCATCACCTAAACAGAACCAATGACAAAAACATCTATCTCAATAGATGCAGAAAAGGCCTTTGACAATATTCAACATCGCTTCATTCTAAGAACTGTCAATAAACTAGGTATTGATGGAACGTATCTCAAAATAGAGCTATTTATGACAAACCCACAGCCAATATCATACTAAATGGGCAAAAACTGGAAGCATTCCCTTTGAAAACCGGCATAAGACAAGGTTGCCCTCTCTCACCACTCCTATTCAACATAGTATTGGAAGTTCTGGCTAGGGCAATCAGGCAATAGAAAGAAAAAAACGGTATTCAAATAGGAAAAGAGGAAGTCCAATTGTCCCTGTTTGCAGATGACATGATTGTATATTTAGAAAACCCCATCCTCTCAGCCCAAAATCTCCTTAAGCTGATAAGCACCTTCAGCGGTCTCAGTATACAAAATCAATGTGCAGAAATCACAAGCATTCCTATACACCAATAACAGACAAACAGAAAGCCAAATCATGAGTGAACTCTCATTCACAATTACTACAAAGATAATAAAATACCTAGGAATCCAACTTACAAGGGATGTGAAGGACCTTTTCAAGGAGAACTACAAACCACTGCTCAAGGAAATAAGAGAGGACACAAACAAATGGAAAAACATTCCATGCTCATGGATAGGAAGAATCAATATTGTGAAAATGGCCACGTTGCCCAAAGTAATTTATAGATTCTTTGCTATCTCCGTAAAGCTACCATTGACTTTCTTCACAGAATTGGAAAAAAATTACTTTAAATTTCATATGGAACCAAAAAAGAGCCCACATAGCTAAGACATTCCTAAGCAAAAAGAACAAAGCTGGAGGCATCACGCTACCTGACTTTGAACTACAATACAAGGCTACAGCAACCAAAACAGCTTGGTACTGGTACCAACACAGATATATACACCAATGGAACAGAACAGAGGCCTCAGAAATAGCACCACACATCTACAACCATCTGATCTTTGACAAACATGATAAAAACAAGCAATGGGGAAAGGATTCCCTATTTAATAAATGGCGTTGGGAAAACTGGCTAGCCATATGCCAGAAACTGAAACTGGACCCCTTCCTTACAACTTGTACAAAAATTAACTCAAGATGGATTAAAGACTTAAACGTAAGACCTAAAACTATAAAAACCCCAGAAGAAAACCTAGGCAGTGCCATTCAGAACATAGCCGTGGGCAAAGACTTCATGACTAAAACACCAAAAGCAATGGCAACAGAAGCCAACATTGACAAATGGGATCTAATTAAACTACAGAGCTTCTGCACAGCAAAAGAAACTATCATCAGAGTGAACAGGCAACCTACAGAATGAGAGAAAATTTTCTCAATCTATCCATCTGACAAAGGGCTAAGAATCTACAAAGAACTTAAACACATTTACAAGAAAAAAGCAACCCCGTCAAAAAGTGGGCAAAGGATATGAACAGACTCTTCTCAAAAGAAGACATTTATGCGGCCAACAAACATACGAAAAAAAGCTTACCATCACTGGTCATTAGAGAAATGCAAATCAAAATCACAATGAGATACCATCTCACACCAGTTAGAATGGCGATCATTAAAAAGGAAACAACAGATGCTGGAGAGGATGTGGAGAAATTGGTATGATTTTACACTGCTGGTGGGAGTGTAAATTAGTTCAACTATTTTGGAAGACAGTGTGGCAATTCCTCAAGGATCTAGAACTAGAAATACCATTTGACGCAGCAATCTCATTACTGGGTGTATACCCAAAGGATTATAAATCATTCTACTATAAAGACACATGCACAGGTATGTTCATTGCAGCACTGTTGACAATAGCAAAGACTTGGAACCAACCCAAAAGACCATCAGTTTTAGACTGGGTAAGGAAAATGTGGCACATATACACCATGGAATACTATGCAACCCTGAAAAAAGGATGACTTCATGTCCTTTGCAGGGAAATGGATGATGCTGGAAACCATCATTCTCAGCAAACTAACACAAGAACAGAAAACCAAACACTGCATGTTTTCACTCATAAGTGGGAGTTGAACAATGAGATCACAGGGGGCGGGGAGCATCACACACTGGGCCTGTCTGAGGGTGGGAGCTGGGGGAGGGATGGCATTAGGAGAGATACCTAATGTAGATGACAGGTTGATGGGTGCAGCAAACCACCATGGCACGTGTATACCTATGTAACAAACCTGCATATTCTGCACATGTAACTCCAGAACTTAAAGTATAATAACTATAATAAAAAGGAGACAGATCCATCCATGGTTTTGGAATCTAGGTTTCTGCTTCCTTTTTTCTTCCTTCCGTCCTGCCCCCTTTTCATTAATTTACTGTGTGTTTTCCTCAAAATCTCACTTTTTGTTTATTTTTATTTTACTTTATTTCTCCCAAATTTATTTATTTTTGAATAAACAATACTTGCACATAGCAGCAAATTAAAATTCAAAATGACACAAAATTTACAATATATATGTAAGTATTGACTGTTTATTTATATACACATACACACCCACACATATCAACCTAGTTCTTCATCTTGTTTTTTACCCAAGAATTATTATGGAGATTTTTGATGTTATTATATATTTAGAGAACTGTCTAATCATTTTAAGGTCTCAATATTATTCCTTATGTGGGCATAGAACAAAATATACTGGTTTCCTACTAATAAAGACTTAGGTTGTTTCCAAATTCCAGGTCTTGACAAAGTAGTAATGAATATCTTTGCAAAAACTTCATTGTGAATACGTGTACAATCTTTGGATGATGTTCTAGAAATGCAATGGTTGTTTTGAAAGGGTATGTGAGTTGATGATTTGTATAGATGTTAAGGCCTTAATTTGAAATAGCGTCTGTTTTAGGTAATACAGCAACAGAGGATGTGTAGTTAACTCCAGAATTTAGTGAAGTTTATCTACATGTTAGCCATATAGGAATCTCCAGAGAGTGAAGGAGACTCCTATTGGTAAAAACCCTATTGAGAAAATGTCATAGGCAGTGAGAAGCAAGAAATCCCATCCTGTGGCAGTGCAGGAGAGCCAGGACTCTTATTCTGATATTAGCCAGGGTTTTAATTTTGTGAGTTTTTCTGAGACATCACAGAAAGTCCTTTGTTTAAAATATTTCAAAGTCAGAAAAAAAATTCAACTTGTAGTTCAGAAGGTAGAGAAATTAGAAACATCTGGTAAATTTGGTTGCAGACATGGCTTGTGTTGACATGGAGATGTAATAACCAGGAGGTTGACTAGTCTGGTCTAATTCTGGTGAATAATATTTTCTCAGCAGTCTCCTGGCCACAAAGTATCAAAAGGCATTGGGAACATGCTGTAAAGTGCCTTGATGCCCAGAACAATTACACTCTGGAAACATTCTCTTGGCCCGGCTGAAAGTGACCCATGACCACAGCTCAGTTCATTCCACAAACATAATTAGTCACAAAGCCATGTGGAATAACACTCTGCAGGACTTTCCTGTGTTGACTTTCTTAGTGCATGTTATCATGACGGGCCTTCACACCTTGGAATGATATTGGCTTGGAATAGTAGGGATGAAAAATAGTGCAACACTTTGCTTTATGTAATTATATACATTTTATTTTTCGTGTGGTTATTGACTGTATTCTTTTTAGAGCTTTCTTATATATGAGTGGGGCCTGTCTAAAAGTCTATGTCTTAAAGTTTTAAATTTTTGACTATTTTAGTATTATGTAAACAACATGTCAATTAATAGTGTCTTAAGAAACAGATTGACCTTCATTTTGTTCCAGTACTTCTGTGTCTTTCTGATCGTTTCCTGATCACATGAGAGAAAATTAATTACTTCCCTTTCATGTAATACATATGTACGTCAAATATAATCCAGTTGATTTACTTGTCACTTTGTATTTTAATTTATTTATATGCCTGTTTCTAATTAGATGTCTACTCCTCAAAGTTAGGACTGTTTTATTTTATAAATATATTCTTGGTGACTGCTGGAGTACTGAGTACATGATAAGTGAAGAATAAATATTTATAATATGAATAAATTAGTCTGTTAATTACAGGAACACAAGGTGCTTTGATATGAGATCCAATCTAACCACTAACACTCATTTTTTTCTGCCATGGTTTAATTCTTGCATCTGGTTTTCTTAAAGCTTTTTTACTAATGCATATTGCTGAGTAATTTTCCAAAGGCAATTGTAAATTTCTAAGTGTTTACTTTGAAAGCATCAGTATGTAATTTTGTAACTAGTCAATATAGACCAATTTTGTGATGCTACTTTTAAAAACTTCTGAGGATTCTATTATCTGATGAGAAGAGTTAGTTTGTTCCAATAAAAAGTTAACGTGTTTGTTTTCTACTTTACCTGGACCTAAACAACATAAGCTAAACCTAAACCTAAACATAAACATAAACAACATAACCTAAAACATTTACAAGATATTGTATCTAATTAAAGAAGCTTCAAAAAATATTTTTCAACAGGAATCCATTGTCTGAATTACTTATAAACCATCACCATCAAATAGTGTTTATTGAACATCCATGTGTGTCTGCTACACCCCAGATTGCTATACCAATTAAGTCAGCTATGCTTTCCAGATTGAGTCAATACACAGTATCCTGTTTTTATGGTTCTTTTCAACTTGGATTTGGTATCCCTCTAATTTTATTTGTGTAGAATTCTATTTGCTTTAAAGTTAAACATGACTTTTAGTTATTGTTCCTTCCTTTGTCACTTTTAATTTTCAGCATACATTCAGTTTGTTTGTTGGAAAAAACCATTTTCTTAGCCATGTTTGCCCTGAGACTCCTCCCCTGCCCTTTATGTTTATGTAGGCCAGCCAAATTTCATGTCTGAACCTTTATCCTTTCTTTAGGTAGGTATACAGATGTATTAAGGAATCATCTGACAAGACACAATTATGTTATAATATAGCTTTTGTGTTTTGAGAGGGCTAGGGGATGTGATCCAAAATATGAGAAGTTTTTATTTATAATGGAGAATGTTGGGAGATTATGTTAGTAATTGGGTCCAGCTATGTTATACAGCTTTGAAAAAATTATTTAATTTTTCTGAGGCTTGGTTTTCTTGTCTTTAAAATGTTGTGAAGATTAGAAATAATGTTCTTAGAGCATCTTGCACAGCTAAAATACAGTAGGCACTAAAAATGATGGCTGGTAACAGAATCTACAGCTAAAGAAAAAGTAATAAATTGTCTTGTTTGTGAATTGATATCTGTGTGATGTGCATGCAGCTGCTCACATTTATGTTGTCCACAGCAGACCCTGCCAATTAGTCAGCACTCTTTTCCATGGAGTCTGGGTGCAGCTTATGAGTTACAGCAATTAACTCATAGGCAACTATTGCCAGTTAACCCAAGAAGGGAAATGAGTTGCATCCCATTTTTTCATCCCTCATATAGCCTCATCCTTTCATTTTACAGAAGAGAAAACTAAGGCTCAGAGAAGTTATGTAATTTCCTCAAGATGACACATTGAGGCATGGTCAGAACCTTGTACTAGAAGTCATAACTCTTACTTCAGTTCTCCATCAGCTGAAACATCTGTCTGTTTTGTTCATCTTATTTCATAACTAGAACGTGTACTAGCCAGAACTCTTAATTCAGTTCTCCATCAGCTGAAACATCTGTCTCTTTTGTTCATCTTCTTTCATAACTGGGGTAGAGATTCATATAATTTGCCATTTTTTTTCTAGAGCAAATAAATTAACTCATGATTTTCTTGAGGTAATATTTGTGGGTTCATATAAATGAGCCACACTGACCACTTTACACTGGTGATAATATGTTTTTTTAAATATCAAAAATATATTTTTGATTCAAACCTTATGTTCTCTTGCCTTTCAGAAAGGAAAAAGGAAGAAGCAGAGGGTCAGCAGATGTTGAAAGAGGTATAATCAAGGTAAACACTTAGCTAGGAAGTGGTTTCCTAAGCAAGGGTTGCTCTAAAAATTTCCCACATACCCTCCTTTGGTTGTTGGACTTTTATTTTTTTTTTCTGGTCTAAATATTATGCTGTAAATTTTGGGTTGGAATCTACTGAAGCTGGCAACAGTTAAATTAATCCTTCTTTTCACTGAAAACATGCTTATGCTTGCTAACAACTGCAAGATTAATTGGGACTTACTTAGCCAAAGGAAAAACAGGATGTGAAAAGACAATGTGAAGTTTCTGTCTCGTCACTTACTCCCTCTGTCCCTACTGTTTTTGTTTGTTTTAGTTACATTTTCAAACATTCTCTCATTTTCCCATGTTCTGTGTTCACCTTAGAAAATCTTCTAATAGCACAGATGACAAACAGGAGTTCCAGAAATGCTGACTCATCACAGCAGAAGGCCAGTGGTTTGGCAGGAATCTTAACTTGCAAATGTCAAGACTGGCCCTTTTAAAAATAAGTCCATGGCAGCAGATGTCACTATTGGTCTATCTTAACTCTGGGGCACTTGTTGACAAAGCAAATGCCATGAGCCTAGAAGCCCAGTAATCATAGATTTTAGACATTTCATGATGACTTGTGGCACCAATATAATGGTCAATTTCTCATACCTGAAACCTAATTTAATTATATAGAACTTTTAATATTATGATTATTGTATTTTAACATTAGTGTCATTTTTCCTTTTTTAACATAAATCTTTTCCATGAAGTCCATATTTTTTTCTTACCTCCCTCTTTCTGCTTTCTGTTCCTAATCATGGGACAACTTTCTCTTTTCTGCTTATATGTGCTTATTTGTTCATGTAAGCGTCCCCATAATTCTCATGTTTTGCAAGATACTTTCTTCAATGTTAATTTTTGTGCTATTAACTACAATGCAATTAACCTTTACTTTTCTTAAAAAGCAAAGTTGTGCAAGTAATTTGCCTGCTGTCTCTCAGCAACGTGTCCTCCTTTTTTGACACTAGTTTGTAATGCTAGGGCTGTGACTTTGCAGATTTCATACCTCTGATTCCCTTGGCAGCTTTTTGAAAGTATTGGAGTGAGACTTGAAGTTATTGAGGAATGGGGATTGGAAGAGGAGACAAGACTTCCTTCCTGTTTTAAAATTTGTTTTATTCTTGCTGGCTTCAACTCTAAAATGGCAGTTCTCCTAAGCGTTAGTTGGTGGCCTCCATTGTGGAAGTGGCTCCAGCCTCCAGTTCCTGTTGGCACTTCCAGAAATGCCTGAACATTTCCCTCAGAGAGCCAGCAGCAGCCAACCCAAGCCTCTTCCTTAGAGCACCAGGTCTGGTGGCTCCTCCTCCTGTTATCCCCATCTTTTCCCATTTATTTCCCTAACCTCAGGCATTGTAGCTACTTCCTGAGTTACCTTTATGTGACTTTACTTATTCAACCTTCTGACACCTGTGAAACCAGTTTCTTCCATTAAATCCTCTCTGTTGGAAACAATTTGGTTTCTGTTTTCTAAACTTGTCTAATATATCTGTACATAGTCATATATATTTTAAATTATATGTAATGTTAAAAATAGTAAAAGCAAATAAATTAATTCCATTGTGTTTCTGATTTATATTTTAAAAATGCTTTTTTGATTTGGGCTTTTAGCATGTCATATATATGTGACGATTTTGATGGCTTGATATGGAGTATATCTTATGAAATGTATACATAGCTCCAAATGTCACCAAAGCAAAAATTGGTATGAACATTGATAGTAATTTTTCCTTGCAAAAGGATCTTATCCTGGAGTTCCAGTTAGGTTTTACAATTACTGAAATGACTTGCTGTCTATTTTCTATCCTTGTTTAGCTCATACTCCATTAAACAGAAAGCAAACTAAGAGCTGGAGAGATGAAGAGACTTGGTCAACATCATACATGTGAGTGGTTGGAAACCTGAGGTGGACCCCAATCCAATTTTCTTTACTTTGCCTCAAGCGGCCTATAGTTGCTCATGATTTTAGATGTATCCATTGCAAGCATTTGCTAGCATTTGGCAAGAAATGAGCATAAATGAAATAACTAATCCAGGATTTTTTAAACTAATCATCATTATATTAATGTACTATGCTGATGAACTTAAGTTGGAAAAGAGTGTTGGAGAACTTGTTACCTTTCTATTAAAGTCAATTACTTCTTTATAATTAATATTTATTCATACATCCACACTCAGTCAACTAACACTTACTAGTATGGAGTAATGTAATGTAATATAATGACTTAGGTCAATGTATTAATGTCATTTTGACTGTCTTAGATCTGTCACTATTCTCTCCTTCTATTCATGGGAGTGCTTGCATAAATTGGGCTACATTAACTATCTTATTTTCTCAAGTCTTCCCTATTTAACCTCTACAATCTGGTTCTTGCCCCTTCTCTATTTGAACAACCAGTGGGTTCACCAGTAACCTCCATATTGCCAAATCCAATAAATATTTTTATGATTTTGACTTGACCCACTTCTATGGCAATTAATACTGTTTGATCAGTCCTTCCTTCCTGAAAATTCTCCCTTTTTTTCCTGAGATACTTATCTAATAAGTTATCCTCCTTTTCCTCCTACTGCTATTTCTCATATCCCTTAGGTAGAATCTTAAATATCAGTGGTCTTCAGAGCTCTGCTCCTGGTCTTGTGACCTTCTTGCTATATTTTCTCCCCCACATGATCCTATTTTAGCCCACCTTCAGGCCTTCTGCTACTATTTATGTTCTGAAGACTCCTAAATCCATATCTTCAGCCTAGACCACTTCCATGAACTCCAGATCTTTATGTCCAGCTGCCTGCTGGAAAGCTGCTGCATCCACATATATCTTGCTTGACTTATACCAAGGTGAAACTGGCCCAATTGTTCCATAGAACTGATGTTGGAAATTAACCCTCTCAGTCTTAAAACTTGAGGAGCTACATTTGTCTTATCTTATACATCTAAAATTGTAAGACCAATAATCAGGCCTCTCAAATAATATAGGGGAACTGAATCATAGCCTCTCACCTGTCGTGATTGACTAACTGACCTCCTGCTACCTGTTGACCAACTCCTCTTTCTTACCCCTCCCTAATTCCTTTTGCAGCACATGCATAAAGCCTTTTTCCAGGCAATACTCCTCTTAGAAAATTGGCTTTTTGTGTGATGAGTAGCGGGACCTAGTCTGAACCTCTGGTGTTTCAGTAACACATTTTGGTTCCTTGACCAGGCATACATTGCTTGTGGCTTGGCTGCTACAGGCCAAAAGGGTTTCAGAAGCCCTCCTAAGCAGCTACCTGCCCATTTTTGGCTGGAGGTGAGTCTTGGTCTCTCTTTCTTTGGTCCCACTAATGCCAGCCCCAACTACATTCCTGATTGCCTAGGAAGAGTAGCCTTTGATATTTGACATCTGCGTCTGGATAGGTTAGTGTCTTTTGTGGGTACCAGACAGGGGGATGTGCTCTTCTCAATTTGGGGAATTCCAAAAGAATTTCCATTTGCAGGATGAACAAGCCCAACCGATGGAGAGAGGAAGCATCCTGACTGTTTCAGTTTAGATATTCTTGGGACTTGCTTGTTGCTGCAGCAGGTGGATTGTGCTTTGGTGATTGTTTGTTTATGTGTGTGTGTCAGTATACTTCCCAATATTCTTTGGTGTCTGGAGCGGTTTGGCATCTCCATAAGCCTCATTGCTATTGAACAGGAAAGTGGGATGGAGTTCTGTGTATCCAGGCTTTTATGCTGCTATTCTAAGCAGGTTCAGGTCTGTAAGTACATGAGGTTCTTCTGTGATGCTGTTTGACCCGAGAGTTTTTTGAAGTCTGGGAAGGTTTGGCCTTTAAAACTCAAACTGCCATGGAAACTGTTTCGTCCAACATTCTGGTTCATATCCTTCATTGGATTACCTCTTGGGGCAAAGTTTAGCCATGTAAACATGTTCATAAAACAATGAGTTTTTATTGCTATCTCATGGCTGGAGTTCTGAGATAAAAGCTATTGGATCTTTGTTTATGTGTGTGTATACACATTTCAATGTGTTTATGTGTATGTACATTTATTATGTTATATGTTGTGTCTACTAAATTGGCTTATAAATAGTGGTCGTAAATTAAGTAAATAAGTCCAAGCAATTTTCAAGTTCACATGATTTAAGTAATTCTTTAAT
This sequence comes from Homo sapiens, assembly GCF_000001405.40. Classification (NCBI taxonomy): domain Eukaryota; kingdom Metazoa; phylum Chordata; class Mammalia; order Primates; family Hominidae; genus Homo; species Homo sapiens. The sequence goes on along the minus strand of NC_000002.12, from coordinate 189,343,973 downwards.
AAACAAGCTGGCTTTAAAATTATTAAGATAGAAATAGAAATGTCTTTGGAGTTGTCAGCATACATTTTTGTCTACGTTTTATATTTGTCTCTTCTATATATTTTGAGGTGTCAGGGTTTGGCACAGAAGGTTATAAAACTATAAACCCAGCCAAAACACAAGTAACCTTTGTGTGACTTTTTGGACAAATTTAATGTTGTTAGTTTAATAAAGACAGTTGAATCTTCTGAGTTATTAGCAAAAATACCCATGGATTTAAGGTTCTTACTTAGATGAACACCTGATATTCTCAGGTTATGAAATGGTTAACGAGGAGCTAACCACTAGCTTTGTCTAATGTCTCAGTTTTCAGAAGTAATCCAGATAAACTTTAAAAAATTAAAGAATTGAGTACATGTAAATAGGATAAATGCTTGTAGGTGAACTTTTTGTGTAATTTAAAATCTTAATTATTTTGATGATGAGTCATCCAAATTATTTTGGATGTCTGGTCATTTTCATTTAAAAAAGGTTTTGATATAGACAAAAGTATTTTTAAAAACTGTAGAATGTTCTCAAATATAAAATACTAATATCTGATAGTTCAGGATTTCTTACTTCCTAGTGATTTTCACTAAAATTTAAGGTTACTAAGAATAAGAACTGTAGTTAACATATAATTCTGTATATAAAATGTGCCAGAGAATTTCTGTCCTTATGAAAAAAGAATAATTTTGTCTAATTCAGAATTTATCTAAAGGTTGATTCAAATTATGGACTATGGTAAATTTTTGTCCTAAAATAAAATGACTGTTTTTTTTAACACGAGAGAATTTAAGACCAAGCAGAAAATTCAAGCATGTCATACATTGTCTGTGTAAGTCATATGTAGTTTTTCTCCTGTTTCTGTGTATGTCTGTCTTCAGGCACATACAGAGAAAATAGAAAGATGAAAAAGTAAAAACCTGATAGGAAATTGGAGAAATTAGGCTAATTAACATTGCTCATAGTTAAAGCTTCTTAGTCTTGATAAAGGTAAGATAAGAAATATTGTAAAGAAATACATTGGCATTTTGGCAAATCTTTTTTTAAATATAGTTAAGCATGAAGCTAGATTTAGCAGGGAGTCAATTTTCACATAAATGCTTCTGTTGGTTGATTTCACACTGTGTTTGCTATTCTGCATTGGTGGTACTAGCACTAAAGTCCTTACTTGCCAAGTGCCTAAAGTAAATTTCTCAAATACACAAAATGTATAGTGGTATTGGTGGACGTAAAGACATTAATTTGTGTATCAAAAACAACATATTTATTGTGTGTGTGTGTGTGTGTGTGTGTGTGTGTGTGTGTGTGTTTTAGCTCTCTGTAACACTGTAGCCTCTAAGGTAAACTGAATAGAAAAAAATTTGGGGTTGGTTTTTTGTTTGTTTTTGCTTTCATTTTTCATTTATTTGCTATTTGTACTTTTTTGGGTTTATATATATGTATATATACATATATATTATATGCATATATAAATAAATAGAAGCATAAATATATAAGCATATCTATACATATATATGTAAAACCCAAAGGAGAACAGATAGCAAATAAATATATAACAAATAGCAAATAAATAAATATATAAATTATATATATAAAATTATTGGTATTTTTAGTTTCTAACAGAAGGCTTGTATTTGGTTCTATATATATAGTAGTCATTTTGTTTCCTGTGCATTTCTAACAGTTCATCATTTGTTCTATTTATCTAAAATTCCTAAGCTACCTTTGTCAAGTCTCCAAAAAAAAAAAAAAGAGCACACTAGCCATTTAAAACTGAATTGGTTTTGCTTACCTATAATGATCTAGAGAGCTTTAAGAGTTTAAGTTTTCTGGCCAAAATTAAAAGACTTGACTTATTTTTATAAATTCTAAACAGAAATAGTACATTATTTTGTTATTTAAGAAAGTAGCTGAGAATAAAATTGTTTAAATGGTGCTTATTTCAGGTAGTTCAGTTCAATCAATAATTTGAGTTAGTTTCAGATCTTTTTCTTTAGATAATACGGAAAGACTGTGATACGGATACAAAGTTTTAATGTTTAGGAAAGATTGGCCTTGTTCTTAAGGAAATTATATTAACAAATTTCACTCAAATTATTTTAGTTGTGTTTAGTAACATTATTAAAATCAAGTGATACTCACTTTGATTAAGTAGTAATTAAAAATATGAGACTTTCTAGTGATTTTTAATCTCAAGGTTTTTATCACTGTTAGTGTGTGTAGTTGAAAACAAAAACAAAATATGTATAAGTGATGTCCTGGTTTGATGATTCTAGTGGTGAATGTCACCTAATCACTTGTTAGTGCTGCACTAGAAACCAGCCCTGGAAGTGATGATACTCTTTTAAATAGCTGAAAACAAATTATTGTGTGCTTGTTCTTAGTTTGTCCCTGTTTTGTTATATAGTATTTAAGTGGAAGGAGATTATTTATCTTCATACTGAATTTCCAAAACTGATATTTGCTTTTACCATTTTTTTAATGATGGAAAAAATGATAACTGTTGCACATTGATAAGTTTGTCACAGGACTTGTCATATTTTTGATGCTTTTGGTCACAATTGCGTCACTAGAATGCCAGCAATTAGACATATGGAAGTAGTAACCTAACCACTTTAATACAGTGGTTTGAAGTGCAGCAGGTGGCAACTACTAGACACCAAATGACAGTGTTTTAATTTGTGACATGTTAGAGTCATGTTAGTGACTCTACATGTTAGTCACTCTACATGACATCTAGAGTCATGTTAGAATTATGGGACTTTCTGCAGTATTAGTAAACTGAACCACAAATTTCTAGATGTTCTTATATATGTCTGTAAACATTTCATTAAGCTTTGGCTTCTGTTCTTATCTTAAATGCATATACTATACTTGATCATCTATATTGAAGATAGAAACTTATTTTACACCAAAGTAGTCTATCTGCATATTATAGGTAGAGTGCTCGTATATTGTAACTTTATTTTTATATTGTTTTGGAAGTCTTTTTAACTTTGGTTAAATGAATAATTATTATTTTACAATGACCTGTAATTCTGTTTTGATCAAATGTTTTGAGGCTTTAAACGTCTTTGGAAAACATCCTATTAATTAATCCTTGTGCTGCTAAGTTACCAGGTTTTGACTCCTGGGTCTGCAAATGGCACTGACACCTGCTAAACCTTGAACACTGACATCAGTCAAAACCTCAACTTCAGAAACCCAGGAGAGGTGACAATCAAAATGAGCTGCTTTTGTGAGACACAGGGCCAGAAATGAAAACTATTCAATCCCCTTAGGCCCAGGGACTATTGTGGAAAAGGTGGATGTGTGAGATTTTGAGTACTAAAATTAGTTATATATTTTATTTTGTGATGGGTTTATGTGCCCTTATGTAGACCTTAAAAAGAGCTCACCATTCTAGGCCAAGGTTGAAGACACAACGTGGTTTGGGAGCCTAGGGAGCTGGGCCTCCCAGGCCAGAGTGTGGCCTCTTAATGGCAAAGGAGATTCCTTGGAGTTGTAAACAATACTGTAACCTTACTTTTTGTCTTTTAGTTTTTAAGTCTTAAGTTGCTTAAATAGTTTTAAAGATTATGAGTATCTGCCCACCTCCAATCCCATCTTTCCTAGGACATTTAATTTGCTATAAGTCTTGACTCTAATTCCCTTGGCCATAGAGGTCCCACTGAGGAACAGGGTGAACCTGGGGCATGTAGCACACTACTCCAGCAATGGTATGGGACAAAAAGTCCTAAGCCCCCCACTGACTGAATGGAGCCACTTGTGGCCAAGGGGAACCCAGTTGTCAAGAGACCAGTCTTACCTGGGAAAAGGTCTTGCCCCTTACCCTGCTGATGGTCTACAGAGCCCCAGAAGTGGGTTGACTCTTAGCCTTATCCCATGACACCCCTTCTCAGCATGAAGCAGTCAGAAAGACTGATGGCCAGATTCCCCATGATTGGGGAATTCATAAATAGAAAGAAGGGGCTAAAACTGGCCCAGTTGTCCCATAGAACTGATGTTTATGGTTTCTTTTGAATAAACATGGACATTGATCCTCTCAGTCTTAAAACCTGAGAAACTTATATTTGTCTTATCTGAGTTCCTTTCTCAGAAAAATCAACCATCAGGCCTCCCAAATAGTTCCAAGGAACTGAAAGTTAGGAAATTACTGCATCTGGACAATGAGATGTCAGACCCCACACCTGTCGTGATTGCCTAACTGACCACCTGCTTCCTGCTGACCAACTCTTTTTCCTTACCCCTCTCTAATTCCTATTTTCCCACACATAGTTACATTTCTTTCCTGCTGTAAAACCCCCTAATTTTAGTTGGTTGAGGAGATGAATTTGAGACTGATCTTCCATCTCCTCAGCTGCAGCATCTGAATAAAGCCTTCTTCCTTGGCTCAGTGATTGGCTTTCTGTGTGGTGAGCAGCAGGACCTAGCCTGAATCCCTGGTATTTTGATAAGAGATGCTGCTATGCACAAATGTAAATCCAGAGTTGGATGATCTGAGCATCAAGTGAAGCTGGAAATCTCTATTTGTAGGCTCAGTTTTCCAATTTTTAAACAGTTAGCAAATTGAAACAAATCTTTTTTTTTTTTTTTTTTGAGACAGAGTCTTACTCTGTTGTATAGGCTGGAGTGCAGTGGCGCAGTCTCAGCTCACTGTAACCTCCGCTTCCAAGGTTCAAGCAATTGTCATGCCTCAGCCTCCTGAGTAGCTGGGATTACAGGCGCATGCCTCCACACCCAGCTAATTTTTTGTATTTTTGTAGAGACGAGATTTCGCCATGTTGGCCAGGCTGCTCTCAAATTCCTGGCTTCAGGTGGTCCACCCACCTTGGCCTCCCAAATTGCTGAGATTATAGGTGTGAGCCACTGTGCCCGCCTGAAAAAATCTAAAATGCTGTGTAAGTCACACTAAACATGTGTCTAGGCTAGATCTATTTTGCCACATCTATGCAGAGTCTGATTCACAACAGAATCAAAGGAGGTATGGGTGTGAACCTGGGAGAGCAAATTTTTTTTAAAGATAGCAAGTTTGAGGGAATAGCCAAGAGTCAACGAGAAATGGAAGATTGGGCTTGGTAGTAGAGCAGCAGCAGCAATGAGTCACTTAAGGAGTCAGGAGAGATCAGTCTTCCTTCTATTAACATGCAAATTAAATGAAAGAACGGCTTTTACTGGGATAATGTTAACATATTTTATTTTATAATATAAAATTTAAATTTTATATTATAAAATATATTTATAATATAAAATAATAATTTTTATTTTAAAATATAAAAACATTTTATAATATTATACCTTCTCTCATATCCATATCTTTATAGTTATTATCAGAAAAAGCCACACATGACCTTATGTAAATGATGGCAACTGTTAAGAACCAGGTATTTTATTATTTGGGGACTTGGGGAGAAAAGAACCTGAAGAATGGGGGAGCTGGCTAGGAACGGAGAAGAGGCCTTGGGGGAATGAAGACTACTAACCTGTAGGTGGAGTGGAGTGGAGCTGGTTGAGGGTGGGGAGAAATGTAGCTCATGAGTGGTATTTAATACTTAGAAGCAAACAAGAGAGCTGGGGTTAGACAAAAGTGGAGATTAGCCAGGAATCAAGTCCTGGTGGGATGGGAGGTGACTTGGCAGTGTTGGTCAAAGTAGAAGCCAAGGTGGGATATTGAACTGGGTGGCAAAGGTGAGAGCCAGAGCTATGGAATACAGAGCCAGGGATCTGGAGGCAGTTTGGAAGGATATGCAAGGGGGACTATGCCAAGAATAGGTACCCCCTGGTTTGGGAATTTTCGAATGAGAAAGTTGCTACGTTTGTAATATATATTATGTAACATAGTAATTTTTCTTAGGCTGTACTTTTAGTCAATGTTGAATTAAGAGTTAAACAAATTTAAAATCTGCAATTTTGTTTAAAAAAATTAAAACAACCAAACATATCATCTTTCCAACAAATGTTTTTTAAACAGATCTTTCAGCCAAGTTGCTTAAGAACAACAGTTGACTAGAACTGCACGTCTTCCTTCAAACACTGTCTACTGCAGAATGCAAACAGGAACCTCTGGGAATATCTGTGAGTCATAAAATGTTGCAGGGAACTTTCCAAAACCATTTTTTTTTTTTTTTTGCTAGGATGGAGAGTTCTAATCTCATATTGGCAGGATCTGTTGGCTGCAAGGTACACTGTTTACTTTGATTTCTTCTCAGCTGTTCTGCATGATCTTGGATCATCAAGTTTTTGATATATTAGAGCAGAAGAGTTGCATAATATTGCAAGATTGTAACCCCTTCTGTTCTTCTATTCTCTTAAAATAGATAAAAATCATGATTCTAATCTATGCTTCCTCCATGAGTATATTTAATTCACTTGTCTTTGAAGGAAGTGGTTTGGATTAATCCCACAATTCTAAAAGTTTATAGTACTGGTAATTGAAAACTTTTTTTTATTTAATTAAAAAATGATGTCGGCCGGGCGCGGTGGCTCACGCCTGTAATCCCAGCACTTTGGGAGGCCGAGGCGGGCGGATCACGAGGTCAGGAGATCGAGACCATCCGGGCTAAAACGGTGAAACCCCGTCTCTACTAAAAATACAAAAAATTAGCCGGGCGTAGTGGCGGGCGCCTGTAGTCCCAGCTACTTGGGAGGCTGAGGCAGGAGAATGGCGTGAACCCGGGAGGCGGAGCTTGCAGTGAGCCGAGATCCCGCCACTGCACTCCAGCCTGGGCGACAGAGCGAGACTCCGTCTCAAAAAAAAAAAAAGAAAAAAAAAAATGATGTCAAAAAACACTTCATAATGCTGCTAGAAAGGAGTATTAATGAATGTGTATGCTTGTGTGCACTGGGGTCATTTAATCCAGTTTAAATATTAGTGCTTGTATTGAGCAAAATATGTACACAAAGGCATATCTTACAAACATGGTATTAATGTAAAGAATGAATAAAAAAGTAGGCCAGAAAAAAATAGTTCCTAAGACTTTGGCCATAAACTCAACCTGAATCTAAACTCTTTGATATTTAGTGGAGTCTGGATAACTTCTGAATTGATTTATTGTTTAGGTTTTTACGTTTTTTTATGTTTATTTAATGTTTAAAGGAGTAGTGTACTTAGAATGTGAAAGGTCTTAAGTTTACAATTCCAAAGATTTTGACTATTGTGCAAACCTGTACAGTCACCACTCAAACCAATACATAACAGTTCCATCACCCAGAATGCTCCCTGTGTTCCTTCCTAGTTGCTTTACCATTACTCTCCTCCAAACACCAGAGACAACATGGATTAGTTTTGCATGTCTTGGACTTCATATACATTGATTCATACAGTATCTGTTCTTTTGGGTTTGGCTTCTTGAGTCAAAATATATGTAAGATTCATCCATATTTTTGCATGGATCAGTTTTTCATTTTTTAAATTGTAATTGAGCAATTTCCTGTTATATGAATGTATCACCATTTTCCTTTCTCTTGATGATGAACATTTCTGTTATTTCCAGTTTGGGCTATTGTAAATAAGAGCACTAAGATACTCTTGTAAAAGCCATTTTATGGACGTAATGTTTTTATATTCCTTGGGTAAATTCCTGGCAGTGGGATTGCTGCATCACAGAACCCTATGTTAAATTGCCAGTGTTTCACAGTGGTTGTACCATTTGACAATCTCAACAGCAATGTATGAAGGTTCCATTTGTTCCACATCCTTGCCATTACTTGGTATTATTTATCTTTTTTATTTCAACTACTCTAGTGAGATTAAAATTTTATCACATTGTGGCTTTATTTGCATTTCTCTGCTTAAGAATTATGTTGAGGAACTTTTTATGTGTTTATTGGCCTTTCCATGTCTTTCTTTATGAGGTGTCTCTTCAATTCTTCTACCCATTTTTAATTTTTTGTCTTTGTATTGTTTATTTTTAGGAATTCTTTCTATATTGTAAAAGATCTTTGTCAGATAAATGTTCTTAACATATTCTCCCAGTCTGTGTCTTGTCTATTCATTTTCTTAATGATTTCCTTTTTAGAAAAATTGAAATGTAATTCACATCCCATCAAATTCACTCTTTAAAGTGAGCAATTCAGTGTTTTTTAGTATATTCACAAAGTTGTGCAACCATCACCACTATGTAATTCTAAACATTTTCATCACATCTCAGATATACCCCATATCTATTAGCACTCACTCCTCATTCTCCTTTTCCCCCAGACCCTGGCAGCTGGTAATTTACTTAAAAAAATCATGCAGAATTGCCTATTCTGGACAGCTCATATAAATGGAATAATACAATCTGTGGCCTTTTGTAGGTGGCTTATTTCATTTAGCATGATTTATGGCTGGATAATATTTCACTGTATGGATATACTACATTTAAAATTCATTCATCAATTGATAGGCATTTGGGTTGTTTCCATTTTTGTCTACTACAACCAATACTGTTATAAATATCAATGTTCAGGTTTGGGGTAACCTTAAGTTTTCCATTCTCTCAAGTATATTTCTAAGAATGGAATTGCTGGGCTATATGACAGCTCTGTTTTTCACTTTTTTTGAGGAACTGCTTAAATGTTTTCCAACTGCACCATTTTACATTCCCACCAGCAATTGTGTGAGGTTTCCAATTTCTCAATATCTTTGCCAATATTTGTTGTTGTCTGCTTTAAAAAATCTGTTGATTGTGGTTTGTGATTTGCATTTCCCTGATGACAAATGATTTTTTGATTATTGTGATGATAGTGTTAACTTTTGTTCTTTAATGGCTTCTGTTTTATGTTTTGTTCAACAACTGTTTGACTACCCTCAAGGTCGTGAAGATGTTCTCTTACTTTTTTCTTCTAGAAGCTTTATGATTCTAGCTTTTACAATTAGATCAATGATCAGTAATGAGTTAATTTTTTTTACATGTAATGTGAAGTAACTGCCAAGGATTTTTTTAAATATGGATAGAGAGTACTAATATGATTTTTAGAGTAGGTTATAATTTCCCCTATTAAATTATCTTGACACCTTTTCAAAAAACCAGTTGATCATCTGTATGTTGTCTATTTCTGAAATCTCTATTCTGCTCTATTGGTAGGTATATATATTGTTATGTCAACATCACATGATAGTTGTAGCTTTATAGTAAGCCTTGAAATCAGGTAATGCAAGCCCTTAAACATTTTTTTTGTTCTCTTTTAACATTGCTTTGGCTTTTCTAATACTTTGTCGTTCAATACAAATTTTAGAAACTGCTTGTATTTTGTCCAAGACACCTGCTTACGTTTAACTGAGACTGCATTAAACCTATCTATCAATTTGGGGAGAAAGGAGATCTTACAAATTTTAGTCTTCCAATTTTATGAAATAGTATATCTTCACATTTACTTAGATCTTTAATTACTTTGAGCAATTATTTTTATTTTTTTAATAAAGATCTTGAAATTTGGTTAGATTTAGTCTTTCGCATGTAATTTTTAAAATGCCATTGTAAATGGTAGTATATTTAAACCACAATTTCTAATTGTTGGTAATATTTTAAAAGAGTTAATTTTTGGATACTGATTGTGTACTCTGAGACCTTGCTAATTCACTTTTTATTTTTTGTTGATTTCTGGAAACTCCCTAGAGTTTTATTCATATACCATAATGTTATCAGCAGATAATGATGGTTTCACTTTCTTTCCAATATTTTGGCTATTTTTCTTTTTCTTGATTTTTTGTACTGGCTAGGACATAGCATCATGAAGTAATGAGGGAAGACACCCTACCTTGTTCCCAGTTTTAGGGTGACAGCCTTCAGCGTTTTACTATTATATAGGATGTGAGTTCTTAAAAATAAATGCCTTTTATTATATTTAAACAATTCCTATCTATTCCTAATTTGCTAAGAATTTTGAATTATGACTGGGTGTTTAATATTGTTAAATATAGTTTAAAAAATCTATTGAGATTACTGTATTATATCTTAATTTTTATGCTGAGATACATTGTATCAGTATATCAATTAAATATATTGAGATGACTGCATTATATCTTTTTTTTTTTTGCAGTCTTCCTTTCATTACCAGTAGTATGCTGTATCAGTTTCTAGGAAAGCCATAACAAAGTCCTACAGACTGAGTGGCTTAAACAATGGAAATTTATATTCTTTTAATTCTGGAGTCTAGAAGTCTGACATCAGTGTGTCAGCATGATTAGTTTCTTTTGAGGCTTCTCTTCTTGACTGATAGATTGGTGAGTTCTCTTTCTTATTACATGTATTCCCTCTGTGTATATCTGTGATTTTATCTTTTTATAAGAACATCAGTCATATTAGGTTAGGGCCCAACTTAATGGCATCATACTAAATAAATTACCTCTTTAAAGACCCAAAGTCCAAATAAAGTTACATTTTGAGGTACTGGGGGTTAGGACTTCAACATAGAATTTTGGGGGTAGACAATTCAACTCATAACATATAGCTACTCACATTTTGTTTCTTTTCTTGTGCGAGTTTTAAGTTGTATTTTTCAAGGAATTTGCTCATACTATTTCAGATGTCAAATTCATTGGAATAAAATTGTTTATAATACTTTTAATATCTACAAGCTTTGAGGTGATGTCCCTCTTTCATCTGTTATATTAGTAATTTATACTTACTCTATTTCTCCTCTTGATCAGTCCTGCTAGAAGTTTAGCAATTTCATTAATCTTTTAAAAAGGATGGTCTTTTGACTTTGTTGATTTATCTATTGTTAGTGCGTTTTCTGTTTCATTGATTTCTATTTCTATCTTTAAATTTTCACCTTTCCTACTTTCTTTGGTTCTAATTTATTCTTCCTTTTTCAAATTTCGAAAGAGTAAGATTGGATAATTCAATTTAAACTCTTCTTTTTTCCCCAATATTCTCATTTAATTACTATGAATTTTGCTGTGAGATATGCTTTATGTAAAACACTGATGTGTTGTATTTTCATTATTATTCCACTTAAAATAATTCCAGTTTTCTCCGTGATTTCTCTTTTGATCCATGAGTTTTTGAGAAGTGTTGCTTAATTTCCAAATATTTGAGGATTTTTACATTAATTGTAGATTTAATAATGTTGTCTCCAAAACACAACTGTTCCAATCTCTGCCTGTTACCCCATCCCAAAGTCACTTCCACATTTTTGGGTATCTTTTCAGCAGGGCCCCACTCTACTGGTACGAATTTACTGTATTAGTTTGTTTTCACATTTCTTATAAAGACATACCAAGAGTGGGTAATTTATACAGGAAAAAGGGTTTAATGGACTTACAGTTTCATGTGGCTGGGGAGGCCTCATCATCATGGCAGAAGGCAAGGAGGAGCAAGTCACATCTTACATGGATGGCAGCAGGCAAAGAGGGAGCTTGTGTAGGGAAACTCCTCTCTATAAAAACCATCAGATCTCATGAGACTTATTCACTATTATGAGAACAGCATGAGAAAGACCTGCTCCCATAATTCAGTTACCTCCCACCAGGTCCCTCCCACAACACATGGGAATTCAAGATGCGATTTGGTTGGAGACACAGCCAAACTGTATGGTTTCAATTCTTTGAAATATACGGGGACTTGATTTATGGCCCAGTATATGTTCTATCATGGTGAATGTTCCATATATTCCTGAAAATAATGTGTATTCTGGAGAGGTTGGTTATAGTGCTCTATTAATGCCGAGTAGGTCAAGTTGGTTGATAGCACTCACATTATCTATACCCTTAATAATCTGTTTTTAACTGCTTCTATTATGAATCAATGTCAAGAGAATGTTATAATCCTCAGCTAATTTGTGATTTTATGTATTTCTTCTGTTAGGTCTCAGTCTTTTAATCATGTACTTTGGTGGCTTTATTATTGTAACATACACTATTATATTGCTGCATCTTCTTGATAAATCTACATTTTGTCATTTTTTCTGTTTACTTCTAGTCACAAAGTCTACAATGTCTAGTCACAATGTCTCGGTATATATTTATATAATCTCAGCAACTTCCTTATTGTCACCAGTTTTTTTTTTTTTTTTGAGACGGAGTCTTGCTCTGTCGCCCAGGCTGGAGTGCAGTGGCACAATCTCCGCTCACTGCAACCTCCTCCTCCTGGGTTCATGCCATTCTCCTGCCCCGGCCTCCCGAGTAGCTGGGACTACAGGTGCCCGTCACCACGCCCGGCTAATTTTTTGTATTTTTAGTAGAGATGGGGTTTCACCATGTTAGCCAGGATTTTTCACCATTTTTAAAATTAGTATATATATGTATTAGTTTGTTTTTATGCTGCTGATAAAGACATATACAGGAAAAAGAGCTTAATGGACTTATAGTTCCACATGGCTGGGGAGGCCTCACAATCATGGCAGAAAGCAAGGAGGAACAAGTCATGTATTACATGGATGGCAGTAGGCAAAGAAAGAGCTTGTGCAGGGAAACTCCCATTTTTAAAACCATCAGATCTCATGAGACTTATTCACTATCATGAGAACAGCAAGGGAAATATCTGCCCCCATTATTCAATTATCTCCCTCCAGGTCCCTCCCTCAACACATGTGAATGCAAGATGAGATTTGGGATTACAGGCACACACCACCATGCCTGGCTAATTTTTTATATTTTATTAGAGATGGGATTTCACCATGTTGACCAGGATGGTCTCAATCTCCTGACCTCGTGATCCATCTGCCTCTGCCTCCCAAAGTGCTGGGATTACAGGTGTGAGCCACTGCACCTGGCCTGTTTAATTTTTTTGTTTCAACTTCACTGATTCTTTTCCTTCCCACATTCAATCTGCTATTAGGTTATCAAATGACTTCTTCATATCTAATTTTGTAAATGTTGTATTTTTTAGTTCTATAATTTCCATTTGATTCTTTTTCTATTTTTAACATTTTTGTTCAAATTTTCTATATTATCATGTAAATTAAGTACACATTTTTCGCAATCTCATAAAATATTTATTATGTTGTTTTAAAACTCTTGTCTGTTAATTCTGACCTCTGTCTCCTCTGAGAGTCGGCTTGTATTAACTACTTTCCTTTTGATTCTGGATCACATATATACTCATGGTTTTATGCATGTCTCATAATTTTTGATTGTATAACAGAAATTGTGTCAAAGAAGAGTTTAAATTGAAGGTATTATTTTCTTCAAGAAAATGGCACACTACTTCTAACAAGTTGTAAGGATGAGGGGCTATGTCAATGTAGTCTGTAATTGCAATGAGCCTGTGCTCTGTTGCAGCTTTTGTACTTAATTTAATCACTAGCTTCACATGTTTTTGAGGGCAAGATCAGGAATTTCCCTAAATTATGGCTTGGGACCTGAGCATTGGTAAGACTCTGGACATCACTATGTTTTTCACTCATGTTGTCAGATTTCTCAACGGACAGAGATTTCTGTCTGCTTCACAGGCCTGCTGTCTATATTTTGAGATACTGAAGAATTTTCTTTGCTCTCCGCTCTGCCCCTAACTTTCCACATCTCAGAAGATAGATATATATTATTTCAGCTTTCTGGGTTTTGCAGCTTTGCTTTTGGTAAAAGCCCTGTGAACCTCCGGGCTTTCAGTTATCCTGCCCTGTCTCCATCCTTTGGTAGGCTGCTGCCATTGCTCTACCTACCCTATGTGAGTTGGGGCGACCTCTATCAATTTTCATTCCCTGTGTTTAGCCTTTGGTGTTCTTCTGCCTTGCAATCAGTGATGGCCCAGCGTGGCTCAGAGGATTTTTTACTCTGCTCTCTTCCTACATTTTGAAGTGTACTTGGTCAAATCTCAGTGCATTTCAGGAGGATTTCTTTCAGACCTCCTGCCCTGCCCCTGCCGTTTGCTACACTATTGACATGATTTAGCGAAGGTCAAATGGGGAATTGGTGTGTAGCTGACTTGTTCTTTTATAAGGCATACCAGAATTCTAGACTGTTAGACCAGCCCACACAGTACTGTTAAAAGTTTATTAACACTTCAGCAGTTTTTCCTTATTCCTATTAATTATGAGTTTGTTCTTCCTGCTATGTTTCCAGGTATCATTAAGATTTTTTTCCTCTCTCTTACCGCTCATAAATTAAAAAAAAAACAACCATTATTTGGTAGCTTTTCTGTTTTTGTATTGGTTAGAGTGAGAGTGACAATCTCTTCTGACTACAACCTAAGTGGACATCACATTATTTTTAGACTTTTGAAGTTTTTTGTTTGAAAGATATTTTATTTCTTTCTCTACCATATTTAAAGGCTGAAGCAAATAAATACAGCAATGATAAACACACTTTAAACTGAATTGAGGTTTTGAGAGCTTAAGAGGTTTTATTCTATTTTATCTTATTTTTTAATGTTTGAGATTCGCTTTATTTTTTTTCCTAGGTTTATTGAGATAAAATTGAGAAATAAAAATTATATATGTTTATGCTATACAACATGTTTTGATATATGTATGCATTATAAAATGATTACCAAAATCAAGCTAATTAGCAAATTCATTACTTGACATAGTTGTCTTTTTTTGGTGAGGAAATTTAAGATCTACTTTCTTATTAAATTTCAATTATACAGTACATTATTATTAACTATAGTCACCATGCTGTACAATAGATGTATAAAACATGTTCATCCTATCTAACTGAAACTTTGTGCCCTTTGTCCAATATATCTCTATCTCTCCCACCTCTTGGTAACTACTGTTTTACTCTCGGCTTCTATGAGTTCTATGAGTTAGACATTCTTAGATTCCATACTTAAGTGAGATCGTGCAGTATTTGTCTTTCTCTGCCTGGCTTATTTCACTTACCATAGGTTCTCCAGGTTCATGCATGTTGTTGTAAATGACAAGGTTTCCTTCTTTTTTAAGGCTGAATCATTTTTTATCATGTATATATCCCACATTTTCTTTACTCACTTCCCCATCGATGGAAACTTGGTTGATTCCATATCCTAGCTGTGGTGAGTAATGCTGCAGTGAACATGAGAGTGCATACTGATTTCATTTCCTTTAGATACATACCCAGAAGTGGGATTGCTGAATCATATAATAGTTCTATTTGTAATTTTTTTGACTTCCCAACATTAATTAATGAGATTCAACCATCACATTTCTGTAAGGCAAAAGTTTTATGAAGTTGTCAATCACTTCCAAAACTTAAGTACTTTATCACATACTATGTGACAGTCACCACTTACAGGCATAGGCTTTCAGTGCTAGCTGATAGTTCACCAGGCTTTTGTATTTCTGTCTTCCATGATGACCAACAATTTGGCATTGTTGACTGGCTGAGACCAAGTTGACTTTATTATAGCAGTGGGGCAAACAAAATCCTGTTCTTATGCATGTATTCCACATGTCTAAGATGTTTTGGCAGCTGCTACCTTTTGTGCTGGCCTCTATTAAAGGCTTGACACACTGGTAACAAGTTTGTGGGACTGGGAGGAACCTGTATCTATTTACACATGGAAGGGGAGAATTAACTGGTATGTCCAAAAAGTCAGACTATCTCCTGACCTTTGTTTTCTGGAGGCTCATCAGGGCCTCTCTTGCATGCTGGATTGCCTGGGCCTGAGGAAGGTGCTGCCTGCTGGGACTTCAATAAGAATTTTGTACAGTGATTTAGCTCTCTGGGAGTCAAAGCTGTATCTACTTGCTGCCAAAAAACATGTGTTTTTAACTTTGGACTTGTAACTTTTGAATACAGTTTTAAAGATACGTTGTGTAGAAAAGCAGAAGGTTTGGTTAAGTGGTTTGCTCATGGAAGTATTATTAGTTAAATATCAGTTAGTGAATGTGAATTTCTTGGCATGGGAAGTGAAACATGATAAGCACTCAAAATGGGTTCATTGTTATTTTTTGTTGGAATCGCATAACTACAGGATGCCAGCTTTGTTGGATAAGGCACAGGGGAACTTAGTTGAGAGCATTGCTATGAAATAGAGAAAGAATGAAGTTGGCTCTTCATATGGACTCTGTAGGAATTTCTGTGTTGCATATGCAAGCTGAGTATCTCAGAAGATAAACATGCCATTAAATTCCAAAATTTTAAATCACATTAGAAGTATTTAAGTGGCTTGAAAAGAGTATAATGGTTTGGAAAATTACAACATATTTCATGCTGTGATAATTCAGAGCCCTAAATTGATTCAGCATGAACTCCATCTTGCAAATAAGCACATGAACATTCCAATTATGTAGGATCAAGATTAACTATAAATTTCTAAGTCTATAACTCAGTATTGTTTTAAACTTCTACCTGAAAATAACTGATCATGTTTAGTTATATGGTTATTTGTATTTGAGTAATTTATTATGTATGGGTAGCCATCAGTAAATTTTCATCAAGTTATATGACAACCTAGTTCAAGTTATCTTTCAACTCTTTATTTGATTCATCATCAAATTTGATTATTTCATTTAATGCACCAAAAGGAAGCACCATAGACCATTGATTTCGCACATATCTCTTTAGTTGCACATCTCCCCCTCTTCTAATTCTTCTTCAGTTACCTAAGTTTTCCTCCTTTCTTCAATCTGTACTTTTTCTGTTCTTGTTCCCTTTCTCTCTAATTCTGTCTTCTTCTTCTTTCTCCCCCTTTTCCTCTTCCTCCTGTTTTCTCTCCTTCTTTCCTATTCCCATGCCCAACCCTCAACAATTTTTCTCCTTCTTGCTATTTGTGAACTAAAAACATTCATACAGACATTACAAAACATTTAAAAAGTAATGTTAGTGATTCCTAAGTATGGAGGAAGGAGAAAGCCTATGTTTTAAGTGAAAATCAGCATCATTTAAACCTCCTGTAGTCAGATATATAAGGACTAGAAGAAAATCTGAAAAAAGTGAATATAATTCAAATTGTGTTACTTATGCTTTCATTTTCACTTTTTTATTTTTTCATTATTTTTTATTTATTATTATTATTATTATTATTATTTCGAGACAGAATCTTGCTCTGTCACCCAGGCTGGAGTGCAGTGGCATGATCTGTGCTCACTGCAACCTTTGCCTCCTGAGTTCAAGCCATTCTCCTGCCTCAGCCTGCCGAGTATCTGGGATTACAGGTGTGTGCCATCACGTCCAGCTAATTTTTGTATTTTTAGTAGAGATGTGGTTTCACCATGCTGGACAGGCTGGTCTTGAACTCCTGACCTCAAGTGATCCGCCCACCTCAGCCTCCCAAAGTGCTTGGATTACAGGTGTGAACCACCGCGCCTGGCCTCATTTTGATTTTTATAGATGTTATTATTATACTTTTTCTAGTGGGGAGTGGGTGAACTCCCCCCACTCCCCACCAGAAAAGGTATAATAATTTTTTTGAGACAGGAGCTTCCTCTGTCACCCAGGATGGAGGGCAATGGTGTGATTGGCTTACTGTAACATTGAATGTCTGGGCTCAAGTGATCCTTCCACTTCAGCCTTCTGGGTAGCTGGGACTACAGGCGCGCACACCACCATGCACAGCTAATTTTCTTATTTCTTGTAGAGACAAGGTCTCACTATGTTGGTCTCACTATGTTGCCCAGGCTGGTCTCCAATTCCTGGCCTCGGCTTCCCAAAGTGCTGGGATTACAAGTGTGAACCATTACACCTGACCTAAATAACCTTCTTGTCTAAATATCTTAGAAGTCTGTTTTACAATCTCTTTAAAATTTTCTTTCTACATCTTTGCCTCTGAAGCTGCTTCCCTCCCCACCATCATCCTACAAATTAAACTTTTAAAATAAATTATTAATTGAATTGCTTGTTTTTGTCTTCTTCATAATCATCATCATTATAATAAACTGGTTTTATTCAACATTGCACTGAAAATATATTTTAACTGCACAATGGATTGAATATGCTGTTGTGATCTCACATACAATTCTCATCACCATTTCTAACCTTCTTCTTCTTTTTTTTTTTTTTTTTTTGAGACAGGGTCTTGCTCTGTCACTCAGGCTGGAGTGCAGTGGCGCCATCTTGGCTCACTGCAACCTCAGACTCCTTGATTCAAGCAATTCTCCTGCCTCAGCCTCCCAAGTAGCTGGGATTACAGGCGTGTGCCACTATGCCGGACTAATTTTTGTATTTTTAGTAGAGATGGGGTTTCACCATGTTGACCAGGCTGGTGTCGAATTCCTGACCTCAAGTGATCTGCCTGGCTCGGCCTCCCAAATTGCTAGGATTACAGGTGTGAGCCACTGCGCCTGGCCTTCTAACCTTTTTCTATGGTAAATGTTTTTTGACTTCAAACTTTTAGAGGAACACCCATATATAGTTCTGGAACTTTCTGAATTGAGTTCTTTGGAAACTTTAAAGTGTTAGAGTGAAAGTATAAGTACATTTTTCCTCCTTTGATGTTGCTATCAATGAGAGAAATACTCTCAAATATATACAAACAAATAAGAGTAAATGACAAGAAAAATCACTGCAGATTACACACACAAACATATGAATGATTAATTGCTAAGGTAGATCATGAGAATGTCTCTGTGTCTCTCCCTGAATGTGTGTGTGTATGTGTGTATGTGTGTGTGTGTGTGTGTCTGTTTGGGGAGGTATAGAATAGTTTATGGCTATGCTTTTCAAACATTTTTGTGGAAGGACCGCTAGGAACAGAGGAGAAGGAACATGGAGGATGGGGAAAAAGGATGAAGTGACCCAAGCAGTCTCCTTCTTTATTTTTTTATTTATATATATATATTTTTTTTTATTATACTTTAAGTTCTAGGGTACATGTGCACAATGTGCAGGTTTGTTACATATGTATACATGTGCCATGTTTGTGTGCTGCACCCATTAACTCGTCATTTACATTAGGTATATCTCCTAATGCTATCCCTCCCCCTTCCCCCACCCCACAACAGGCCCCAGTGTGTGATGTTCCCCTTCCCGTGTCCAAGTGTTCTCATTGTTCCATTCCCACCTATGAGTGAGCACACGCAGTGTTTGATTTTTTGTCCTTGCGATAGTTTGCTGAGAATGATGGTTTCCAACTTCATCCATGTCCCTACAAAGGACATGAACTCATCATTTTTTATGGCTGCATAGTATTCCATGGTGTATATGTGCCACATTTTCTTAATCCAGTCTATCATTGTTGGACATTTGGGTTGGTTCCAAGTCTTTGCTATTGTGAGTAGTGCCGCAATAGACATATGTGTGCTTGTGTCTTTATAGTAGCATGATTTATATTCCTTTGGGTATATACCCAGTAATGGGATGGCTGGGTCAAATGGTATTTCTAGTTCTAGATCCCTGAGGAATCACCACACTGTCTTCCACAATGGTTGAACTAGTTTACAGTCCCACTAACAGTGTAAAAGTGTTCCTATTTCTCCACATCCTCTCCAACACCTGTTGTTTCGTGACTTTTTAATGATCGCCATTCTAACTGGTGTGAGATGATATCTCATTTGTGGTTTAGATTTGCATTTCTCTCATGGCCAGTGATGATGAGCATTTTTTCATGTGTCTGTTGGCTGCATAAATGTCTTCTTTTGAGAAATGTCTGCTCATATCCTTCACCCACTTCTTGATGGGGTTGTTTGTTTTTTTCTTGTAAATTTGTTTGAGTTCTTTGTAGATTCTGGATATTAGCCCTTTGTCAGATGAGTAGATTGCAAAAATTTTCTCCCATTCTGTAGGTTGCCTGTTCACTCTGATGGTAGTTTCTTTTGCTATGCAGAAGCTATTTAGTTTAATTAGATCCCATTTGTCAATTTTGGCTTCTGTTGCCATTGCTTTTGGTGTTTTAGACATGAAATCCTTGCCCATGCTTATGTCTTGAGTGGTATTGCCTAGATTTTCTTCTAGGGTTTTTATGGTTTTAGGTCTAAGTCTTTAATCCATCTTGAATGAATTTTTGTATAAGGTGTAAGGAAGGGATCCAGTTTCAGCTTTCTACTTATGGCTAGCCAGTTTTCCCAGCACCATTTATTAAATAGGGAATCCTTTGCCCATTTCTTGTTTTTGTCAGGTTTGCCAAAGATCAGATAGTTGTAGATGTGTGGTATTATTTCTGAGGGCTCTGTTCTGTTCCACTGGTCTGTATCTCTGTTTTGGTACTAGTATCATGCTGTTTTAGTTACTGTAGCCTTGTAGTATAGTTTGAAGTCAGGTAGCGTGATGCCTCCAGCTTTGTTCTTTTGGCTTAGTATTGACTTGGCAATGCAGGCTCTTTTTTGGTTCCATATGAACTTTAAAGTAGTTTTTTCCAATTCTGTGAAGAAAGGCATTGGTAGCTTGATGGGGATGGCATTGAATCTATAAATTACCTTGGGCAGTATGGCCATTTTCACAATATTGATTCTTGCTATCCATGAGCATGGAATGTTCTTCCATTTGTTTGTGTCCTCTTTTATTTCATTGAGCAGTGGTTTGTAGTTCTCCTTGAAAAGGTCCTTCACATCCCTAGTAAGTTGGATTCCTAGGTATTTTATTCTCTTTGAAGCAAATGTGAATGGGAGTTCACTCATGATTTGGCTCTCTGTTTGTCTGTTATTGGTGTATAAGAATGCTTGTGATTTTTGCACATTGATTTTGTATCCTGAGACTTTGCTGAAGTTGCTTATCAGCTTAAGGAGATTTTGGGCTGAGACGATGGGGTTTTCTAGATGTACAATCATGTCATCTGCAAACAGTGACAATTTGACTTCCTCTTTTCCTAATTGAATACCCTTTATTTCCTTCTCCTGCCTCATTGCCTTGGCCAGAACTTCCAACACTATGTTGAATAGGAGTGGTGAGAGAGGGCATCCCTGTCTTGTGCCAGTTTTCAAAGGGAATGCTCCCAGTTTTTGCCCATTCAGTATGATATTGGCTGTGGGTTTGTCATAAATAGCTCTTATTATTTTGAGATACGTCCCATCAGTACCTAATTTATTGAGAGTTTTCAGCATGAAGCGCTTTTGAATTTTTTCGAAGGCCTTTTCTGCGTCTATTGAGATAATCATGTAGTTTTTGTCATTGGTTCTGTTTATATGCTGTATTACGTTTATTGATTTGTGTATGTTGAACCAGCTTGCATCCCAGGGATGAAGCCCACCTGATCATGGTGGATAAGCTTTTTGTGCTGCTGGATTCAGTTTGCCACTATTTTATTGAGGATTTTTGCATCGATGTTCATCAGGGATATTGGTCTAAAATTCTCTTTTTTTGTTGTGCCTCTGCCAGGCTTTGATATCATGATGTTGGCCTCATAAAATGATTCAGGGAGGATTCCCTCTTTTTCTATTGATTGGAGTAGTTTCGGAAGGAATGGTACTACCTCCTACTTGTACCTCTGGTAGAATTCGGCTGTGTATCCGTCTGGTCCTGGACGTTTTTTGGTTGCTAAGCTATTAATTGTTGCCTCAATTTCAGAGTGTGTTATTGGTCTATTCAGAGATTCAACTTCTTCCTGGTTTAGTCTTGGGAGGGTGTATGTGTCGAGGAATTTATCCATTTCTTCTAGATTTTCTAGTTTATTTGCGTAGAGGTGTTTATAGTATTCTGTGATGGCAGTTTGTATTTCTGTGGGATCGGTGGTGATATCCCCTTTATCATTTTTATTGCGTCTGTTTGATTCTTCTCTCTTTTCTTCTTTATTAGTCTTGCTAGCAGTGTATCAGTTTTGTTGATTTTTTCAAAAAGTCAGCTCCTGTATTCATTGATTTTTTGAAGGGTTTTTTGTGTCTCTATGTCCTTCAGTTCTGCTCTGATCTTTGTTATTTCTTGCCTTCTGTTAGCTTTTGAATGTGTTTGCTCTTGCTTCTCTAGTTCTTTTAATTGTGATGTTAGGGTGTCAATTTTAGATCTTTCCTGCTTTCTCTTGTGGGTATTTAGTGCTATAAATTTCCCTCTACACACTGCTTTAAATGTGTCCCAGAGATTCTGGTATGTTGTGTCTTTGTTCTTGTTGGTTTCAAAGAACATCTTTATTTCTGCCTTCATTTCGTTATGTACGCAGTAGTCATTCAGGAGCAGGTTGTTCAGTTTCCATGTAATTGAGTGGTTTTGAGTGAGTTTCTTAATGCTGAGTTCTAGTTTGATTGCACTGTGGTCTGAGAGACAGTTTGTTATAATTTCTGTTCTTTTACATTTGCTGAGGAGTGCTTTACTTCCAACTATGTGGTCAATTTTGGAATAGGTGCGATGTGGTGCTGAGAAGAATGTATATTCTGTTGATTTGTGGTGGAGAGTTCTGTAGATGTCTATTAGGTCTGCTTGGTGCAGAGCTGAATTCAATTCCTGGATATCCTTGTTAACTTTCTGTCTCATTGATCTGTCTAATGTTGACAATGGGGTGTTAAAGTCTGCCGTCATTATTGTGTGGGAGTCTAAGTCTCTTTGTAGGTCTAAGTAGCAAGTCTAAGGACTTGCTTTATGAAGCTGGGTGCTCCTGTATTGGGTGCATATATATTTAGGATAGTTAGCTCTTCTTGTTGAATTGATCCCTTTACCTTTATGTAATGGCCTTCTTTGTCTCTTTTGATCTTTGTTGGCTTAAAATTTGTTTTATCAGAGACTAGGATTGCAACCCCTGCCATTTTTTGTTTTCCATTTGCTTGTAGATCTTCCTCCATCCCTTTATTTTGAGCCTATGTGTGTCTCTGCACGTGAGATGGGTTTCCTGAATACAGCACACTGATGGGTCTTGACTCTTTATCCAATTTTCCAGTCTGTGTCTTTTAATTGGAACATTTAGCCCATTTACATTTACAGTTAATATTGTTATGTGTGAATTTGATCCTGTCATCATTATGTTAGCTGGTTATTTTACTCGTTAGTTGATGCAGTTTCCTCCTAGCATCGATGGTCTTTACAATTTGGCATGTTTTTGCAGTGGCTGGTACTGGTTGTTCCTCTCCATGTTTAGTGCTTCCTTCAGGAGCTGTTGTAGGGCAGGCCTGGTGGTGATAAAATCTCTCAGCATTTGCTTGTCTATAAAGGATTTTATTTCTCCTTCACTTATGAAGCTTAGTTTGGCTGGATATGAAATTCTGGGTTGAAAATTCTTTTCTTTAAGAATGTTGAATATTGGCCCCCACTCTCTTCTGGCTTGTAGAGTTTCTGCCCAGAGATCCACTGTTAGTCTGATAGGCTTCCCTGTGTGGGTAACCCGACCTTTCTCTCTGGCTGCCCTTAACATTTTTTCCTTCATTTCAACTTTGGTGAATCTGACAATTATGTGTCTTGGAGTTGCTCTTCTCGAGGAGTATCTTTGTGGCGTTCTCTGTATTTCTTGAATTTGAATGTTGGCCTTCCTTGCTAGGTTGGGGAAGTTCTCCTGGATAATAACCTGAAGAATGTTTTCCAACTTGGTTCCATTCTCCCCATCACTTTCAGGTACACCAATCAGACGTAGATTTGGTCTTTTCACATAGTCCCATATTTCTTGGAGGCTTTGTTGATTTCTTCTTATTCTTTTTTCTCTAAACTTCTTTTCTCACTTTATTTCATTCATTTGATCTTCAATCACTGATACTCTTTCTTCCAGTTGATCGAGTCGGCTACTGAAGCTTGTGCATTTGTCACGTAGTTCTCGTGCCATGGTTTTCAGCCCCATCAGGTCCTTTAAGGACTTCTCTGCATTGGTTATTCTAGTTAGCCATTCGTGTAATCTTTTTTCAAGGTTTTTAACTTCTTTGCAATGGGTTCAAACTTCCCCCTTTAGCTCGGAGACGTTTGATCGTCTGAAGCCTTCTTCTCTCAACTCATCAAAGTCATTCTCTGTCCAGCTTTGTTCTGTTGCTGGTGAGGAGCTGCATTCCTTTGGAGGAGGAGAGGCGCTCTGATTTTTAGAATTTTCAGTTTTTCTGCTCTGTTTTATCCCCATCTTTGTGTTTTTTATCTACCTTTGGTCTTTGATGATGGTGACGTACAGATGGGTTTTTGGTGTGGATGTCCTTTCTGTTTGTTAGTTTTCCTTTTAATAGTCGGAATCCTCAGCTGCAGGTCTGTTGGAATTTGCGGGAGTTCTACTCCAGACCCTGTTTGCCTGGATATCAGCAGTGGAGGCTGCAGAACAGTGAATATTGCTGAACAGCAAATGTTGCTGTCTGATCATTCCTCTGGAGGTTTTGTCTCAGAGGGGTACCCGGCCATGTGAGATGTCAGTCTGCCCCTACTGGGGGGGTGCCTCCCAGATAGGCTACCTGGGGGTCAGGGACCCACTTGAGGATGCAGTCTGTCCATTCTCAGATCTCAAACTCTGTGCTGGAAGAACCACTACTCTCTTCAAGGCTGTCAGACAGGGACATTTAAGTCTGCAGAGGTTTCTGCTGCCTTTTGTTCGGCTACGCCCTGCTCCCAGAGGTGGAGTCTACAGAGCAGGCCAGCCTCCTTGAGCTGCAGTGGGCTCCACCCAGTTCAAGCTTCCTGGTCGCTTTGTTTACCTACTCAAGCCTCAGCAATGGCGGGCGCCCCTCCCCGAGCCTGGCTGCTGCCTTGCAGTTTGATCTCAGACTGCTATGCTAGCAATGAGCAAGGCTCCGTGGGCGTGGGACCCTCCGAGCCAGGCACGGGATATAATCTCCTGGTGTGCTGTTTGCTAAGACCATTGGAAAAGCGCAGTATTAGTGTGGGAGTGACCTGATTTTCCAGGTGCAGTCTGTCACAGCTTTGCTTGGCTATGAAAGGGAATTATCTGACCCCTTGCACTTCCCGGATTAGGCGATGCCTCGCCCTGCTTCGGCTCACGCTTGGTGCGCTGCATCCAGTGTCCTGCACCTACTGTCTGACAAGCCCCAGTGAGATGAACCCAGTACCTAAGTTGGAAATGCAGAAATCACCCATCTTCTGCGCCGCTCACGCTGGGAGCTGTAGACTGGAGCTGTTCCTATTCGGCCATCTTGCAGTCTCTTTCTTTAACATGTCATGTTTTATTTTAACAATTTATTCAAAATTTCATTTAATTTCATGCCATATCCATGTTTGTTTTAATATAAAATCAGTAACAGGCAAGGTTATTTTTTTTTCTCAAATATGTCTAAAATAGACATCCCTGGCAGCTGTTATGTTGAGCCTTGCTTCTGAGTGTCTCTTGGCACAGTACCACATATCCTGGGGATATGAATACTTTGAGAAGTGCAGATGTATAATGATAATAAACTAAGCTTAATCAGATGCAGGGTGTCCATTTGGAGGCAGCTGTTTGACTCTGGCAGAGGTTTATTTGCAGGTGACTAAAGCAGCTGTGTCAAAATTCAAAACTATTCAAAACAGGTGTGGCAACTGACACCCCCAAGCCCCACGTTATCCTTGGCTCTTCTTCTATTTCCTCCCCCAGATCTGAGAGAGGAGATGAAGTGATGATATTTGCTTTACAAATTAACTAAAATAAAAGTTGTTAAGAAAAGTTTAATAATTTTATTTTTAAGTGCTTCAAAGTGTTCTCTTGTCAAAATGGCTTTGTCAAAATACCATTTACCTATCAGGTACTATTAATTGGAGGAGTTTGTGGAGAATGAGAAGCTTTAGAAAAAATCATGCTGTGGAGTCCAGTTGAAAGGGATTCTTGTTGAGGGGACTACTATCTTATAAGCTCATGGCAATGAATTAGCCCCCTTTTAAAATAAATTTTGAACCAAATAACTAGAAGAATAAGGCATGTAGAGGGAGTTGGCTAATTCAAGGCTGGCATAGAAATCAAAGGCTAAAGTGAGGCAAGAGAAGGAAATTTAGTAAAATGGGCGATGGAATCCTTGAGGATAAGTCAGCATTATATAGGTTGACACTACAGGTGAGAAAACTTAATTGGTATTTTTTATCCCCTTGTCATACTTTAACTTATTTCTTAAGTCAGTACATGCCAACTCTGTTCTCAGATATTGCAGTGAGTTGAAAGATCAATGCAGTTTGAAGTCAGCCCTGAGTGGGACCACTCATATCAGTGTTTGCAGACACAGGTGTTCTACAGGGTCAGATACAGAGTTTAGAAAAACAGCACGATAATATCTTGGTTCTGTATATTGTGCACTCTTCTAGAGAATTCCAGAGCTCTGAGAGTAAAAACAAACAAACAAACAAACAAAAAACTTTCCTAAAATTAGTGCTAAAGAGGAAAATTTTGTCAGGAACAAGTGAGTGCTTACATTTTTATTTCATTAAAATTATGATCACATTTAGTGCTCCTATATTTTGGTCAGTCAAATAATTTTGAATACCAGCTAGTCAATTTTACCTTTCAATTTGAATAGTTTTGATTGTTGGCATAGCTGCTTTCATCACCTGCAAATAAGTTTTACCTATAATGCAATCTGAGTGAATCTGTACTTCAAGCATAAAAAAAATTCTTAGTATATTAAAGCCACATACCTAACTTTTAGATTAACTACTCTTTGGAATTATATACATTTTTCCCTATTTCATCAATGTGGATGAAATAAATTCTTGGCTTTCTAAGTAATAAAACTGTCATATTGAGTGGTTTTGTAAATTTGGTAATATGTAGAAATAAACTATTTATTAATCTCATATATTCTTTTAAATCAAGAATGTTATTAAGAGTCCTTGTTAGTGATTAGAAGCATGGATTCTTAAACCAGACAGTCTCAGTTCAAATCTCAGAACCTAACAGTACATAGAAAGTATTTGGAACATTGTCTGCCATATAGGAAGAATTATAGAAGTGTTAGCAACTCTTGCTTTCAGAGAAGAAATTCTATTAAAAAATGGAAAACCTGAAAATATGAAATAACATTGAAATCAAATGAGTGTTTCTTATAATTTATATAGAGGAAATACTGCCAGGATAAGTCAAATTACTTGAAAATCTTATTTCTGACAAAATTCTAGGTAAGAAAATTGATATTTGAAGTATATAGGTATACATCTCCATAAAGTAATCTTAGGAACCTGAACTCTGTGACATTTTGATTAATAGAAAACAACATTATCTTATGCTATAGAAATGACTTCATAAGTTTTCTTAAAAATAATATACCTTTGGCTTTATATAAAGACTAAAATGAATAAAAATATGAATGTACGCTTTTATTTTCTTGTTAATTTTTGTGGGTACATAGTAGGTGTATATATTTATGAAATACTTGAGATGTTTTGATACAGGCATGCAATGTGAGATAAGCACATCATGGAGAATGGGGTCTTCATCTCCTCAATAATTTATCCTTTGGGTTACAAACAATCTGACTACACTTTTAAGTTATTTTAAAATGTATAATTAAGTTATTATTGACCATAATCACCCTGTTGTGGTATCAAATAGTAGGTCTTATTCAGTCTTTTTTTTTTTTTTTGCTTTTAAGTGACTAAAAATAAATAAATAAATTTTGACTTATACTTTAAGTTTAGGGGTACAAGTGCAGGTTTGTTATACAGGTGAACTTGTGTCATGGGGGTTTGTTTTACAGATTATTTCACCACCCAGGAATTAAGTCTAGTAACCATTCATTATTTTTCCTCATTCTCTCCCTCCTCCCACTCTTTACCCTCTGAAGGACCCCAGTTTGTGTTGTTCTCTCTGTGTGTCTATGTGTTCTCATCATTTAGTTCCCACTTATTTTTTTTTACATTTTAATTTTTTTCCTTCAGGACATGCAGATTTGTTACACAGGTAAACATGTGCCATGGTGGTTTGCTGCACCTATATACCCATCACTTAGGTATTAAACCCTGCATGAGCTCCCATTTATAGGTGAGAACATGTGGTGTTTGGTTTTCTATTCCTATATTAGTATGCTAAGGATAATGGCCTCCAGCTCCATCCATGTCCCTGCAAAGAACATGATCTCATTCCTTTTCATGGCTGCATAGTATTTCATGGTATATATGTACCACATTTTTTTATCCAGTCTATCATTGATGGACATTAAGGTTGATTCTATATCTTTGCTATTATGAATAGTGGTTCAAGGAACATACATGTGCATGTGTCTTTATAACAGAGTGATTTATCTTCCTTAGGTATATAGCAAGTAATGGAATTGCTGAGTTGAATGGTATTTCTGTCTTTAGGTCTTTGAGGAATTGCCACACTGTCTTCCACAATGGCTGAACTAATTTACACTCCCACCAACAGTGTATAAGCATTCCTTTTTCTCCACGACCTTGCCAGCATCTATTATTTTTGACTTTTTATTAAAAAGTCATTTATTAAATAGTCATTCTGACTGGTGTAAGATGGTATCTCAGTGCATTCGTTTAGTGATCAGTGATATTGAGCTTTTTTCCAATTATTCTTTTTGTGGCAACTGTGAATGGGAGTTCATTCCTGATTTGGCTCTTGGCTTGACTGTTGTTGGTATATAGAATTGATAGTAATTTTACACAATAATTTTGTATCTTGAGACCTTCCTGAAGTTGTTTATCAGCTTAAGAAGCTTTTGGGCCTAGACAAGGGGGTTTTCTAGATACAGGATTATGTCATCTGCAAACAGGGATAGTTTGACTTCCTCTCTTCCTATTCGAATACCCTTTCTTTCTTTCTCTTGCCCAATTGTCCTGGCCAGAACTTCCAATACTATGTGGAATAGGAGTGGTGAGAGGGCACCTTTGTCTTGTGCTGATTTTCAAGAGGAATGCTTCTAGCTTTTGCCCATTCAGTGTGATGTTGGCTGTGGGTTTGTCATATATGGTTCTTATTATTTTGAGGTATTTTCCTTCAATACCTAGTTATAGGGAATTTTTAACATGAACAGATGTTGAATTTTACCAAAAGCCTTTCTGCATCTATTGAGATAATCATGTGGTTTTTGCCTTCAGTTCTGTTTATGAGATGAATCACATGTATTGACTTGTGTATATTGAACCAATCTTGCATCCCAGGGATGAAGCTTACTTGATTGTGGTGGATCAGCTATTTTGATATATTTTGATATGCTGCTGGATTTGGCTTGCCAGTATTTTGTTGGGGATTTTTGCATCAGTGTTCATCAAGTTCATGAAGTTTTCTTTTTTTGTTGTATCTCTCCCAGGTTTGGGTATCAGGATGATGCTGGCCTCAGAATGAGTTTGGAAGGAGTCCTTCCTCCTCAACATTTTGGAATAGTTGCAAAGGGAATGGTACTAGCTCTTCTTTGTACATTTGGAAGAATTCATCTGTGAATCCATCTGGTCCTGGGCTTTTTTTGGTTGGTATGCTATTTATTACTGCCTCAATTTCAGAACTCGTTATTAGTCTGTTCAGGGATTCAGTTTCTTCCTGGTTCAGTCGTAGGAGGGTGTATGTGTCCAGAAATTTATCTATTTTTTCTAGATTTTCTAGTTTATGTGCATAGAGGTGTTCATAATATTCTCTGATGGTTGTTTGTATTTCTATGGGGTCAGTGGTAATATCCCCCTTGTCATTTATGATTGTGTTTATTTGAAACTACTTTTTCTTCTTTATTAGTCTAGCTAGTAGTGATCTGTTTTATTAATTTTTCAAAAAACTAGCTCCTGGATTTTTTGAAGTTTTGAATGGTTTCTTGCGTCTCAGTCTCCTTCAGTTCAGCTGTGTTTTTGGTTATTTCTTGTCTTCTGTTAGCTTTGGGATTTGTTTACTATTTGTTCTTTAGTTCTTTTAGTTGTGATGTTAGGTTAACTTGAGGTTTTTCTAACTTTTTGATGTGGGTATTTAGTGCTGTAAATTTCCCTCTTAAAACTGCTGTAACTGTCCCAGAGACTCTGGTGTGTTGTATCTTTGTTTTCATTAGTTTCAAAGGACTTGTTGATTTCTGCCTTAATTTTATTATTTAACCAAAAGTCATTTCAGAGCAGGTTATTCAATTTTCATGTAATTGTATGGTTTTGAATGAATTTCTTAGTCTTGATTTCAAATTTGTACTGTGGTCTGAGAGACTGTTTGTTATGATTTCAGGTCTTTTGAATTTGCTGAGGAGTGTTTTACTTCTGATTATGTGATTGATTTTACAGTAAGTGCCATGTAGTAATGAGAATAATGTATATTTTGTTGCTTTTGGGTGGAGAGTTCTATAGATATCTATTAGGTCCATTTGATCCACTGCTGAGTTCAGGTCCTGAATATCTTTGTTAATTTTCTGTCTTGATGATCTGTCTAATATTGTTGGTGGGGTGTTAAAGTTCCCCACTATTATTTTGTGGGAGTCTAAGTCTCTCTGAAGGTCTCTGAGAACTTGCTTTATGAATCTGGGTGTTCCTGTGTTGTGTGCATATATATTTAGGATAGTTAATTCTTCTTGCTGAATTGAACCCTTTACCATTATGTAATGCCCTTCTTCATCTTGTTTGATCTTTGTTGGTTTAAAGTCTGTTTTGTCAGAAAGGAGAATTGCAACCCCTGATTTTTTTCTGTTTTCCATTTTCTTGGTAGATTTTCCTCCATCCCTTTATTTTGAGCCCATGTGGGTCATTGCATGTGAGATGGGTCTTTCGAAGATAGCATACTGATGAGTCTTGGTTCTTTATCCAGCTTGTCACTCTGTGTCTTTTAATTGGTGTATTTATCCTATTTACATTTAAGGTTAGTATTGATATGTGTGGATTTGATCCTGTCATCATGATGTTAGCTAGTTATTTTGCAGACTTGTTTATGTAGTTGCTTTATTGTGTCACTGGTCTGTGTACTTCAGTGTGTTTTTGTAATGACTGGTAATGGTCTTTACTTTTCATATTTATTGCTTCCTTCAGGATCTCTTGTAAGGCAGTTTTGGAGGTAACAAGTTCTCTCAGCATTTGCTTGTCTGAAAAGGATCTTATTTCTCCTTCATTTATGAAATTTGAATGTTGGCCTGTCTAGCTAGGTTGGGAACGTTCTCATGGATGATATCCTAAAGTATGTTTTCCAAATTGATTCCATTCTTCCCATCTCTTGTAAGTAAACTTATCAGTCATAGATTCGGTCTGTTTACATAAGCCCACATTTCTTGGAGGTTTTGTTTATTCCTTTTCATTCTTTTTTCTCTATTTTTGTCTGCTCCCGTCTTGTCAGACAGGCAGTCTTCAAGCTCTGAGATTCTTTCTTCTGCTTGATCTATTACGCTATTAATACTTGTGATTGCAATATGAAATTCTTGTAGGGTATTTTTCAGCTCTGTCAGGTTGGCTACATTCTTCTTCATACCAGCTATTTTGTCTGTCAGCTCCTGCAATGTTTTATCAGCGTTCTTGTGCTGAATCTTTCTCATCTTTGTATGCTTATCTACCTTCTATCTTTGAGGTTGCTGACTTTTGGGTGATTTTTTTTTTTTTCCTTTAACAGTCTAGCTACTTTTCAGTAGGGCTTCTGTGGTATGCTGAGAGTCTTTTCTAGTCCCTAATCAACTCAGATTTTCCAGTACCTAGACGTATCACCAGTGAAGGCTGTGAATGAGCAAAGATGGCAGCCTGCCCCTTCCTTTGGGAGGTCCATCTCAGGGAGGTACAAACTTGTTGCCAGCCTGAACACACCTGTGGGAGGTGGCTGGCGACTCTAGATCGGAGGTCTGACCCAGTCAGGAGAAATGGGATCAAAGACCTGTTTAAAAAAGTTGTCTGGGTCATTGGCAAAGCCTGAGTCCTGTCCTCTTGCTCTCTTCCTGGGACGGCATGAGCTTCACCACTCGCTCCACCTTCACCAACTACTGGTCTCTGGGCTCTGTCCAGGTGCCCAGCTACGGCGCCCGGCCGGTCAGCAGTGCAGCCAGTGTCTGTGCAGGCACTGGGGGCTCTGGTTCCTGGATCTCCATGTCCCGCTCCACCAGCTTCTGGGGCGGCGTGGGATCCGGGGGCCTGGCCATGGGAATGGCCAGGGGTCTGGCAGGAATGGGAGACATCCAGAACGAGAAGGATACCATGCAAAGCCTGAACGACCACCTGGCCTCCTACCTGGACAGAGTGAGGAGCCTGGAGACCGAGAACAGGAAGCTGGAGAGCAAAATCCGGGAGCACCTGGAGAAGAAGGGACCCCAGGTCAGAGACTGGAGTCATTACTTCAAGACCATCGAGGACCTGAGGTCTCAGATCTTCGCAAATGCTGTGGACAATGCCAGCATCATTCTGCAGATCGACAATGCCCATCTTGCTGCTGATGACTTCAGAGTCAAGTATGAGACAGAGCTGGCCATGTGCCAGTCTGTGGAGAGTGACATCCATGGGCTCCACAAGGTCACTGATGACCAATGTCACTCGGCTGCAGCTGGAGACAGAGATCGAGGCTCTCAAGGCAGAGCTGCTCTTTATAAAGAAGAACCACAAAGAGGAAGTAAAAGGCCTACAAGCCCAGATTGCCAGCTCTGGCTTGACCGTGGAGGTAGATGCCCCCAAATCTCAGGATCATTTCAGACATCCAGGTCCAATGTGATGAGCTGGCTTGGAAGAACCGAGAGGAGCTTGACAAGTACTGGTCTCAGCAGATTGAGGAGAGACCACAGTGGTCACCATGCAGTCCACTGAGGTTGGAGCTGCTGAGATGATGCTCATGGAGCTGAGACATACAGTCCAGTCCTTGGAGATGGACCTGGACTCTATGAGAAATCTGAAGGCCAGCTTGGAGAACAGCCTGAGGGAGGTGGAGGCCCACTACGCCCAGCAGATGGAGCAGCTCAACAGGATCCTGCTGCACCTGGAGTCAGAGCTGGCACAGACTCGGGCAGAGGGACAGCACCAAGCCCAGGAATAGGAGGCCCTGCTGAACATCGAGGTCAAGCTGGAGGCTGAGATCACCACCTACCGCCGCCTGCTGGAAGATGGTGAGGACTTCAATCTTGGTGATGCCCTGGACAGCAGCAACTCCATGCAAACCATCCAAAACACCACCACCTGCCAGATAGTGGATGGCCAAGTGGTGTCTGAGACCAATGACACCAAAGTTCTGAAACATTAAGCCAGCAGAAGCAGGGTACCCTTTGGGGAGCAGGAGGCCAATAAAAAGTTCAGAGGTGAAAAAAAAATAGTCTGGCCACATTTTTGTAAAGTGGCTGTGCAGTGCTGGGGGTCC
This sequence comes from Homo sapiens, assembly GCF_000001405.40. Taxonomy (NCBI): domain Eukaryota; kingdom Metazoa; phylum Chordata; class Mammalia; order Primates; family Hominidae; genus Homo; species Homo sapiens. The sequence goes on along the minus strand of NC_000002.12, from coordinate 189,311,145 downwards.
ACTTCAGCCCCTGGTTGCCTTGGATACTTCAAAAACTGGTAAACAATTCCCTAGGAATGAGGCTGAATCCAGGGTGCTGAGTAGCAAGAGTCACCCCACTTGCATGGTGCTTTACAGGATAAGACCCACTGGCCTGGAACTCCAGCCAGCCACTCCTAACTAATTTTTTTTTGTACTCATTAAACATCCCCACCTCCCCCTGCTCCCCACTACCCTTCCCAGCCCCTGGTAACCATCCTTTTACTCCCTATCTGTATGAGTTTAATCGTTTTGATTTTTAGATCCTAGAAATAAGTGAGAACATGTGATGTTTGTCTTTCTGTGCCTGGTTTATTTTGCTTAACATAATGATCTCCAGTTCCATCCATGTTGTTGCAAGTGACTAGATCTCATTCTTTTTTTTTTTGGTTTGATAGTACTCCATTGTGTATGTGTACCACATTTTCTTTATCCATTCATCTATTGATAGTCACTTAGGTTGCTTCCAAATCTTGTTGTGAACAGTGCTGCCACAAACACAGGAGTGCAGTTATCTCTTCAAGGTCCTGATTTCCTTTCTTTTGGATGTGTGTACCCAACAGTGGGATTGCTGGATCATATGGTAGCTCAATTTTTAGTTTTTTGAGGAACTTCCAAACTGTTCCCCATAGTGGTTGTACTAATTTACATTCCCACCAATAGTGCACAAGGGTTTATTTTTCTACACATCTTCTTCAGCATTTGTTATTTCCTGTCTTTTGGATATAAGCCATTTTATATCCAAATGGTATAATGATATCTCCTTGTAGCTTTGATTTGCGTTTCTCTGATGATCAGTGGTGTTGAGCACCTTTTCATATGCCTGTTTGCCATTTGTATGTCTTATTTTGAGAAACATCTATTCAAATCTTTTGCCGGTTTTTTTATTGGATTGTTACCTTTATATTTTCTGGAAAACCACGTTGTGGCATTATCTATTATTAATGTTCCTTGTATTAGCACTCACTTGATACATATTTTAAAAAATCATTTATTAATAGAGAAATGTTTCTTTTCCTCACATACAACTTTGCTTCCACTGATAAGAAAATAAGAATGATTAAGCTCATTATTTATGTATATTCTGCCTTGTAAAGCAGAGGAATTGCTGTGTGTTTAACAAACTACTTTCTTTTTCTTTTAGTCATAGAGAAATACTATTCTTTCCAGTCACCTTGCATCAACATGGGGCCATGTAACTAAGCCTGGTCAACAGAATATGAATGGATGTATGCCAGTTTTAAGCGTGACCTCTAAATTATCTTGCAAACTTAAACATGCTTTCTCTGTGCTTATGAACTGACTGAATGTAGAGGATCTAGCAGAAGCACAGACAAAAGTCTGGCAGATGGTCACATCACAGTGTTTAACAGTGGCAAATCCATAAAGGTCTGCGGCAACCTTGATTCTTGCCTCCTCAGAAGACATAATTCAACTGAGGGGTATAAGACAGAGTGAGAGACTGAGGCAAGTTTTAAAACAGGAGTGAAAGTTTATTAAAAAGATTTAGAGCAGGAACAAAAGGAAGTAAAATACATTTAGAAGAGGGCCAAGCAGGTGACTTGAGAGATCAAGTGCATGGTTTGTTGGCATACTTCCAGGGTCATGTGTCACTTCTCCCCTGATTATTTCCTTGGGGTGGGGAGTCTGCATGCGCAGTGGCCTGCCAGCACTTGGGAGGTACCATACGTGCAGTGTGTTTACTGGAGTTGTACGCATGCTTACTTGGGGCATTCTTCTCTTACCAGTCAAATGCTCCTAGAAGGTCGTATATCAGTTAAACTCAGCCATTTTGCCTCTTAGTTCTCATGCTTGAGCCCATTTACCCAACTCCTGAGATCTTATCGGGATGCTACTGATCACGTTTCAGGTTTTTCTATTTATTGGGAGACTCCCTTTTCCTGGTGCTGGCTGTGACCAATTATTATTTTAGAGAAACAGTGTAACAATCACCTGACCATCACCTGATACTTGCCTGACATTCTCGATGAGGTTGTCGGGGAGAGACCCTCTCATGCCCTATTCATGCCTGACAAGCTACCTCCTGTAACAAAAGGAGCTGTGATCACTAAGTCACTACTTGAAGCAGAGCTGCCCAAGAGAGTCACCAAATCAGAAACATACTGTTGACAAAAAGAATCAAACTCTGTAAAATATCTGAAGCCTTTTATTCTGAGTCAAATATGAGTGAGCAGTGGCCCGTGACACAGTCCTAGGACATCCTGAAAACATGTGCCCAAGGTGGTCAGGCTATAGCTTGGTTTTATATGTTTTAGGGAGACTTAAGACATCAGTCAATGTGTGTAACATGAATTTGTTTCGGTCCAGAAAGGTAGGACAACTTGAAGCCCTCTCTCTGAAGGGAGGGCTTCCAGGTCACAGATGGAGTCAAAGGTTTTCTAATTGGCAATTGCTGAAAGAGTTATTATCTAAAGACCTGGAATCAATAGAAAGAAATGTCTAGGTTAAGATAAGGGGTTGTGGAGACCAAGGTTTTATCATGCAGATAAAGCCTCCTGGTAACAGCTTCAGAGGTCTTATCAGACCTAAAAAGGTGCCAGACTCTAAGTTAATTCTCTCCTGGATCAAGGAAAAGGCCTAGACAGGAATGGGGATTTTCTACAAAAAGTGTATTTTCCCTCCTAAGAGATAGCTTTGCAGGGCCATTTCAAAATATGTCGAAGAAATGTATTTTGGGGTAAAATACTTTGATTTCTTTCAGGGCCGGCTATCTGTTATGTGATGCTATATTAGAGAGTCAGGCTGGATTTTGGTGTCTTATTGCTTAATGTTAATGCTGGTCAGCTGTGCCTGAGTGCCAAAGGGAGGAGGGTATAATGAGGCATGTCTGACCCTCCTTCCTCCTTCCCATCATGGCCTGAACCGGTTTATTTTGGAATGCCCTTGGCTGAGAGGGAGGGGGGAGGGCTTAGAATTTTATTTTTGGCTTACAATACACATGAGATTTTCCATGAGAAAACACATCCCTACACCCACACCTACACACCCACACCCCAGTTTATTGCCCAAATCTGTTACAGGAAAGGGGTCCTGATCCAGACCCCAAGAGAGAGTTCTTGGATCTCACACAAGAAAGAATTCAGGGTGAGTCCACAGTGCAAAGCAAAAGCGAGTTTATTAAGAAAGTAAAGTAAAAGAACAGCTATTCCATAGAACAGAGTAGGCCATTCCCAAAAGTAAGAGGAGGAATATGTACACCCTAGGTACAATGCTTGTTTATGTACAGGATAAAAAAGATCATGGGCAGATGTGCCCTGCTACAAGGGTTTGTGATAAAGGATTTATTTTCTTAATTACTATATTTTGC